>NC_000006.12:46726666-47029696 GCF_000001405.40 Homo sapiens
ATGGAGTCTCACTCTGTCACCTAGGAATGCAATAGCACCACCTCAGCTCACTGCAACCTCCGCCTTCCAGGTTCAAGTGATTCTCCTGCCTCAGCCTTCTGAGTAGCTGGGATTACAGGCACCCACCATAATGCCTGGCTAATTTTTGTATTTTTAGTAGAGACAAGGTTTCTCCATGTTGGCCAGGCTGCTTATGAACTCCTGACCTCATGTGATCCGCTCACCTCTACCTCTCAAAGTGCTGGGATTACAGGCATGAGCCACCAACATTCTAAATCAATGGGAATGTTCACTTTAAAAATCAATGATTTTCTTCAAATAGTAAGGCCTGAAAATAACTATCTTCAATTTGGCCCCTTGACCACTAGATAAAATATCATCCTGGCAATCAAGAAGACTTTCAATGAGCACTCAGATAATACATTCCATTTAAACGGATTCTACCTTTCTGCCTCTCTCCTGCAGACTTCATTTCTCCCACTGAAACCACAGTGCCCTACCTGTTCTTCAGATCTCAGTTGTAGTCTCCATACACAACCATAACTGCCACAAATCCCGATTTCCCCTATTTGTCACTGTTAAATTCTCATCAGGCATCATTTCCCTTTTCGAAACAAAAGACAACCCAAAACAATAGATAAAATGTCCAATCTCGAGTTTGAAATCTCTGTGAAAAGCTGACAGATAAACCATCCAAGTAAAACCCAGTCCTGGCAAGAGATTAGGGCAGGTGGGCCTTAGCTCTTGTGTTATTAGTAAAGAGTCAGAAAAGAAAATGCTCATTTGTTAAGTATCAGTACTCTCTTTCCAAATTCTTCCTGATTGACCTTTGGAATGGGGGCATGTGGCAGGTTGAATAATGCACTCCCACCCAAATGTCCATATTCTAAACCCCAGAACATGTGAATATGTAATGTTCCATGGCAAAAAAGAATTAAGATGCAAATGGAATTAATGTTAATCAGTTGACCTTAAAATAGGGAGATTATCATGGATTATCTGACCCAATGTAATCACAAGAGTCCTTAAAAGTATAAGAGGATGGCAGAAGAAGAGATCTGAATGATGTGATGTGAGAACTCAACCCACCATGGCTGGTTTTGAAAATGAAGGAAGCGGGCATGAGCTATAACATGTGGATGGCCTCTAGAATCTTGGAAAGGTAAGGAGACAGATTCTCTCTAGAGCCTCAGGAAAGCAACACAGACTAGCTGACCTCTGAAGGTTCACTGAACCTGTTATTTTAGCCTAGTAAGGCCATGTCAGACTTCTGACTTTCAGAACCATGAGATAATAAATTATGTTGCTTTAAGTGACTAAATTTGTAGAAAATTTTTACAGCAGCAATAGAAAACTAATATGGAGCATATAAAGTAACTGAATGAGACAAAAAGCAAATAATAGCCCAATTCAGTTTCAACTAAAGTCAAAGAAAGTGGCTTAAATACCTCAAAACTGACCCATTACCACACCAAATGATTGCTGAAGAAGATAAAATCTTCTTTGGATATTTTACAATAGGATGAAGGCTGGAGAATGCAGCTAGAACATCACTCTACAGCAGTGTCTCTCAACTAAGGCATTTTTGCCCCCCAAGAAGACACTTATTAATGTCTGGAGATATTTTTGGTTGCCACAACCAGGAGGGGGCTGCTACTGGCATCTAGTGAGTAGCAGTCAGGGATGCTGTTAAGCATCCTGTAGTGCACAGGACAGCCCTACAACATAGAGGAATCTCAAAATGTCAATAATGCTGAGGTTGAGAAACCCTGGTCTAAGAAAATGCTGGGGCAACTCTATCCTTGTTTAATAAGGAAGAAATATTTATTTCATTCTAGGGAGGCAGATGCATGAGATGCAAAACCTGCAAGTAACATATAATTAGTTGATTCTACTCACAATTTTGGAAATGGGAATTAATCTGCATCCCATGTGCAAATGTCCAAATGTTTGGTGTTCTATATGGCTTAAAGGTCATAAAAGGTAAAAGTTGTCTAAGATCAATGGGCAGCCTGCTGCTATACTGTAAGTTCCTGATCTTACTCTCAGACTCAGTCCCCCAACTATATTACTCACAATAGTAAGAGTAAGAGTAACTGGATCTGTTGAGTGTTGTATGCATAAATGGCTACATGATGGTTAGGTTAAGGTCATGGGTATACTTCTTGAGAAAACTTACCTGTATCAGAGTAATAAAGTGGTTTAGAAATTTAGCTCCAGTTTCTGGCTGCCAAGGTTTGAATCTTGAATCTGCTACTTACTAGTTTGGTGACTTCAGTTAAGTTCTTACCTACTTTCTGCTTTTCTCTCCTCATCTGTCAAAGAGGAACCCTGATAATGGGGTTCTTATGGGGATGTGAGCCCTTGGAGAAATGCTATTATTATTATCCAAAGTCTACCAATTGCTACACAGCCCCAGGAATCTGTTGTGCAGGTGCAAGCCACGGTGACTGGGGTGTGGAGGAGCCTGGGGCACACCGGAAATGGGATGTACAAGCAACAGGCACAGATGCTCTCCCGCTAAAGGAACTCAGTGTCCATATTCTCCAGGAGGATGCAGTATTAAACTGACATATATGCCCCAATATGGAGGAAAATACTAAAAGAAGCCGGAAAAATGATAATGGGGACCATAGAGAGAAGGCATTTCTGAGAAAAGCTGTTAGCTCCCTAAAACATCCAAATGCACTAGTGCCCATCCCATAGGCAAGATTAGAAATGAAGTGCTATCCCTCAAACTTTACCCACCCACTTATCTGATGTCATATGTACACACCAAAATGAATAAAATATGGTAGAAAAATAAGATAGTGTTTGTACATACAGTTACCCTTCTAAGCATTTCATATAAATGAACTCATTTAGTCCTCAGAGTTCTTTGACATACAGTTGAGATAATGAAGACAAAGAGGTTAAATAACGTGCCCAAGTTCACAAGGATAGGAAGTAGCTAAACCAGGATCTGAACCTAGACCCGGACCCTAAAGTAGGAATTCTTAAGCTCAGCACTGCTGACACTAGGGGCTGATAAGTCTTGGCTGTGGGGGCTGTCCTGTGCATTGCAGGGTGTTTAGCAACATCCCTGGCCTCTACCCACTAGATGCCAATAGCACACCCCAGTTGTGGCAACTAAATATTACGTCTCCAGACATTGCCAGATGTCCCCTGGAGTGGGGGCATAAATCATCCTCAGCTGAAAACCATTGCTCTCAAGCTGTACATTGAGCAGTTCTCCTGTAAACTCTCAGGAACAATCTAACTGGAAAATAAGCCCTGAAAGTAAATTTAAAAACACAATGGATAGGCCAGGAAAAATCTAAAGACATCTTCAGTTGCATGACAAAAGTATGACATCATAGAGAAAGGGAGGCCACCCTCCCACTGCATTCTGCACCAGTTAGACCACATCTTATTGAATTGGTGGGGATTTAAGGATTTTAACAAATAAAGGTTCAGGACAAGGGACAGTAACCCAAAAATAACCAGAATGATGAGGGAACAAGGCAGCAAGTCACATGAGGAGCTGTTGAAGGAATGAGGAATGTTTACTTTTAATGTGGAAAACCTAGGTTGCATGTGACAGCCACAGTCCTGTGCAAAGTTCCTAAACATGTTCTATGTAGGCCCAGACTGTACAGCTCCATCAACAGTAGCTTTTCAACAATTAGCATTATCTTCTTTATCAGAGGAGCAGTTAAAGTACAGGTTTGGGGACTACCAGCAGGGATACTGGAATATAGATTCCTGCATTACATGAAGGTGAAAGTATAACAGACAGGTTACACTTGATTGCCCTAAACCTGAAGTTAAAAATCAAAAGTCTACAAGGGCCAGACAGGTAATTTAAATGAATCAAACAGGTTCATGCAATAGAATAAGGACTGGCGTGAACTGTCCTTATTCTATTTGGATGGTGCAAACTGGACCATCCAAAGAAGGCAACTACCACTCTATTCCAGTTAATTGCTTCCATGTAGGAATGGCAGCTCCATGTCACTAGATCATCTGATTGCTTCCAAGAAAAACTGGAAAATTACATTTGTATGTAATATCCACTGATTTTTAAAGGAGCAACTAATTCAACCTTTCAAAACGTGAGTGAAACAAATAGATTTCTGGCTTCAAGGAGAGATGTAACCTCTCCCTTTAAGATACCCAAACACCCCCACTCTCCAGCCCTAAGAAAAATATGGTGGTTGATATGGCAAGAGATAAATCATACAGATCCCAGAATTACTATCACATTTTGTCTGCAATTTGAATCACCAGACTAGCCACTTCAAGCTGAAATTCAGACACACTGACCAATAAATAATTAAGGGGATCTGGCAAGTTAACATGACCTAGGGACTATTAAGTCACGAGCTGACATTTCTGCTGCCCACAATACAAATGAGGAAGAGCTTTTTTTCCTCTAAGCAGGCATATCTCCTTCTAGTAACTTGCACATCAGAGTGAGTCAGGAAAGAGAAATAGAGTTGCCTTATTGTGGCAGTTACTTGTCCTGTCTCTGCGAAGAACGTCACTATCCTAGTTGGTAAACAACTTTAAAACTTCCTGACACTCTAAAACTTAGTGATAAACGAGAGAAAATTCAAGAGCTTCCTCTGAGAGAGAATGCTTCACTAAGGGAAACAACCCTACCCAACTCTGGTCCACAGACTTCTCCAGAAATTCTGCTGCCATATAGATATTTTCAGTTATCTACAAATCTTTGCACTCACAGATATCTGCATGACCACAGCCAGGACAAAGGCAAATCTGTCCAAAATATTTTTTTCCCATTCCCAGCTTTAATTATTCTATTTTTGAATTTTTATCTGACCATATTCAACTTTTGAAATTAAGCCAGCTATTATTTTAGCAATAATTTCCCTGCATTTTGTGACGACTTGTTTTTATTGGTAACTCTTAGTTAAGAGTTTCCAGTTCTCCGAACAGAGAAAGATACTTTTATGTATAATAAATTAGGTTTACTGAAAATAATATAATAAGACATCAAATTTATTAAAATAAATTTTAAGATAAAGCACAGGGAATTCAAAGTAATACAATATGAGCAAATAATAATGGTAATAATGTCTTACATTATGCTTCAGGGCATATTCATTTGTTTATTAGTTTTTACAAGTGGACCAGGTATAGCAATCTCATTCCCATTTTGTAGATGGGAAATTCGAGACAGAGAAACATTAACTTCCCACTGTAACTCCAAAAAATAGCCTACGCCCATCTACTGCTACCACCCCCCATCAGTAAACTCGCTTCTGGCCTTCTTCTGTCCCCTCTCCTTCCCCTGTAATCCATTCTCCACATAGCACCCAGAGTCATCTCTTTATAAAGTAAATCAATTATGTCACATCTCTGCTTCAAACTCTCTTTTGGCTTCTCTCATTGTAAAGAGTAAAATCCAAATGTTTCCCTTGGCCTATGAGGGTCTTCCTGACCTGGCTCCTGCCCCTAAAGCTCACTCCTCCAACTCTCCTTCTCCCTCACCTAACTCCAGCCACACTGGCATTCCAACTGTGCCTCCAACACATCACACCTGTTCCCAGGAGCAGGACATTTGTGCTTGTGGTTCCCTCTGCAGGGACGTCTGCCCATCTTCCTGAGGTTTCATCTCCAGGCCTTCTTGCAGAGAAGTCTCTCCTCACAATCCAATCCAAGAAGCTAGGCCCCTCCCATATATCCAACACACACATACACACACACACACACACACACACACACACACACCACTATACTGCAGCAATCTGCTTGCTTTTCTTCTCATTATATGAATTCACCCTGTTCATCCCTCAATTCTAGAATGTGAGCACTGTGAGAGCAGAGAGCATATCTATCTTACTAACTGTGCTGTACTCAGTACCTGGCACTTAGGATCTGATCAATAAATATTTTTTGAAGTGAATGAATGAATGAATACAAGTTCTACTAGGAATCAACTAGCCCACTTAATTCAATGAGCATCTACTCTTACAATAGACTTTTTATTTCTCCTCAACTGCTAAGTTTCTTTAAAAACCAAAAACCTACATGTTTGTATGTATTAGCCTGTTTCTGTTAGTGTTGAGTCACGCCCATAAAATTGAGCAAAATGACAGTGAGGGCACATAATGTGTCTAACAGGTGGCTGGCGTCATGAAGAAAGTCAGTAAGAACCCAGAATCATATTCTGAAACAATACAATTTTAGAACTGAATGTTTCTCTTCAATTTCCCTTCACTCAGTACTTTCTCTTCAATGCTTTTATTTTATGGAAATTTCTCAACATCTTGAGACGTCAGTCAGGCTTATTATCACGAATCTTGAAAAAAAATTAGGCTTAAGAGGAATCAGAGTGTAAATAATCCAATATCCACCTTCCTTTCCAGGAAATAGCCATCTTCTTGGGTATCAGGAAAAGGAAGATAAAGGGGACTCCTAAACTGACTTTCCCAGGGGCTCCCACTCCAGCTGCTCAGGTACCCAGTTAGCACTTTTCTTAATGTTCTGTGCTGACAGAGCTTCAAAGAGTGTGGTAAGTCATATTCATGTGCAAAGGTGAGAGTGAGGGAATGTGTTTAGGCCCATGTATGTTCCTCACAACAAAAGTGCAAAGGGGACAGAGACACAATGGAGAGGAAATGAGGACCCAGCTGTCCCAGGTTCTGTCTGAGGGAAAAGTCCTGCGGTGCTAAGCAAGCCCTTCCACACCTCAGAAGGGATTTCTCAACTGTAAAATGAGTGGCTGAACCAGATTCACAACACTCCTAATGCTGCAACTCCTTCAGTCTTGCTGGCTGTACAGTAGGCAGTCACAGACTATGGTGCCAGCCTTGGGTATGAAGGGCCCAGTTCAATGAAGAAAGACATTGAGACATCACCACATGGCCAGCAGCAGCTTCTGGTGCACAAATATCTGGGGAGGGGAAAGCACTTTCAGTGCCCAAGTGCAAGGAGCTGAAGTAGGCCTGCTGGAAAATGCCAAGGTGGTGCGCTGTCTCACCACTTTCTGCAGGGCCAGCAGAATTCCTCTGTGAGGGAATCTGCCTGGGTGATGGAGGCTCACCAGTGCCTCGTGACCAGAAGGCCATCTGCTTCTTCTTGATCAGGCCAGTGCTTAATGCTCAGATCTCTGAATTCAATGTAAGCTCAAGGTTTCGTGCTGAGCCTCTTGGGATTGCCAACACCTCAGGGGATACATTTTCCAGCTCCTACCCATATACCAGTCTCCCAGCTCAGCATTCTCATTTGGATCAAAAGTAATTTGTGCAAGCCTGATTTGTTAACACATCCCAAATCTGAATCCGTGTGCCTTTTAAAGGTGGCAAGCTGCCATTTATGAGCCATACGCACCTCTCCTTCCTCATCACCACTGCAGTAATCCCAAGAACCACAGGCATGAATAAAAGCCCGAACTTTTCGTTTTTGGTGACAGAAATTTCTCTTACAAGCTCCAGGAGATGATGAGGAAGACAGTGTTCTCTGTTTTCTGATTTTGCTTAATTTTTTAAAAATGAGCCTCTCCCTTGACTTGGTGACACAGCTGTGATCTTATCTGGCCGGCAGGGGGATGCTCCAGGTAGGACAAAGAGTGCTTTGTTTTGTTCTTACAGCAGCCACGCATAACTGGGCTCCAAAAACGCAATACTCCTCAAAGGGAGAGTGAGAGAGAGGGAGAGAGGGAGAAGGGTGTGTGAGAGAGAGAGCGGAGGGAGAGAGAGAGAGGAGGCAGAGTGAGAGGTGTGTAGTGGTGTGTGTGTGTGTGAGAGAGAGAGAGAGAGAGAGAGAGAGAGAGAGAGAGAGAGAGAGAGAGAGAGAGAGAGAGAGAGAGAGAGAGAGACGGAGAGAGAGATTGTCCCTGTAGGAGATCTACAGATAAGAAAACTCCGGGGCGGGCGCGGTGGCTCATGCCTGTAATCCCAGCATTTTGGGAGGCGGAGGCGGGCGAATCACGAGGTCAGGAGATCGAGACCATTGTGGCGAACACAGCGAAACCCCGTCTCTACTAAAAATTCAAAAAAATTAGCCGAGCGTGATACGGCACGCCAGCAGTCCCAGCTACTCGGGAAGTTGAGGCAGGAGAATTGCTTGAACCCGGGAGACAGAGGTTGCAGTGAGTCGAGATCGCGCCTCTGCACTCCAGCCTGGCGACAAAATGAGACTCCGCCTCAAAAGAAAGAAAGAAGGAACGAAAGAAAGAGAGAGAGAGAGAAAAAAAAGAAAAGAAAACTCCATGTGTTCCCTGCCTGTCCTGATTCTCCCCCCAGCTCTGAGCTCTTAGGGTTGCTTCCTTTCGGGAAAAGGTTTGGAAGAACTGGTGTCTAATACCGTCATCCTCTCCCTCTCCCCGCAAGGATCCTAGCGCTGTTTCCGAGGGCTGCAGGGACTGTGAGCCCAGGACCGGCCAGCAGAGCGGGTGCGACTCAGCGAGCCCACCCCGGCCGGTCGCCGCTCCGGGGTCCCGACCTCCAGCGCGGCGACCGTGCCCTTCCTCCCACTCCCGCCTCGCCCCCGGGGCCCCTCCTCACTCAGGCGCGGCGCGGAGCTGCTCGCGGGAACTGGGGTCCCTGGGCGCGTTCCACCGCGCACCAACGCGACCCAAGCGCTCCAAACCCGACTGCTTCTCGCCGACAGCACTGCGAGCCTCCGACCAGCCGCTGTCCCCCTGGCTGCGGGCCGAGCAGCTCTGGCAGGCGGCGGGCGGGTGGGCTGCGCGCGGGCTGTGTCCTGGGTCCGCCTAGCGCGGCCTTGTGGCCCCGACCCTCTCCTCCCCTGGTGATGCTGGAGGAGGTACCGGGGAGGAGCGTGTGTGGCCCCGGCCTCTCACTAGCAGCGGCGGCTCCCGACGCTAGCCTGCTCGAGCGCACCCAGCACCCTCCCCAAGACCATGGCCCGCACCTGGACCCGCGGTTAACTTAGCCCGCCGCGGAGAGAGCCAGGCAATGCCTGGGTGGTGTCGTGCTCACCAGCTCCTTTCCGCAGACCTGATGCCGATCAGATTTACTCCCTGCTGAATTCACCCCCCAGTCAGGCCGGTTTTCCTTGTTTCACCGTGTTCTCTGAATACACTGAATTACTCCGAGCATCTATAGTTGGCAATGCCCTGCGCATTTTCCGCACTCCGATACACTTTACACTGAACACCAATTCGGAAGTTGTGTGGACCGTGCTCCAGATTGGAAGGCCTGCCACTGTGCTGGTGTCATTTCTCCCTGGAAATGACAATGAAGGACAATCAGGAATAGCACTTAGGTCTGAGGAGAAATGGAGCTAGAAGGAGCCGTTTCATAGCTCAGTGTAACACAGAGTTATTTGGGGTTTAACTGAAACGCCTTCCTTCATCTTCCAATGTTTTCTCTTCAATCCACTTTCTAATAAATTAAAAACACACTCATTTAAAACTTCAGCTAGAAACTTAGGGAAAGTAGTTTGAAATTTATGTGTGGTGTTATTAAAATTTTATATTTTTAAATCGTGTTTTGGTTTTTGGTGAGGTGCCAGAACTGGAGATGAAATTTTGCTTATTTTGATTTTGAGTATTCTGCAGTAAGATGGCCTGAATTTTAGCTTGTTTCTCCCACTTATGAGTGGTGTGACCTTGGGGAAGTTCATCATCTCTGCTTCTCGGTCTCCTCATCCATAAAATCAAGAAAATCAAAATCAGTCAGTCAGAGGCAGTTTGTGAGCACGAAATGCAAATACATGTGAAATGCTTGGGACAGAGCTTGGCCTATGGGAAACATTCATTCAATATGTGTTATCTAATATTGATAGCTTAATGAAGCAGTGACTCATTTAAACCTAACAATAGATTTTATTTTTAATTTAAATGGAACTCTATCCGCCTAATGACATTGTCTTGTACTTCCTGGACTAACCCCCTGTAAAACAAATGGCCCACAAATATCAATCTAAAAGGATACATTATGCCCTACCAAAGACATCTCTAACGTCTTCTTTTGACCTTAAGACAAAGGTGAAGACAAAGTTGAAGTTGAAGACCTAATCCCACACTAAAAAGGTGGTAAGCTTTGAGAACAGCTCCTGAAAACAAGTATGCAACATTTTATTCACTTCTCTCATTGCCAGCAACATGTCATCTCCCATTGTCATTAGGTCATATTCTCTGAGCAGCCCCACAGCAGTTGGCATTTGGCAGGTTAGTGCCCTGAGAAGATGCCCAGTGAAGAGTGCCCAGATTTAGCAAATAAAAATGCAGAACATCTGGTGAAATTTGAATGTCAGATAAACAATAAATAGTTTTTTAGTATAAATATGCCCCATGCAATATTTGGGACATATACTAAAAAGTTATTTGTTGTTTATCTGAAATTCAGATTTAACTGGGCTTCCTGTATTATATCTGGCAACCCAGTAAGTAAAATTAATAAAGAATATTCCTCACATTCCAAGAGGATAAGTCAACACAGACATACAGATTATAAGGTGTGTCTGATATGGGTTGTTTTAGTTTTTTATGAGTTGGTTCTTTGTTATTCTGTTTCCTACATTTAATTCCTCCTCTCATTTCCCATTGACATAACAGTACCTATTTCCTCTTTAATATGAATGAAACTGATGTCTCACCTCTTCCCTTCAATCAAGATATTAAATTGTAATAATGTGCTCAATTTCTTTTTCTTTTCTTTTCTTTCTTTCTTTTTTTTTTCTTTTCTGGAGATATGGTCTCACTCTGTCACTCAGGCTGAAGTGCAGTGGCATGATCACAGCTCACTGCCGCCTTTACCTCCCAGGCTCAAGCAATCCTCCTACCTCAGCTTCCCAAGTAGCTAGGATCACAGACACATATCACCACACCTGGCTAAATTTTTTATTTTTATTTTTTGTAGAGACAGTGTCTCACTATGTTGCCCAGGTTGGTCTTGAACTCCTAGGCTCAAGCGATCTTCCTGCCTCAGCCTCTCAAAGTGCCAGGGTTACAGGTGTGAGCCACTGTGCCTTGCCATGCGCTCAACGTTTTTTTTTAAATTTGAATAGTGTTTACTGAGGTGAGGGCCAGCTGTATGTCAGGTACCATTTCAAGGATGAATAAGACACAGTCCTTCCCTGGAGGATAAGGAAATAACAACAAAAAGTGCTACCCTATTAGGCAAATACAGAGGACTGTGGGAGTTCAGCAAGGTGAGTTATTTAATTATCCTGAGAAAGATGTGGGAGTCAAGGACACCTCACTGTCTGGGACCCAAAGAAAAGTGGCTCCAACCGAGATAAGCAGGAGAGGTCCCAGAATGGCAGCAGTGTGGAGGCTAGGAAGCAACCCATCCTGATTGCAGTAGGAAGTCTGGAGGGAAAAATAGGGTTCAATACAATTGAAAGCATGACTAGGAACTTGGAAGCCCTCGAGGTTGTTAGAAGGTGACAGAATGCAAAGAAAAAAAATTATGGTTAAATTATTTCCATCTAAAATATAAAGTTGAAATTAAAACTAGGATCTTCAAGGGAGAAAATGTCCAGGAAAGGCCTGACGCAAGTGTGATGTACCTAAAATGGATTGATTTTGAGCTATTAGTGGTGTCTCAAACAGGAGATCCCATTTAAATCTGAAATCTGAATGTTCTCCAAATGACCCAGAGCAGGAAGCATAGTCAAGCCCTCCACTAGATTACAGGGAACAATATTCACATAGTCGCAGAAATGCTGCATATTGGTTTTCTGCTTTTAGATTCACCTTATAGGCAAGTCAAAGAATAACTATGACTCTAAAAGATAATGTAAATATGATTAATTTTTTTAATGCACAGGGTAAACGTCAATAGGTAAAAAGGGGTAGGAGCAGGAGTAAGGTGGAGAGAAGGGTGGGGTACTAAGGTTCTCATTTTAGGAAGTGACAGTCAAAAGATACTGTCTGTAGTTGACAGGACGAAATGGTCTGGGTGTACAGAGGAGAGAGCAATGCAGGGCTGAATATAGAGACGTATCTCTATTAGGAGGTCAGGGAGGAGGTAAGACCAGTGTGTATGTGAGTTAAATCTTCATTTCTCTTAGGAAAAATTAGGTACATAGGGCCTAAGATGATATACCAGGAAATAATAAGATAGCATGTTATTTTGGAAACATGGAGATCACCACCAGAAATCTAAAAGCAGAAACCATTAAGAATTTGGAGAATGGCAATGAGATTGAGACTGAGGTTGACGTTGGGGTTGGGGTGGGCTGAGGTGGGGACTCTTGCTTTTCTTTTTTGTACTTCAGTGCTACTTATTTGAACTATGCTCATGATTGTATGAAATACATATTTAAAACTTTTCAAGATTAGAACTTTGTGAAAAGACTTCACCATGGCAGTAGCTTTCAAGCATGAGTAGGAGTTCTTCCAGATGAACTCCTACTCATTCTACAGAATATGGAAATTCATGAGCAAAGGCTCAGGGGCCTAGAAGTGAATAATACATCTTAGGAATGTCAAGTTCTCCATCATGTCAAGAGCATTAGGCATATGGATAGGACAAACCAGAAGATAAGAATGAAAGGAGGGCTGGGGTTACTAAAAAAGTCCTCTGGATAATGTAATAGAGTTTGGACAGTGAGCACCTTGAGGACAGGAACCACATCATTTTTATTCTTGCATCCAGTACAAAGTCTAGCACATGGCAATAGTAGTACATCACAACATGATCAATTATGTCATAAGAAAATGACATAATCGATGGTAATTTGAAAACATTTTTCCAGTTAAGATGTAATATTGATATTGCTAGACATCTAAACAAAACAGAAAAAAATAGGAAGTTCAGGTTGCCCTGTAACCCCAACTTCATTTGGTAATTATTTAACAATTTGGTACATACCTTCTAGATGCTTTATTAAGATGTGATTGTGGTTATTAAGAGAGCAGAGTCAGACAAAGCCTGGAATCCACCTCTACCTGTACTCCTTCTACGGTCTTGGGCAAATTATGTAGCCTTCTAACCCCTCAGTTTCCTAATCTGTAAAATGGAAATAATACCTGCAACTACATCACTGGGTTGTAGTGAGGATGATAAGGAATAATGCATGTAAAGTGCTTGGAATAGTGTTTGACAAGCAGAGTGAGCACTTCATAGATGTTACCTATTAGTATGTATATAGATATATATGCATCTAGAGATATGTAAATTGTTAGAAATAAAACTCGGAGTCTTAAAGAAAAGTGAGCAAACAAAGGATTTTTTAGCAAAGCAAATTTACTTCGGTGCAGAAGGGTGCTTCTCGTAGGGCTGATTGCCACGAGAGCACACCGAACAAAGGAGAGTAGAAGCTTTTATTCCTAAGATGACTCCTGCCCCTGTGTCCTTTCCCCATCGGCTGGAGTCAGACTGCACAATCTAAACTAGACTCGATTGGCTAAATATTTAAACTTTCTTAGATAAGGTGGGCTTATGATGGGAGAGAGGGAAGAGGAGGAAGGGGTCATCTACAGAGGACTAGAGCGCCCGCCAGTCCATTCCCAAATAAGGAAATAAATGTGAGCTGGGGCTGTGGCATGCCTGGGCATATAGTAAAATCAGAAAGAAGAAAAGGAGAAGAAAGAGGGGTGGTAATTTAGAATTAGAGAATAAGAAGATGAGCAGGCTGTTTGAAGAGAAATCTTGCCATATCTCACATAAATATACATATGAGAAAGACAATTCATACATATATGAATAGGTATGTGAATAACTAGGAAGACCTGGAAGATACTGGTGGTTTGTGTGGGTTGGAAGAACCTACCACAAGACAGAGTGACAGAAGTGAGAAGGTAGAATATCACGATCTAAGAATAGAATTTGAGATCCAATAGTCCAATGATGATAACTATGCCGCTAAGTTTTTGAAGTAGAAAAAATTTATCTTTTATTTGATATTTTAGCCAATTCAAAAACTTATTATCCAATGCCAGGCTAAGCCTTCATTCCTCATTGGCAATGCCTTGATATCTTTTGTGGACGTGGTTCACTTAAGGACTTGAGAACTGTGGATGTCACAATGGGTTTGTTTGTGTGCATTCAGTAACTGGATTCTACCATCTGGCCTGCCAAGTTGGTCTCCAGGGCATTTTTCCTTACCCCAGTCATTGATAACACCCTTACTCACCTTAATCAAGATATAGGAAGCATTGTGCTAAATCCAAACTCCCAAGTTTCTCTCAGTTGGCACTGTGATTCAGTCACTCACATCCTTTATCTACTTGCATAGTTCCTACTGTTTTCATGCTAATCAAGGCCCTCAAAAGGTCTAACCTTGACAATTACAAAATGTTTCTTTTGTTTACACAAATTATACATGCTCATTAAAAAATGTGCTTATTACTAATTAAATATATATCCATTTAAGCTTTTTCCACATAAACAAATATATATACTGGAATTATTGGCCATTTATATTAGGCTCTATTTTCATTCAGCCATATAATACTAAATTTTACCAAGTCAACAAATCCACATCTACGGCATTGGTTTGAAAGGCTAAATATTTATTTTCTTGTTAGTGAAAATTTGGGTTGTTCATAATTTTTAATTTTTGAAAAGGTACTTCGGTGACTGTCATTGCAATTAAATCTTTGTGCATGTTTTTAATTATGTGTGAGAAATACCCAGAAATGAATTTTCTGAGTTAGAGTATATGCATATTTTTGTCTTCTAACTCATTCTTCCACCTCCATGGGTATCCTTTACCCCTGAATACATTTTACATTCTTATGGCAAAATTACCTCTCCAAAAGTGAGGGATGGACTTTAATTCAGTCTACTTTCCCATTCAGAAACTGCCAGTGTTTCCCACTGGACACAGGTACAGATAAAATCTAGACATCCTGACATGGCATTTGTGTCCTTCCAGGATCTGGCCTCAAGCTCCTTTTCATTTACGTCTCCCATATTCAGCTCACTTTATGCTCAACCATTCTGGACTTCATGTCATGGCATCCCCTTAGCTTGTTGAATTCCTACTTTATTGGTCCAGGTCCTGGCAGGAAGCATGCAACAGGCTTAAACTGGATTATTGGATGAATGTTTAACAAAGTGAATGTGGACAAAGGTGAAAGCAGAGTTTAGGAAACCCAACAAGGCATAGTGCAGTGCCTCTGGGCAAACAACACTGAAGAGCCCTTATCATGCATGGGCCTGCAGGAGCAAGAGGAGAAAGCAGTAGCTGTGACCTGGCAAGACCAACTCTATAGAGAAGGCCACCAGAGAGGAACTGTGACCTTCACAGCAAACCCTTGGCACTCAGGCAGGAAGGAGGCCGAGGGACTAAATATTCCAAACCCATTCTCCATCCATCCTTCAATCTCATGCTGGAAATTGCCCAGGCCCAACTGGAAACCAGTGGCACCAGAGCCCATGGGTGCCAGGTGGGAAAAATGGAGAGTGGATCTGATGAGACAAATGAAGGATGTCCAGCATACCTGCTTATTCCTATATACCAGTCTTCAAGTGCTTCGGTGCCCCTCTTACAGCATTTAACATAGCCTCGATTACATTTTGTTGTGCAATATCTTACCTCCTCAACTAGATTAATAACTACTCAAAGAGAGATGTGATCTTTTTCACATGTGTGATCAGGTGCTCAGGAAATATTTGAAATGTAAAAGTATCCCCCAAAGAGACTCCTTCAAGAAACGTGATTCAGGGACAATCGGTCCACCAGAGAGGCTAGAAAGGATGACATGTCTGGACAAGGGCTCCTTGGTGGGAGGGATATGAGATACCAAGGCAGTGATATAGAACCCTTTTGTAAACCCATGCAACAGTCGAAGTCTACAGAGTGAGGGAGCTACCTAGGCCCACCTTCAGTTTGTGCAGCACACAGGAGAGACTGAGAGGAGAGCCATAGCTGTGTCTTTGAAGCTGGTATCTGCTAGTAAAACAACACCTTAGAGGAAATATGGCCCACTTGGAAATCCTAACTCCACAGAACAAAATTTTACAAGCTTCCTGATGGATTGACACACACTTCTAGTTTGGGCTGATCAGCAGCAATGCTGGAATCCTAGATCCAACACATGCTTTTTCTCCAGGCTCTTCCCACGGGTGGTCCAAGATGTCATCTCAGGTTCTACTCTTTGACTAGGAGGCCCTGTGAAAGCTCCAGCAAAATGGATATAGATAGAAGGGAATGAATAATCCAGAAGCCCAGATGGAACCCAATTCTCACCCTCCTAGTCCCAGATGCAGGGAACTCTAGAACTTGCCTGAGGTATGAGCTTTGGTAGTAGCGCCATCAGGCACCAAGTTTTATCAGCTGTCATCCTCATAACACTCAACAAGAAATACAGAGACCTGCTTTGAGTATGCTTAAGCCCTCTGAGCCTCAGTTTCTTTCTTTTCTTTTTTTTTCAAGAAAGAAGTAAGGAAAGAAAAGAATGGCTACTCCATAGGCAGAGCAGCTGAGACTGTTTCTTTGCCTGCAAATTATCTGTATTTCAGGCTTGGTGTTAGGATTGATGAGATAATATCCATAAAATACTTAGAACAATGCCTGATGCACGAAGGCATCTAACAAATATTCCATTTCCTTCCTGCCATTCCCATTGTCCAAGTCACCATTCCGTCCCTTTACTGTATTGCCTCTTTCATACATATTGAAGTTGAAACTGGGTTATTTCCCAGGGACAGAAGTCTTAACTTCATTAACTTTTGCATGTAAGTTTGACTTCCACCTCAAGAGGCAATATGTAGCACAGTAGATAAGAACATGGATATTGCAACCAAACTACCAGAACTGTCCCACAGCTAGCTTTGTAAACTTAAGGAAGTAACTTGATTACTACGTGCCTTTGTTTTTGCTTCTGTAAAGTAGGCATAATAAGTGTAACTGCCCCACAGAAATAAATTTGTTAATGTGTTTTAAAGTACTTAGAACAAAGACTATACAGGTTTGTTATTATTATCATCCTCTTTAGAATTGGAAGGAGGTAGGAGAGAATCAAGTCTCAGTGTCCCAAACATGAGTCAGCAGCTCATGGATGGCAGTGCTGCCCAGACCACACCCACTCAACCCTGAACCCTGAACACTGAACCCTGAACTGAACCCTTAACATGCAGTTGCTGTGCATCTATTCTGTATGTTGAACTTAGCTGGGGTGGGGGAGGTGGTAAGAGATGAATGAAAACACAGTAGCAGTGTTACTTTAAATAAATAATTTAATGTCAATGGCTCTCAATATTCTCACCTGTTAAATGAGTTTTGGATTCATTATTTCCAGAGTTTCTTCCTGATCTAAAAATGACTTTGATTCTATGGAAAAAAGGTCTCATGGAAGTCACCTTATCCAGAAACTTTAGTCCCAGTGCTTGAGCCAATGGGACCAAAGATCAATGACTGGCCCATCGATATTTCCCCAGGTGGCCTCTGTGACCTGTTGCAGGATAGGTGAGAGACTGTTGAATGTAGACTTTTGACCTTCATTCAGTCACAAAGGCACACTAAGAGCACTGAGAAACATATATCATACAAACTGAATATCACATTAGCAGACCCTACTACTTGTAGTTAACAAATAATTAATATTTTCATAAGATCAAGATTCATTTTGGCCTTATTTTTATATAGCCCTGTGTATTATGTCAAAATTTTATTTTTTTATTCAAAACATACTACAATATTTTGCACCTTTTTTGTCTCTTCTTCTTCTTCTTCTTCTCCTTCTCCTTCTCCTTCTTCTTCTCCTTCTCCTTCTCCTTCTCCTTCTCCTTCTTCTTCTTCCTCTTCCTCTTCCTCTTCCTCTTCTTCTTCTTTTTCTTCTTCTTCTTCTTCTTCTTCTTCTTCTTCTTCTTCTTCTTCTTCTTCTTCTTCTTCTTCTTCTTCTTCTTCTTCTTCTTTCTTTTAGTATAGTGGAAGTAGCTCACTCTTGACTTGTGGAAAATCCTGGGGAAATCCTGGGGGCCTCTCCCTTTGGTTGCCTCACTCTCTGGCCAGTTCATGGCTTGTCAAGAAATTAGATGTCAGACACGTGTTATTATGGGAAGGAAACCTGTGAGAGGGTGTAAGAGAAGGTGAGGCCCCAGACGCATGCAACTTTTTACCATCGTCCCTTATTACAAGCTCTTTGAGGGTAAGACCTCTGTTTCTGTACCCTTGCATCAACACATACTAGTTACCCATCAAGTATTTGTTCAATGAAATCAAGCTGAACCAGAACTGTTACAAATCTCAGAAAGGGTGATGAGACACTGAGCTCTTTGAGGGTGGGGAAGGGGTCTCATATGCATCTTTCTGGCTTGTGATAGTTACACATTAAACTCTACTCCCTTTTACATGGTTGACAGCTACTCCTTATAACCACATTCTTCTCCTCTTGGCTTCTGTAAGACTCAGTTCTCCTGGTTTCCCTCCTACCTCTCAGTGGTGCTTCTTAATAACCTTTGCTAATTATTCTTTGCTGCCAGATCTAAGGGCCTCAGAGCTTGGGTCTCCTCTCTGCATTTGCTATCCTTAGATTATCTTATATACTCTTACATCTTTAAATGTCACCTATGTGCTGATAACTCCAGAATATGTATCTTTAGCCCAAAGTCACAGAACTCTGGATTCCTACTTGATATTTGGGTGTCTCATAGGTATCTCAAACTTAACACATTGAAACAGAACGCTTCATTTATACTGTCCTTCCCTTACCCAAACCTGGCCCTACCCTAGTCACCTCCTACCACGAATGTGAGCACCTTCCACCAGGTTCGTCAAGCCAGAAACCTGAGGATCATCCTTGATGCCCTCTTTCCCCCCAGTACTCATGTCTAATCCATTGGCAACTTCCATCAATGTTCCCTCCTAAAAAACTTTTAATTTCACTCACTTCTTTCATCTCTATGGCCACAGTTCACCAAGTCACCATCCTTTCTTGTCTGGACTTCCACGGTAGCCTCCTCAGCAATCTTCCTGCTTTCAATCTTGTCTCCTTTTGCTCCATTTTCCACATAATAGTCAAAGTAGTCTTTTAAGAAAATAAAAGTTGCACATTCTTCTTCGTTGTTTAAGTGCTTCCAATGTCTACTCGTTGTACTTGGAATACAATCCAAACTCCTTACCATGTCCTAGTAGACCGGGAATGATCTCATCTTCTACTTGCCCCACACTGCATAAACCAGCTGCATCCTCCTCTTCTTCATTCTTCACCTAAGCCAAGCTCCTCCCCTCCCTCTACCTAGGTCATCTTCCTAGCTCTTCAGATGCCTGATTTCTTCTGCTCTGCCAGGTCTCCCCTCAGACCCTCAAATGTCATCCCCTAAGTTGCCCATACTCCTTTCCTGGTGTTCTCTGCTATTGTATGTTGTTTGTTCATTGTACTCGTACAGGTTGTGAGTCTACTTGTGTACGTTTATTTGTTTTCTTGTTTATTCTTATCTAGACCAAAAGCTCAAGGACGACAGGAACAATGGGTATCTTGATCTTCACAGGGCCCAGTACAGTGGTGCTTGACAGATATAAGGCATTCACTAAATACATATGGGAAGAAAGGCAGGGAGAGAAATGGATGGAGAATGAGGGAGGTGGGAAAGATAGTAAGAGAGAGAGAGTGAGAGAGAGGAACTCCCTTCAGAGAAAGGGAAAAAGAAAAGGAAGGAGAGAGGGAAAAGGCAGGGAAAATGTAGAAAGAGAGGAAGAAGAAATAAGGTCTTTTTGACCAGCATCATCATCAATATGGTAGATTTTCGCTTAGAGCAAGGGGTAAAAAGAGGAAGCAAAAAGAAAGCACCTAGGAATTTTTATTTGGTTCTCCTTCTCCTTCTCCTTCTCCTTCTCCTCCTCCTCCTCCTCCTTCTCCTCCTTCTTCTTCTTCTTTTTGTAAAAGCATCTACCCTGTGCCAAGTGTTTTCTAAATTATTTTAGCTAGTCATATTTAATAGCACTATAAAAAAAAGATGTTAAAATTTCATGTTATTGGTGAGAAAAAAAAAAAAGAAAAGAAAAAAGCCTCTCTAAAGTTAAGGAACTTGCCCAAGACCTGACAGCTGCTTCTGAATGTGAGGAGCCCACACTGTCCCCACTCCCCCACAGGTCTCACATCTCTTATGGTTATGTGGTCTGTAAGCAGCCTACCTCCGTCACAGTATTATGTGGGCAGACAATCATTCACAGCTTTTTAAATTTTATTTTACTTTTATTTTTTGCATTAAATACTATTTGAAAGAACCTGTTAAGGGCCAACACATTTGGACTAAAAAAGATGGCTGGAACTGCTGAAGAGTTAGGGTGTGAAGCAGACTGGCAATCCCACCCCACCAGACACCTAGGGAAGCTGAAGTTGACTGGCTGGCTTTCATGCAGAAGGAGGAGTCAGTTTCCATGGCATGGACACAACACTCCGGATGGTTAGGACTGCCTGTCAGCACAGAGCTCCTCAAATTTCACACAAGACAGTAAGTGTTTTTAAGTTACCCTCTCTTATTTACTATAGTTATTAAAAATCACTCACATTTATTAAAACTGATATTTATTGACTACTTTGCACTTGATTTCCTATCTTTATGGTAGATGTGCCTCTACCAGAAAGATAGGAAATCAAGTGCATTTAATCAAATTCACAAGGATTGGTTACTAAAGGAACCAATTGATAAATTTCAGTAGTCAATGCCAAGCTAGTGAGTTGTATATATTTTCTGCAAACAAATTGTGTTTGTTTTTGTTTTGTAGAAAGCTTCTAATTAATAGTTTTTTGTAAAGCAGCTTTGTTAAAATACAATTCACATACCATAAAACTGGATTCATTTAAAATGTAGAATTCAGTGGTTTTGGGCCTTTTGGAGTTGTGAAAGCATCTAATCTAATTTAAGAACATTTCATCACCCCAAAAAGAAATCCTGTACTTATCAGCAGTCACTCCCCACCCCAACCTCCATCGCAGCCCTAGGCTGCCTATAGTCTACATTCTAGCTATCTAGATTTGCTTATTCTGGGCATTCCACATACATGGAGGTATGCAATATGTGGTCTTCTGTAACTGGCTTCTTTCACTTAGCATGTTTCAAGGTTCATCCATAAAGTATGTATCAGTACTTCATTCCTTTTTATTGCCAAATAAGAATGCTTTATATGGATATTCCACATTTTGTGTATCTATTCATCTATTGATGAACCTTTGGGATGTTTCCACTTTTGCCTCTTATAAATAATGCTTCTAAGAACATACATGTACAAATGTTTATATGGATATATGTTTTTCTTCTCTTGGGTATATAGCTCATTGGAATACTCAGACTTTCCCATTTCAAAACTTACTACAAACCTGCAGTAATCAGGACTGTGTAGTACTAGCATAAAGATAGATATTTAGAGCAACGGAGTAGATCTGAGAGTCTAGAAAAAACCCTTATATTTATGTTCAATTGTTTTGTGGCAATTGTTGTCAAGTATAAAAATTAACTCAAAACGGATCACAGACCTAAAAGTAAGTCTTAAAACTATAAAACTCTTAGAGGAAAACACAGGAATACATCTTTGTGAGGGAGAGGACCAACTTCATTCTTTTAGCTGTAGATATCCAGTTGTCTCAGCATCATTTATTGAAAAGACTATTATGTTGTCACTGAATTTTCCTGGCATACTTATTGGAATCAGGAAGTGTGAGTCCTCTAACTTTGCTCTCTTTCAAGATTGTTTTCTTCTGGGTCCCTTGCATTTCCATATGATTTTTTAGAATCGGCTTTTCCATTTCTCTGGAAATAAATTTTGCTGCCTAATGCTTCCACTTGAATTGCAACTCACCCATGGAAAGTTATGGAATCTTGGCATGAACTCAAATGTGGGACAAATGGGGTTAGTTGAAATGTACACCTGCTTAAAGGCCTCTATGAAAGGCAAGCGAAAAACTTCTAGATACTGATTTAAAAAATGGTTTTATTTTAGTGGCACCCTCAGATTAGAAACACTCTAGCATTTTTGTTTACTATTCTATCATTGATCAAACACTCCAGTGTAAGGGATTTCTATTAAAATGAATTTTGAAAGTAAAATGCAGTCTGTGCCATCTTCTCTTTTACCTAACATAGTATGTACAGAGCATCTACTTCACAAAACATGCCCAATCCTTGTCCTGCACACCCAAAGATTCTGATTCCTTTTGGACTGAGGCCCAGGCATCTGTATTTTTGAAAATCCACTGCTGATTCTCATGTATCCCCTCAGTTGAGAACAGCTGCCACATCCTTACTCCCTCCTCAGCTCTCCAATTTTGCTTCCAGCCAGTCTATACCTTACTTTTCAGCCACAAAGATATTGCTACTCAGAGTGTGGTAAGTGAGCTAGTACCGTTGTGAGAACTTGTTACAATGCAGAATCTCAGGCCAGGTTCCAGACCTACTAAATCAGAATCTGCATTTTAACAAGGTCTCTAATGATTTGCCTATATCAGAGGCTAGCACACTATGGTCTACAGGCCAAATCTGGCTCACCCCACTTTCGTAGGCCCGTGGTCACCATTTAAGGTGTTGAACCTCCATGGGATAGCACAGTGAGACTCCCAGAGCAAGCCCAGGCAATGCCCTCTGCCCCTGCTGGCCCCTCAGCAGCCCACAGCTGTGCCTGGCCACTGCCCAGGCCCTGCTGGTCACCACCTACACAATGGAGACTCTGCTGGTGGCAACTGCTGGGACTGAGCAGTGGAATCTCAGTATGGGAGTTGGTGGCTCCATGAGCCTCCATGTCTCCTGCCAACTAACTGGAGATGACCCCTCTAGGAGGAGAGAAAGTTCACTGGGATCTGAGCATCACTAGGGCAGAGTGAAACTGACCATCTCACCGACCAGGCCCTTCCCCCTCAGGCTTGTCCTCGTTCGCCTAAGAATATCTCCACCTGAGGGCTCCAGGGTACAAAGAGGGTAGAAAGATCCACCCCAGGCAAGGGGGGCAGGGTGGAGCAGGAGTTTTCTTTCCTACATATATGTAATAGACTCTTGGCATAATTTTTTTTTCTCTTTTATTCCCCCCCCCCCCCCCCCGCTTTTTTCTTTTCCTCTTGGCATAAAAATATTTACTATCTGGTTCTTTACAGAAAAAGTTTATTGACTCTTGGTTTACACATTAGGAACTACTTCCCCTTTGCAGCATGTGACTCTGGACACATACATGCTGTCTTTCAGCTGGGGATACTCCACCTCCATCAGTCGCCAATATGTCTCTGACCCATCGCATCAGGACCCAGCTTAGGCCACTTTTAGAGAAAGCTCTTTTACTTTCCGGTCTTTGTGAATGGTTCTTTCTCTCTGTCCTCTGGGCATTTAGGGCATTGCATTTTAATTACGTTTACTTTTCTTTCTCTCCCTCCAGGGCTGTTCTCACATTTCAATGCACTCACCTGGAGGGCTTACCACAACAAAGATGGCCGGACCCCTGCCCAGAGTTTCAGATTCTGTAAGTCTGGGGCTGAGCACAATAATTTGCATTTCTAACAAGTTCCCAGGGGCTGCTGCTGCTGCTGGTCACAGTTAGTGAAGTTGACTCCAGCTCCTTCTTATGATCCCAACTTAAATCTTGAGATCAGAGACATTCCCAATGGCCCCATCTCAAGTGGCACTCTCTCCACTCTTGTTTTCTAGCTCAGCTCCTTCTTTACGTCAGCAGCTCTCAACCTTTTCGTTCTCAGAGCTTCTTTCTACTCTTAAAAATTATTGAGAGCCCCAGAGAGCTTTTGTTTATGTGGTTATGGTTGTCAATTTATTCTATTGGAAATTAAAACTGAGAAAACTTTTAAATATTGATTAGTTCATTTAAAAAACTGTAATAAACTTATTACACTATAATATAAATGACATTTTATGAAAATAAATATATTTTCCAAAACAAGTGTGACTAGTCACATAGGTTTACTCTCCCCTGCCCAATCTCTTTAATATCTGACTTAATAGAAGACAGCTGGATTCTTGTATCTGCTTCTGCATTCAGTTTGTTGTTTTGGTTAAAGTATATAAAGACAATCTGGTTATACACACACACATACACACAAGTATATGTAATATATATACATATATGTGCATGAGATATATATACATACACATATACATACACACATATGTATATATAATATATAATTATATATTATATACACATATACACATGTATATTATATATACGTGTGTGTACATATAATATACACATATATATTATATATATAAAGTTGGAAAAGGGAGGAATATTTTCAGATAATTGTGGATATTGTTTGATACTACAACAATATTGTGTAAGTTGTAGTGTCTTAAAGATTAGTTGCAATGTGCAGTCTGAAATGATATCAATGCACTTTCTATATGGTTTTATTAAAATCCATTGGTCTACCAAATGGATCTCTTTATCCATGCATGATTTTGTAACATTCTATCTTTGCCATGGAAAATATTGGTCTTTAGGGTGATAAATATTTTCTAAACATGCACACATTTCATTGTACAATATTCTAATAACACATTCATTAAGTCATGTAATCAAAGATAAAGATTTAATAAAAATAATTCTTATTGTTTCATTTAGGATGTTCCTATGTAACTGGCTTTTTAAAATTTACTCTGAGTGTGTGGTGAATGGCATGATTCCAGGTCCAGTTTGGTGTCATTGCCTTGCTTCATGCTAAGGTACCAGCAGTTTTCTACACTATTGCTTTTGAGCCATCAGAACAATTGTCAACACAGTGTAAAAAGGCCAATAACATTTTAATATAATGAAAACAGCTTTGACTTCACAGATCCCCTGAAAGTGCTCCAGGGATTTCTGAAGGTCTATAGACTATAGTTTGAGAACTGCTAGTTTATGGCATAACATTAATAACAATTTTCACATATTTATTTGTGTGATTGTGTGTCCATCTCAACGGGTGTAACAACACTAATACTATTTAATTTTCATGGAGTACCTGCTCTGTATCCAATATAATTTTTTTTTGCAAATTGACATTTATCCTTACAACAACCCTGGCAGATTACATCCATTCTATAGATAAGAAAGATAAGGCACAGAATTACATGCAATTCTAGCTTACTTACTAACTTACTTACTTACTAACGTAAGGGAACACTACTAGAACTCTGAAGTAGGAGTAGGAAATAGCACTGGAGGATGGTTTGAGGCCAGGTAGCCCGTGAGTTTAGACATAATTCTGTGTGCAGTGGGAGCCACCAATAGTTTTAGGGTAGGTGACAGGCAGGCACTAACCACAGGAGCTAAGGTCTAAGGACACACTCATGCCACACACATGAGGCAAACTGAGAGGCAAATGCATGCGGCAGGAAAGGAAATAAATGATACAGAAGTCTATGGGATTACTCGCTAGGAATAAAGAGTTACATAGAATTTCCTAAGTGGCATGTCTCTCCCACAGTTGTTTTCTGCCATGGAATTGGCCAAAATGTCAGACATGACAAAGCTTCACCAAGCTGTGGCTGCAGGAGACTACAGCTTAGTGAAGAAGATTTTGAAGAAAGGTCTCTGTGACCCAAACTACAAAGATGTAGACTGGAATGACCGGACCCCACTTCACTGGGCTGCAATCAAAGGTGAGTGGGCAATGCTTAGGTAGATCTGCCCTTTTGAGTCCACCATTCATGAGGCTATCAATCAGTAGGCTATGTGGGGGAGTGGAACAAACATTTCTTTAGAGCCAGTTGGAAACTTCATTTCATTTTTTTTCTTTTTTTGAGACAGAGTCTCGCTCTGTCATCCAGGCTGGAGTGCAGTGGCACAATCTCAGCTCACTATAACCTCCACCTCCTGGGTTCAAGCGATTCTCCTGCCTCAGCCTACCGAGTAGCTGGGATTACAGGCATGTGCCACCACGACTAGTGAATTTTTGTATTTTTAATGGAGAAGGTGTTTCTTTATGTTGGCCAGGCTGCTCTCAAACTCCTGACCTCCAGTGATCCACCCACCTCAGTCTCCCAAAGTGCTGGGATTACAGGCGTGAGCCACCACGCCTGGCCCCAGATGGAACATTTTAATCCTGATATCACCGCTTACTAGTTGTAGCATCTTAAGCAAGTTATTTGATATCTCTGGGCCTGTTTATTCACCTAAATAACGTGTGCAGGAATGCCACCTTGGAGCCCTGTGATGGGAATTCAGTAATATAATGAGTGTACAGTGCCTATCTTACAGTCTGCTCTCAGTTAATATTAGTCCTTTGCCCTCTCAACCTCTAACAGGAATAGAGCATCACAAAGAAGGATAGGGGACTTTGCTTCATTCCTCATTGAATCCCCCACGCCTTACATAGCTCAGTTACAGAATTAGAGGAAGATAGTGGCAAAAACTCAGGCTGTGGGCCTCTCAAAGCCTTTGGCAATAGAAAGCCATTAAAGAATGTTAAGTAAGAAAGTGCTATGGTCAACTTTGCTTTTTACACATTTATTGTGATTCTTGTGTGGAGAATGGGTTGACAAGAAGCAAGACTGGCTGCAGAGAAATTAGTTGGGATATTTTTGCAAAAATCTAAGTACAGAGTGATGGTAGCTATACCGAAACACCTTTTAGTGAAGATTTGCTATGTGCTGGGCACTGTGCTGTGTACTTCATGTCTGTGATTTCACCTGCACTCTACAAGAATTCAGTGATATAAGGGGTAATATCCTTAATTTGCAAATGAGGAAATTGGCCTCAGATATTTGTTTCTTGTCTGAGGTGCCACTTGTTAGCAAGTGGGATTGTCAGGGTATGAAATCACATCTATCAACTAGAAAGCCTGTGCTCTTAACCTGTGTTATTTATCACGTAAATAGGACTTAAAATATTTGGTTTTGGCTCAGTGTTGAGACTGTCAAAAGCACAGTGGGCCTTACCAATAGGCAGGTATAGTGTGGCTTGGGAGAGAAAGCAAGATTCCTGGGCAGGGCCTGTGGCAATGCACAGGGGAGGGGAGTGTCCTGGAAGGAGGACAGGGAAGGCTTGCAAGGCTCAGGCCCTGGGTGGGAACAAGGTTCGTGGGGTGAGGTAGGGCACTGAGTCCCTGGTGAGAAGAGGGAAAAGGGAGGAGGGGATGATGATAGGAAACTGGAGGCTCCTCAAAGGCAAAGTTTCCCCTTCTATTGTGTTACCTAGACTGGCCCTGGCCTCAAGCCACTTGGGACATCTTTATCCTAACCTCATCCTGTTTCTTTTTGGTACATCTAAGGGCAAATGGAGGTGATACGGCTCCTGATAGAATATGGAGCCAGGCCCTGCCTGGTTACTAGTGTGGGCTGGACCCCAGCTCATTTTGCAGCAGAAGCAGGCCATCTGAATATACTCAAAACTCTCCATGCATTGCACGCTGCCATCGACGCCCCTGACTTCTTTGGAGACACACCGAAGAGGATTGCACAGATCTATGGACAGAAAGCCTGTGTGGCATTTCTGGAAAAGTAAGTTTATTTTTTTTCCACCTATAGAAGGAGCAGAGGAACAGGAGTCTGTGATCAAGATCTTGGGTGATTCTGTGGTCTCAGGTCAATGAAAATGAAATGAGGAAATCCAGCCAATGGACTATTATTTTTATTGATTTTTTTAGTTGAGTTATTTTTATTAGTGTTTCACTTAAAAGACTAGTTTAGGGGTCAAAACTATATTAACATGTTGTTTTGATTATACAAAAATTATCTCAGATAAGAGAATTGGAATACCAAGTTTGAAGATGGGACATGGTGCAAGAATCATGACCTTCAGCTTTCTAAAAGGCATCCAAACTGGCTGTGTGACCTTGTGCAAGTCAATGCAGCTTCCCGACCCTCAGTTTTCTCATATTTAAAACGAGGCAGGTGAATTAGACTTCCATTTTTCAGTGCCCTCCTATCTTTTAAAACTTCTATGTTCATCTGTGAATGCCCTATTTACACACACCAAAGAACTTAACTAGCACCTGTTTATTTTTTTCGCTCAGCCAAGCATTCAAACATAATTAAGCACCAATAATTTGCATAACAGTTATAGCTCTGAGAGGATGGAACAAAATTTGGAAACTTAGAATTCGATTGTTTCGACAAGCAATTCATACAAGAGAAAGTAGAGTATTGGAGTGAGGGCATCGTTGCTTGGAAACCAAATGATATAGATAGCAATGCCATCTATAGGGGCAGTTCATGATGGGGTGCCCTCCGAAGAACCTGAAAATGCAGTTATCTTCAGAAAGTTGAACAAGTGAAAATTTTGCCTATGATGAGATTAGTTATCTATAGAAGTAACCCAAGAGACATTCTCTTAAAGGTAATGTCTTACATTAAAAATATCCAATATCACAATTGAGATGCTTTGGGGAGTAAAGAGGCAGAACCTTGAGTCCTGACTCACAGATTCACTTTTCCCAATTTCATCCATCATCCCCTACATTCAACGATCTCCATCCTCTGTGGACCTCAGCATCAGCAGACATTGTTCTCTGAACTTTTTAAAATCCTAACATACCACAATGTGACCATAGCTCTCTTCACTTTATCAGTTCCTGCATTATCACCAGGTCTTGAATTCATCAAGATCTCTTGTCACTCAACTTCTCCTTTTTCTCCTAATCTATCACCTTCCTGAAGGTCTCACTAAATTTCCTCTACCATATGAGTACCATAATACACTTCATTCTTCCACTCTCTTCCCGCTATTCCTGCTATTAATTCTCAACCCAGCACATAACCTGGAATTCCCAACCTTAGATGAATCTCTGTCTTCTCCACGTTTATCCTTGTTCAGCTAGAGAAAATCCCACGTCAATATATGGGTATCCTAGCAGTTTGAATATTTCCACTTTTATCTGAGCCCTCAGAGCAGCTTGGCTATCTCTTCCTATCCTACTCCTCACTGGCAATTCCAAAGCCACATCACACCTCAGCCTGTCTTTCAGAGGTATGCCTTCTACTTTAGAAAAAATATTGAAGCCATGGGTTACACATTTTTCAAGTCTCACACCTGCAGATTTTATGTACATTTATATCAGCTCCTTCTTGCCGTCCTGTCCCTCCTTTGTAAAGTGTTATCCCTCCATATAGACTCTTGATCTAATCCTTTATGTCTTCTAGAAGGCCATTCATTATTCGTGTGTTCTTTGTTACATCTTTACGGTTTCTCCTGTATTTTTAGTGTTTTTTCCTTTCCCTTGACTTCTTTTTGGACTGTGAACATGTTCAAATAGGTATTATCAAACAAACAAAAAGTTAGAGGCCCTTCTGAATTGCGCTGTGTCTTTCTTCTTCCCTACACTTCTAAGCAACTTGAAAGCTAATCTACTTTTTTTAATCCAAAAGGAAAAGCACTTATCCTCTCAGAGTGTCTAACATGTTTTATAGTAATAACTTGTGTAAAAAATATAATTTTTGAATAGTTTTCTGTATTTTTATTGTGATGAAAAACTCATAAAATTTACCATATTAACTGTTTCTAAAGTGTACAGTTCATCAGTGTTATGCACATTTACATTGTTGTGAAACAGAGCTCCAGAACTTTTTCATCTTGTAAAACTGAAACTCCACACCCATTAAACAACTACCTTCTCTTTCTTCTCCCCAGGGGAATAGAATTTTGACTCTATATAAATCAAGAAACGCCTGACTTCTTTAGTAGTTTGTATTTGCAAGATCTAAGATCATGGTAAACATTAGGTCCTAAAATCTTGGGGAAGGACAACATGTCCTTCCTCTGACTTGTTAGCAATCAAATTGAGTAGGTTTTAAATGTCTGTTAATTGGAAGGGTTTGTTATTTCATTTTCAGCCAAAGGAGAGAGGTGCATTTTAAGTATCAGAATTAGATCAGCTTTGAGTTTGTACTAAATTTGGAATGTAATAGATTTTCATAAATTACGTGTGCCTTTTTGGAAATGTCAACTGTCTTTATGTCTGCTTGTAAAAGTTTCAAAATATGTTTTTCTCTCAAAAAGGCAACGTTATTTCATTTGCTTGAATATTATGATAGGAACGCTTACTGATATTACTTGATAGTTTTATATAGCCTTGGAACTTTAACATATAATATAGCAGTATTAATCATGATAGTTGTACTTCTTTGAAACATTAAATTTGAGGAAACTAATCTATGTAATTGTCTCCACTTCTTCACCTCTCACCCACGCTTCAGACTTCTTCCCTGATCCCCATACTGAATCAGCTGTCACTCAAGTCATTAGGGAGCTCCTCACGCTAAATCAATTGCCTCTTCTCAATTCACATCTTACCTCCACTTAATTCGGTATTTAATATTCCTGAAACTCTTCTCCCTTGTTTTATCTGATGCTATTCTCTTTTAGTTTTTCTTCTACTTCTCTGATAATTCCTTATGACTTTTAAAATGTGCTTTTTCTAAGAATAAATCTTATGATATGTTCTTGCGTGCCTTTTAAATGCTGACATTCCTTAGGGTCCTGCCCTTGGCTGTCCTCTACTGACTCTCTCTAAGTAATCCCAGCCCCTCCCTAGTGACCAGGGATCAACATGAAATATGATCCCAGCATAACTGAAATGCAGGAGGGGTGCTTGCCTCCAAATAGTGGGGAGTGCTATTACCAAGAAAAGTAGGCAGACAGTGTTGAGCCAGCAAAAACAATAAAGGTCAGTCACATCACGTGTGAGTCATTTCTACTTATTATCAGCTCCCACTAAGAACTTCCCTGACAGAGCGTTTAGGGAGAAGAATCCTGAATTAAGGGGGGATTAACCTGGATCTTGAAAGCTAGCTGGCTAATGAAGGAGGGAGAAAAACTGTTGATTTAGAGTGAAGGCACCAACTTGGAAATGTGCATAGGTTGTGTGTATATGTGAGAAGGTGAGGGATAGTGGAGTGCAGGGATGAGTGGCCTGGCTAGGCAGAGCATTCACACTAGAGAGGAATGGAGCATAAGGTCAGGTGACGGGGTGGGTGACCACAGTGAACTAGGCAAGCAGAAGAGTGTGAGCTCATCAGGGGAGTCACAAGCTGAAACAGATGCATTAGCAATTTATTTGTGTAGTAGAGGAGTTGGCAGTGGTACTGCGTGGGATTGAAGACTGCTAGACTTTAGGCAAGGGGATCACTTAAGGAATTTCTTATTGATTCACATTTTGAGTAAGTTGGCTCCTGGGCTAGGTGATGAAGATAAAGGATATAAGAGAACTTCAAAAGAAGCCTAGACCATATGTGATCATTTTCTGAATATCCTAGGGAATGTTGTGAAACAATTCAGCTTTTGATTCAGCCCCCCAAGTGATAAACCTCTCATTTAGCAAATATTTTTGAGTTCTACTATGTGTATGTCATTGAGTTAGACACTAAAAACAACCTAAAATAAACCAGATACAGTGCTGGACATCAAGAAGGTTAACTGTGTGGGAGACGAAATAACTTGTTTACATAAATAACACTAATACAAGACAGAGAGTGACTAGGCAGAGGAAAGACATGGTGTGGTCTGAAGATTGAAAGGTCACTTCCAGCTTAGGGTGAGGGACTAGTGAGTTTGCTGTCCTTTGAATGAACTGTGCTTTTAATAATGGTTTGCACTTAAAATGCTATTTGCCTTCCCTATACCATTATCTATCCTCTTAAATTCCATTTGTCCTCATATTGGTTCAAAAGTGACTTTTCCAAGTACCTTTAAGCAAGTCACATACTCACCATTGGCCTCATACAAAACTGTATATGTGTGTATTTCCCATTGTCTATGTGTGTATAATGCTCTATTTATTTATCCATCCATGTATCCATTTACAATTATATGTATTTTTACAGAATCCATACATACGTATAATACATATGTGATTGTGAGTGATTCTCATTTTGTTCCTTATATGTTTCTGTACTTTTAAATTTTATACAAGGAACACACATCACTTTTATGATTATGAAAAATAAAACTAAAAATAAACGAAAACAGTCTCGCAATAATCTGCAGGTTGCTCTATAAATGTGAGCACTTCAAGAATCAGGAGCATTTTCTTCAAGCTGAGTGACTATCTTTGAGTCTGTTAACATCTCACTCGGGTCCCACAATTTTTCTCCACCTCCAAGTAGTTTCTTTAGTGTCTGAGACCTTCCCTAAGTGTATGCTTGGAAATGCTCAAACTTGGCCTCCTTCCTTCTCAACTGAACTGCGGTGTGCAGAACCTGTGAATAAAGGCCGATTCCCAGGCTGGAACAGGTCCTCCTGATCCAAGTTCAGAAGGCTCTCTCTTCTTTCCTAGGGCAGAGCCCGAGTGCCAGGACCACCGTTGCGCTGCCCAGCAGAAGGGGCTGCCTCTGGATGAGCGTGATGAAGACTGGGATGCCAAGAAAAGGGAGCTGGAGCTGTCTCTTCCTTCCCTAAATCAAAACATGAATAAAAAGAATAAGAAAAGTCGAGGCCCCACCAGGCCCAGCAATACCAAGGGGAGGAGAGTATGAGAACTCAACCTTATGTTTTCTGGCAAGGAACTTTCCCTGGTGCCAGAAATGAGGCTGTTAGGCATGGTGGCCTTTCCATGACTTTACTCATAGACCCTTACCCACCTGGCTTCTGCCCATGGACCTGTCATTAGGTGCTGTCCACATGGGCTGTTGTTTCCTGGCTAGCACCTACTGTGTACAATAATTACCGGGAAAGGACAAAACCTGCTTGCATTTTGTCATCAGTGGTTTGCACAGTCAGCATCTTTTGACCCCTGCCCCCCAACAATAATAGAATTTCAGGAGACAAGGAAACTCTGGCATGAATTAACTTCATCCCTGATAACGATCGAGAGATAATGTAAAATAATGAACATGTGATTATAGGTCTACTTTTTCAACTGTAAATTTGGGAAAATTAAATTCAGATCAGATAATTCCAATAAAAAATTGCATCCAAATTGAGATGCAAAATACACATTAGATTTCAAACACTTAGTACAAAAATATAAAATGTCTCCTTAATAATACTTAATATTGATTCCACATTGAAATGATAATATTTTGGATATTGCGTTGAATAAGATATATTACCAAAATGAATTTTATCTTTTTCCTTTTCCTTTTTAAAACATGTGGCTACTAGAATGTTTAAAATTACCCATGTGCTTTTTTAGTTTATTTCTATTGGACAGCATTGCTATAGAACCCAAACAGCATGTTAAGCCTCTACTAGGAGACTAGTCTGGTGTATTTTACTTTCCCTGGCTGCTCTGCATTTTAGATATACTAATTTCTCTGCCTAAATCAATTTATTTAGCTATCAAGTATCTTTATTACTTATTCCTCAATTAATGCTTGTGTTAATACAAGTCATGCTTTGTTTGAATTTTCTGGTATGAAAAAAATGCTTGAATATCTTATAGAAAAGCAGTATAGCTATAGAGGATACCTTTCCTCGTGTTGATCTACCCTTGAGCATCAATCCCTTTCTCTATGCTCTGCAATGCAGAGTAGTTCCTGCTTTGGACCAGTAGAAACATTGGAAGACAACTGACTCGAGCTGGACTAATAAGATTCTTCTCCTGGGTACTTGAAAAGAAATCCTCATGATAGGCTGGACCAATAGCAGATGACTTCAGAAGTATGGAGTGGCTAATTCTACACTAGGGCTGAGGAAGGGTACAGAGATGCTCTACAAAAAGGACAAGAAGACCGAGGAAAAGACAAAGGGATAGAGATAGGTCAGTAGATAAATGAATAGAGAGATTAGATAGATAGATAGATAGATAGATAGATAGATAGATAGAGATGAATAGTTAGATAATTTGCTATTCCTAGTTCTGGTTCCTTACTCAGGAATCTGTGAAATACTATTTTATCATAAAAGTTGCCCTTTGCTTACAGTATATTGAATTGATTATTTTCCTTGCAAGCAGACTTTTCTAATAAGTACAGTATTTTAATCATGGGCTTATGAGTAATGGTGACTTAGGTTTGTATCCTCCTCTACGGAAATAGGTAAAAGAATTCCCATTTCCTGGGGTTGCTGTGAGGATGAGATGGACAATGTGTGTAAGATGCTGACATTGGCACACTATAACTGGTTTATGTCATGACTGTTGTATTACTATAGAAGTGAACTCAGTTTTCCCCTGGGAATCCCAAAGGGATCCAGGAATAATGCCTTTTATAGGTCACATGAGGCTCTTTATTGTCCAGTCCATAAATATCCCATCTAGTTTTGTGGCATGGATAATAGCCTGTCCTCCATCAGCTGGACAAAACTGTGATAAGCAAAGTGTCTTTGGTTGTGTCCACAACCCTATGGCCTCCCAGTGCCCTCATTGTGCCCTCATTTCATACTTATTCTCATTGAGATATAAAGAGACTTATGTCTTCTCCCACAAGTTTTTAGGTAGTAAGTGAGAACAACAGGAAGAGAATGCTAAAATAGCTTCTCTGTATGAATAATTTAATGCAACATAGACTCTATACTAAGTGCTTTACATGGATTGTATCTAATCTGCATGACATACCTGCAAGGCAAGTATCATTATCCCCAACTGACATCACAAACTGAAGTTCTGAGAGGTTGAATGACTTGCCCTAGGCCACCTGACCGATGTTTGTGCTGGCTGTAAAGCCTGGCTGGATTTGGTCGATGGGCTAATCTTTCAGGCTCTAAGACCTTTGGCAGGTTGCTTAACTTCTCAAGTTTCCTCTTCTGTAAACAGGGAGATCATACCAGCACCTATGTCATAGGGTTGTGGTGAGGATCAAATGAGATAATACATGTTAGCTACTTAGTACAATGTCCTCAACAAGGTGTGGGTCACCAAATGTCAGTTGCTGTGGTAGTTATTATTTTTCACAGCCTTCACTGTCCCAGATACGTAACAATGAAGAATGGCTTGCCTCGAAGCATTTCCCTCAGTCCAGAGGGGGAGATTTGGGGTGACATCATTCTCTGAAGTCCATCAAAACCCTGAATGAAGTTGTCCACTATATTCTTGCCCCTGAGGTTGAGCTCTCCACCGAGCAGCCTTAGGGCTGAGGTTTGTCCCTTGCAAGGTATCTGAGCCAAAACAGGTGGACTTCCAACATCCTGCCTTCATTCTGTCGTGCTGACTGTCCATTTCACTGGGATCTATTTGAAGATTTGCAGCAGTTGAAGGGAGTGGTATTTGTGGTCCTTGCCTGTTCTGTCCCATCCTCACAGGCAGGGAGAAATGAGCTGTTTATATCATGTAGGAAGTAGAGGCAGTATCATGTCATACAAAGGGCAGTGGAAGAGGAGAGACGATTCTGGACTTGACTTCACCTGGCACTGGCTATGTGACTGTGGGCAGTGATTCTGGGATGGGATTCCTTATTTTTATTATTATAATTATTATACTTTAAGTTTTAGGGTACATGTGCACAACGTGCAGGTTAGTTACATATGCACACATGTGCCATGTTGGTGTGCTGAACCCAGTAACTCATCATTTAACATTAGGTATATCTCCTAATGCCATCCTTCCCCCTCCCCCCACCTCACAACAGGCCCTGGTGTGTGGTGTTCCCTTTCCTGTGTCCATGTGTTCTCATTGTTCAATTCCCACCTATGAGTGAGAACATGTGGCGTTTGGTTTTTTGTCCTTGCGATAGTTTGCTGAGAATGATGGTTTCCAGCTTCATCCATGTCCCTACAAAGGACATGAACTCATCATTTTTTATGGCTGCATAGTATTCCATGGTGTATATGTGCCACATTTTCTTAATCCAGTCTATCATTGTTGGACATTTGGGTTGGTTCCAAGTCTTTGCTATTGTGAATAGTGCCGCAATAAACATACGTGTGCATGTCTCTTTATAGCAGCATGATTTATAATCCTTTGGGTATATACCCAGTAATGGGATTGCTGGATCAAATGGTATTTCTAGTTCTAGATCCCTGAGGAATCGCCACACTGACTTCCACAGTGGTTGAACTAGTTTACAGTCCCACCAACAGTGTAAAAGTGTTCCTATTTCTCCATATCCTCTCCAGTACCTGTTGTTTCCTGACTTTTTAATGATCACCATTCTAACTGGTGTGAGATGGTATCTCATTGTGGTTTTGATTTGCATTTCTCTGATGACCAGTGATGATGAGCATTTTTTCATGTGTATTTTGGCTGCATAAATGTCTTCTTTTGAGAAATATCTGTTCATATCCTTCGCCCACTTTTTGATGGGGTTGTTTGTTTTCTTCTTGTAAATTTGTTTGAGTTCATTGTAGATTCTGGATATTAGCCCTTTGTCAGATGAGTAGATAAAACCAAAGGGTAGAACCAGATCTGCAAGATCACATCTATTGCTGTTATCATACCAGAGTCTGGAACCTTTAGATCTAGACTGTCTAAGAAACCAAGTTAAAGCAGGATGTTGCCCCTGATGAATTCACACCAGGCATCCAATCTACATATTTAAATTAAGATGTTCACATTCACTAGAATCATTAATTTTGGACCTATACAAAACCTGAACTCATTAAGGAAATGACAAGCAATTATTCTTCTTTCACTAGGGAAGATCTAAAGTAAGCACAGTCCTGCCTTCCTTCTTTTGTTTTACCAGTTGTCAAATATTTATAGAGCCATACTTTATGTCTAGCACTATGCTAGATTCTGAGAATCAAAAGATAAATAAGGCCTGAGTAGACTGTGTGCTCCTGAGGGCACTTTATTCAACTTTGGATATCTATTTCTTAGATCAGTAATTATAAATGCTTGCTAAAAGAAAATTTAGAAAGTTACAATCAAAATATTAGAAGATGCCTTTATAAATGAGAAATCAAAGCTGTTAAGGGTTGAATTGTTTCCCCCCCTAAATTTATATGTGAGGTCCTAATTTTCAGTTCCTCGGAAAGTGGCCTTATTTGAAAATAGGGTCACTGGGGGTGTAATTAATTAAGTGGAGTGGAGTTGAGTGGGCCTCTAACCCAGGATGATTGCTATCCTTATGGAAGGAGACACTAACTGAGGAAAGAGGATGTGAAGAGACACAGGGAAAAGATGGCCATCTACACACCAAGGAGAGAGTTCTGCAGCAGATCCTTCCCTCACAGCCCTCAGAAGGAAACAGCCCTGCCAACACCTTGATTTTTGAATCTCTAACTGCCAGAACTATGATGAAACAATGAATTTCTGGTTTAAGCGACCCAGTGTGTCATACCCAGTGTGTGATACTTTGTTATGGTAACCCTAGCAAACTAATTCAGAAGCTACTGACTCTTGGCTCTGAGCTACTTCCATTATATTACCAAGAGGGTGAGTAGCACTATGTATGTCCAGGGCTCTTCTGCGTAGCATTTACATGTTTACTTTGGCCAGTGACTGAATTATATGGAAATACTTTCTTGTCCATGGGAAGATTTTTATATCTTATTTTTAAAAACCAACCTTTACTGTGGATTCTAAGAACTGTACCACAGAACACTGCATTCAGGGTATGTCTCCATGAAATAAAAGCAGCTAGTTAGAAACATTAAAAATGCAGGCAACAATGTTATTGTTTAGTACTTATATTATCAAAAAGATTGGTGGGATCTATTTTGCTTAACAATACCCCTTATTGGTCATTCCTTGGGAGAGAATCACAAATACCCTGATTTCAGCCAAAAACATTGTTAAAATTTTTTCTTATCAGTTTTCAGACCTTAATCCTTGAACTTCGGAATTAACAACCTTTTATTTTCTGTTTCTGTCTCATATACTCCCTTGGCAGGCAATGTTATTTTAAAAGTTCCTGAAGAGAAACATTATAAGTAAAACAAAAAAAGCATCTAACAAAAACCAATTTAACCAGATCACATATTTCACGCTAAATTTTTCTGTAACACTTAAAATGATTGATTCAGTTCATCTTCTTATAATATTGCAACACTGATTTGGGAGACAATGATATCTTGACTCCTGCTTTCCACCCTCCACATTATTAAGTGAAGAGGAGAAAAATTTAGAAGATAAAGTGACTACAATGTGGATTTTAAAATCTCTCAAGAAGGAGACCCTTAAAACAACCTCGATCGGCCGGGCGCGGTGGCTCACGCCTGTATTCCCAACACTTTCGAGGTGAAGGTGGGCGGAGCATGAGGTCAGGAGTTCAAGACCAGCCTGGCCAATATGGTGAAACCCTGTCCCTACTAAAAATACAAAAACTAGCTGGGTGTGGTGGTGCGTGCCTGTTGTCCCAGCTACTTGAAAGGCTGAGGCAGAAGAATCGCTTGAACCTGGGAGGCAGAGGTTGCAGTGAATAGAAATTGTGCCACTGCACTCCAGTCTGGGTGACAGAGGGAGACTCGGTCCCAAAACAACAACAACAACAACAACAAACAACAAAAAAAAACCCACCTCGATCAAGAACAATACTAAAACATAAGGCTACAATTTTCAGAGAAAAGACAGATTTCTTTAAAAAAAAGTTAATAATAAAAATTATGAATAATTATATACATTTTTTTCTGATCCCAATTCTCCAATCTAATTTCATTTCCTAATACTCCGCTTTGTACACCCCTGGTGCCTGCCAAGCTGGGCTGCTCACTGCCTACTGATACCTACCCTGTGTGCTGTTCCAAACATGTTACCATGTCTACTCAACAAGTTTTTGAGTTAGTTGTTATTTTAAATGAGGACATAGGGGTTCATAAGGTTAGGTAATCTGCCCAAGTCACACAACCAGCAGAGGACAGAGCTGGAACTTGGACTTAAGCTCCACAGCCTGGCCTCACGTCCGCGTGCTACACTGCCTGTCTGCTCTGAGCCCTGGCTCCTGTCATCTCTGCTAGACACCCTCTGTCTTCCCTCCTGCTTCTCCAAATCCTATTCCTTCTTCAGGGTCTACCTCCACCAGAAAGCCACTCAGAGTACAAGGCCCACTCTATTTAGTCCTGCTTCGGGTTCGAAATAAACTTCTAATGAGATAGTTTCCTTTTCTTGATTGATTCATAGATACCACTTTCCTCTGAGTTTGGGTCTTCTTTAAGATCTCTAAAAAGCAAGGGCTCTGCATATACTTCTTTTGTTTCTCCCAATGGGCCTAGGTAGTCCCATGTCATGCTCAATATACATTTCTTGACTGAGATTGAGTCATCGAGTATTTTCTAGATAAGGGTGAGGAATAATTTTTTTTCCCCTAAAACTGAAAAAACCAAATAAAATCCTCATTGAACCTAAGCTAAAGTATTTAAGAAGTTAAGGATGGTTTTCTCAGCAACCTGGAGAAACTTGACCTTTTTGTTTTCCAAGCCTGGCCTTTCGAAAGTGGCTCAAGTTGAATTTTAACTCAAGTTACTGAAGTGGTTGCAGTGACAAATAGTAGAAGCTTCTTTTTACTGAGCATCAGCCATGTGCATGCCAGGTATTTTGTATCAATCTCTTCAAAATGTCATACTTAAGTAAGGGTTTTTACAGATAGAGAAATGCAAGTTTAATAAAGTTATTTGTCTGAAATCAACCAATAGTTTATTTTTATTTTTTATTTTTTTTGAGACAGTCTCCCTCTATTGCCCAGGCTGGAGTGCAGTGGCATGAGCTTGGCTCACTGCAACCTCTGACTCTCAGATTCAAGATATTCTCCTGCCTCAGCCTCCTAAGTAGCTCAGACTTCAGGTGTGCACCACCACACCTGGCTAATTTTTGTATTTTTAGTAGAGATGGGTTTTCACCATGTTGGCCAGGTTGGTCTTGAACTCCTGACCTCAAGTCATCTGCACCCCCCTCAGCATCCCAAAGTGTTGGGATTACAGGTGTGAGCCACCATACCCAGCCAATCAATAAATTATTAATGAAAGATTGCAAACTATAGCTGCTGTGCTTGATTTTTTTTAGCTCATTATTTTATATTCTCCAATGCTGCCTTTTTTGGATTTAGATGAATTCCCTTAGTTCTCAACCTGCATCTGGAATGTTTCTGGGAAAACTACTTAAAATTTCTGATCTCAATTTTCTTTTTTATATTGTTTTCACAGTTGACATGATGTCTACTTAGAAAATCCCAAAAACATCTGGAAAAATAACTGCTAGAACTATTTGGGCCACTGGGTTGCAAATACACCAGTGATGACCTTAAAAGAATAATAGTTCAAAATGACCAACATAAATCAATGGTTCTTAATAGGGAAGACTGACCTTAATAAGCCAAACATCTAATTTTTTGCTTAGGTCTAGAATTACATCAATCCAGTGAGATAACCCTCGTTCTTTTATGGTAATCTGATTATGGTGACTACAAATTTGATAAAATTTTTGATTAATAAAAATGGAGAAATCTATAGATATTAAAAGTAGCAAAATAATACTATGAAAAACTTGATGCCTACAATTTGACAACTTATCGGAAATGGGAAAATACATTGAAAGACATAATTTGTCAAAGTTTACTCATAAAAAATTATCTATTTTAAAAAATTCAAATTCTAGTTAAAAATAATCCAAGATGGAAAACTTCAGGCCCAAGTAGCTTTACTGGCAAATTCTACCAACCATTTAAGGAAAATACAATACCAATTTTATATCAATCCTTCCAGAAAATAGAAGAGGGAGGAATGCTTCTAACACTTGTTATGAAGCCAGTATTACCCTGATAACAAAACCAGACGCAAACATCACAAGAAAACTACAGGCCAATATTTCTCATGAACACAGGTACAAAAATATTTAACAAAATGCAACAAATCAAATCCATCAATATATAAAAAGATAATACACCATGGCTAGGTAGTATTTTTTACCCCACGAATGCCAGACTGGTTGAACATTCAATAATCACTCCTTGTAATTCTCTATTTAGTCTATCAACAGACTAGAGAAAAGAAACCACATGAGACATGAGAGAAGCATCTGAGAAAATTTAGTAAAATAAAATAAAAACACTCAGAAAACTAGAAAAACCTACTTCATCTCATCTATCAGGAGAACCATAGCTACTGTAGTGAGTGGTAAAAGACTGAATGTTTTCTCCCTAATATTGGGAACAGGACAAGGATGTTCTTTTCTCCATTCCTATTCCACATTATACTGGAGGTTCTAGCTTGTGCAATAAGATAAGAAAAAAAAAGCTGAATAAAAAGAGACTAAAATAATCTCTGTTCATGGATGACACAATTGTTTATTTAGAAAATTCCAAATAATCAGAAAAGAGAGCTACTAGAACTAGTAAGTGAAACCAGCAAGGTTGCAGGACACAAGTTCAATATAATTAAAGTCAGTCCTCATTTCTATATATTAGCAAATGCACTACTGGTAATTGACAAAATGCATAAAATGCCATTTATAATAGTACCCAAACTACATGAAATACTTAGAGATAAATTTAAATATGAGCAAGGTTAGTATGCTGAAAATTATAAAACTGATGAAAAATCAAAGATCTAAATAAGTGGAGAGATACAAATGCTCATTGACTAGAAGACTCAATATTGTTAAGATGTCAGTTCTTCCCAAACTGCTGTATAAATTCAATACAATCCCAATCCAAATACCAGAAGGACTTTTTCTTAGAAATTGTCAAGCTGATTCTAAAACTTATGAAGAAACGTAAAAGAGCCGGAATAGTCAAAACAATTTAGAAAAAGAACACTGTTCAAGGATGCACACTACCTGATTTCAAGGCTTATAATAATAATCAAGATAGTGTGATGTTGGCAAAAATATAGATACATAGATTTATGAAACAGAATACAAAGTCAAGAAATAGATCCCCACAAAGATAGTCAATAGATTTTTTTGTCATAAAAGTGTCAAGGACATTCAATAAAGAAAAGTTTTTTTTTAACAAATGATGTAGGAATCATTTGTTTGAATGGTTTGGATATCCACATAAGCAAAAATGACCCTTAATTTATATCTTACATCAAATATAAAAATTAACACAAGATGGATCACCGACTTGAAAATAAAACACAAAACTTTGAAAATTCTAGAAAAAAAAAGGAGAAATTATTTGTGGCTTTGAATTAGGCAAAGATGTCTTAGATATGGTACCAAAGCCATGATTTAGCATTAAAAAAATGAGAATTAAGAACTTCCATTCAGAAGACACTATTAAGGAAATGAAAATACAAGATACAAACCTGGAGAAAATCTTTGCAAAACATCTGATGACAGACTTGCATCCAGAATATATTTTTTAAAAGCTCAAAACTCAATAATAATCAAACAATCCAATTTATAAAATGGGCAAAAGATTTAAACAGATAATCCACCAAGGAAAATACACAGATGGTAAATAAGCACATGAAAAGATGGTTGTCCTCATTAGCCATAAGGGTAATGAAAATTAAAATCACAATGAGATACACGCCTATTAGAATGGAATAAGAGAAAAAAAAAGCTGACAATGCCAAGTGCTGGGAATGCAGAGCAATGGGATCTCACATACTTTGCTAGCAAAAATGAACAATGGTACAGCCACTTTGGAAAACAGCTTGGGAGTTTTAAAATAAAGTTAAATATACACTTACCATGTGACCAAACAATCTCATTTTTAGGTAGGTACTCAAGTGAAAGAAAAACTTACGTAAAACCTGCCTATGAATGTGTATAGAAGCTTTAGTCATAATTGCCAAAAACTAGGAACAATCCAAATATTCCTCAACTAGTGAATGAGTAAACACACTTGGTCCCCCAATACAATGAAATATTACTTAGTAATGAAGAGAAATGAACTACTAATACACACAATATGTATTAATCTCAAATGCATTATGCTCAATGTAAGAGGGCCAGATTCAAAATATATGCATATAGTATGAACCATTTGTATAACTTTCTGGAAAATATACAACCAGGACAGAAAACAAATCAGTGGTTTCTAGGTACTGGGGATAGGATGGAGAGTTTACTCCAAAGGAACACAGGTAATTTTTTTAGGGTGATGTCACTGCTCTCTATCTTGATAATTGTAGTGATTACATGACTGGGTTACATGACTGTATGGTACACTAAAAGTATAAGTTTTAGTACATGCAAAGTATACGGTAAACATTTTTTAATATGGGGGAAAAATTAATGATTATTTAATTCATGTAGGAAGACAAAGCCCCTGTCAAAACACCAGGTCCATGAGAGTTGATGATGGAAAAGGGAATGTATTCCATAAATTCTTGGTGAATAAATTATTGGAAATATTGGGCTAGTTCAGTGGATTCCCTATTGGCTTTGTATCAGAATAACCTCTGGAGTTTATAAAAAATACAAATTTATGGATTTCTCCTCAGAGATTCTAATTCAATAAGTCAGGTCCCAGGAATTTCTATTTTTTCAATATTCACTAAATTAATGTGATGTCCATCCAGGGTTAGAATCCTTGAGCTGTATAATTGTTAAAATCCTTTCTAAACTAATCATTCTTATAACTGCATAGAATTTAGGATGTATGTAAACTTCTTTGGAGGAAAAATATTTACGTTTACTAGCCCTATGTGACATTTAACATTTCCTTCAACTATGAATGGTGGGTAACAAAACTCATACGTATTATTAGTTCATGTGGCTTCGTTGCACACAGATATCTCAGATATTTTCATGTTATATTAATATTATATTTCAAATTAAGAAATATTTTGATAATATCTCAGATATCTTAAAATATTTATACTCATTAACTGGAAATTACAGTAACTATTAGAATTATCTCTAAATCTAGTTATGTAATATATTAATAATGACATAAATATGCCACAGTTATTTTAATATTTTAATAATTGCATTATGATAATATCAGTATTCTTTGTAATCTCTTATATTACATTTTATATAAAAAGGCTTTTCCTAGAAAGGGGTTTATAGACTTTACCAGGCAGCCAAAGTGGCTCATGGGACAAAATAATTAAACACTTTCATGGTAAGTTTCCCTGATTTAAAGTGTTAGGGCTCCCGTTGTCATTGCCCATTTTTGTAATGGAAATGTGTTTTCTTTTTGCCAATCTGTACATTACCTTTGTCCACTAAGAATATTAAGAGAAACCATTTTTCCCAATCTGTGATTTATTTTTTAATAAAAAAGTGGGCCGGGCATGGTGGCTCACTCCTGTAATCACAGTAATTTGGGAGGCTGTGGTGGGTGGATTACCTGAGGTTAGGAGTTTGAGACCAGCCTGACTAACATGGTGAAACCCTGTCTCTACTAAAAATAATAATAATAAAAAAATTATCCACGTGTGGTGGCACAAACCTGTAATCCCAGCTACTTGGGAGGCTGAGGCAGGAGAATCGCTTAAAACTGGGAGGCGGAGGTTGCGGTGAGCTGAGATCGTGCCATTGCACTCCAGCCTGGGGGACAGAGCGAGACTCTGTCTCAAAATAAATAAATAAATAAATAATAATTTTAAAAAGGGGAGAAAAATCATTAAAAAAATAAAGTATTATGGCTCCTGTAACTGCAGACACACCCATATTTAAATGAAAGCAGAGGGGGAAAGCTACTTTAAAATAAAGGTGTGATGGGGTTCTGGATCACCTAAGGCATTTCTGGTTACCAACATCCCTTTACTCAATCAAGCTGGCACGGAAATATATTTAGGTCAGGCGCGGTGGCTCACGCCTATAATCCTAGCACTTTGGGAGGCCTGGACAAAAAAAGAGCGAAGCTCAGTCTCAAAAAAAAAAAAAAAAAAAAAAAAAAAAAAAAAAAAAAAAAACGGAAATGTATTTACTTGTGCAAGCCCAGCTGACAGGTTGAGGATGATAAGGCTTGGGTGTTGAAAGACACATTGAGCAATATGAGCATTCCCATATCACTCAAGTGCCTATACTTACGCTCATTCACGCTGATGGAACTTCCTCTTCTCCCACCATTTCAAAACATGGCACGCAAAATGAAAGGAAGAAAGACAAAAGAAGCAGCTAAGGTTGACAACGGAGTTGAAAGGCGCTGGTTTGTGAAAGCAAACAGATATGATGGAATACACATAAATACACACATATACACACACACACAAAACCAGATGGTAAAGTCAACCTTTATGGGAGGGGGACCACATAATTTACTCATTCTCTTCTAGGACACTATACATGAAGTTCTGCTCATAGCAGAGTGAATAAAACCTGAGTCGTTTTTATTTTGTTTCATTTTTCCTCAAAGATTTTAATGTTCTAGGGAAAAAAAAACCCCTCAGTGGAAGTAAAAGATGACTGACTAACGAAGGCATAATGCCTATGTTTTTGAAAAGTGCTGTGTCAGAGGGCAACAGAACATGGGGGTAAGAGCAGGGGCTTTTGCCTGAGACAGGTAGGTTCCAGCACTTCCCAGCTCAGTGGCCTTGAGAAAGTTGCTGACCTTTGTAAGCCTCAGTTTCTTCCTCTATAAGGCCCATTCATGCTGGCTTCATTGATACTTGTGAAGATTAAGCAATATGTGGCCAGAGAGAAAGAATTGAGAAAGCTTAATGAGAGACACCTTTCTTAGAACTCATCAAGACTAAAGGTTCCTCGAAACATAAGATTGACGGAGGGATAGTGAGATGGCAGGTGACTAGTTATGTGTGAAAGCAAGCAGTAAGAGCTAGTAGAAGGTAGGTATTAGGATGGTACTATAAAATTTTTAAAAATTTTTTCTGTGTATTTGAAAGTTTTCTAAATGTAATGATAGGGGGAAAATCTAGAGGCTTTTCTGTAGTAGCCAGTGGCCTTTGGAAATGTCTGTGGTGCCCACAAGCCCAAGAAATTAGAAACAATTCCCTCACATTCTGCTGTGTAGTCAGAGTTCAGGATCTATTTTAGGGTAGTCAGTTCAAGCAATTCTTTCTAAGCAGTTTGAACTTGAGGAGTTTGGTTAGTCTGCCATATCTTCAGTTTCCTCATTTGTAATTGGTGATAGGCATGCCTGCCTCTTAGGATTACACATGATGTACCTGGCACTCATGATTATAGTTATGACTCTTATTATCGGAGTCAAGAGGACCTTAAAGTTCATCTAACCAAAAACCCTTATTTTACAGATGGGCAATCAGATGCTCAGAGAAGAAAAGTGATTTCCCCAAGCTCACATAGCGGATTTGTTGTAGAATTAGTATTTGAATTTGGGTTTTCTGTGTTCTAGTCCAGTCATCTGTCCACCGTCCCACACTCCCTCCAGAGGATTGTTCCCCCCATCTTATAAAATCACATGTAACAACTATAGGGCAATCAGGCATCACCAATAATTCCTATGCAAAAGAGCAAATTTCACTAAGAGACAGCTCAGGAATTCTCTCCCCTGCTGGCTTTGTCACTCTGTTCTCAACATTTGGGTAGTCCTAGATTCCATCAGACCAAAGGACTTTGGGGCAGAAGCCGTGAGCTCTCCAGGAATCTTGGACTTGAGGGGTACTAGAATTTTTCTCTTTGGGCACTCTGGCATGGCTTGTGGGAACATTATAAGTACAGCAGCAGTCTCTTAGCAAACCATTTCTTGTCACATGTCATTTGACAAAACCAAGGCAAAGAAGAAGCTCCCTTCCAGGATATAACTGGAGTCCCAAGGCCAGCCTGTGGCCACACATGTTCCTCTTATTGGGCCGGGGAACTCTAAATTCTTGCCACATTTGCAGAAGAGAAATCAGAGACCTTCCACCCACTAGGAACCATGTGACTGTTTAGCAACTTTGCAGCAGGGGTTCAGAAATTAGAGAGAACAGCTTCTGCTCTCTAAGTTGGCTTCCTATTTCTCGCCTGGTCACACTCAAGACACTTCTCTGGCCTTATCTAACACCCATGCACATTGTGCTAGTCTCCAAGTAAATTTAGCTACAAAGATTTTTTTTTTAATGTTCAGTACTGGAATTCCCTCAGCCATGTGACTCTGAGCCTCCTTATCAGGTTCCATGAAACTTGATGACTGCAGATCCTGAAGAATCTAAGGTAGCAAAATACTTTCCACTGAGAAGTCAAGGTTGTGTGTGAAACAGTGAAACATGAGGTCTGGCCCCTATTGCTATTATAAAAATGTTAAGCTATGTAAGCTTTTGGGATGGCTTTTCTGCCATCAGAGCAATCTGTGGAACTGGTTGCCAAGGAGCCAGCAAAGGCTAGATGAGTTCCTTTACAAAACAGTTCTATTGAAGAATAATTTACATGCCATCAAATGCTCTCATTTTAAGTGTATAACTCAATGATGTTTAGTAGACATATGGTTGTGCAACCACCACCACAAACCAATTTTAGAAGATTTTCAACACCCTAAAGAGATCTCTCCTGCCCATTAGCAATCACTCCCAGCTGCCACTCACATGCTCTGGCAGTCACTAATCGTTTTGTCTCTATAGATTTGCCTTTTCTGGACATTTCATGCAAATGAACAGATGAGTTCTTAAGAGTAGGTGTCTCAATGACTCATCTATTCAGTCATATAACAAATATACATTAGGCACACTTAATGTGCCAAGCACTGTTGTAGGTGCCAGGTGCTCACCCTAAAGTGGACAGATAGGCTAGATCCCATGCAGCTGAGAAGGCAATAAGTTAACTCACAAAAACAGTAAAGGGGGATGGAATGTGAAGGGGAGGCCCAAAGATCTCAGGAGCCCTTACCTGGAGCTCATAATGTAGTCTGAAGAATTCAGACCAGAAGAATTCAGGTCTCTTGGAGGAGGTGGTGGTATCTGAACAGAAAACTAAAAGGGAGGCTGGGTTAAGCAGAAGAAGAGGAGGAGAGAGCACACACTAGGCCAAGGAGCTGCTTTAGGAAGGCCCAGACCGAAGAGAATTTATGCCAAGTTTGAGAGACCAAAGCAAGTTTGGCAAGGCTGGAGTATGGTGTATGTGAGGGATCTGGGACAGGGAGGGGGAAGCGATGGCCCTAGTGACCCTAGAAAGCAGATGAAGCCCGGTCACAGATGCCCAGGGCATATCAGTTTGATGGTACCTTGAGGGCAATGAGAAGCCTCTGGAAGGCCTTAAGTAAAGTTGGTTGTGACATAGTGGTATTGCAAACATATTGGAACAGGGCAAAAATGCAGGCAGGGAGACCAAGTAGGAGACTTCTGGAGCAACCTAGGTAAGAGATGCTGAGAGGTGACAGCGTGCTGGCAGTCCTCACAGCCCTCGCTCACTCTCGGCGCCTCCTCTGCCTGGGCTCCCACTTTGGCGGCACTTGAGGAGCCCTTCAGCCCACCGCTGCACTGTGGGAGCCCCTTTCTGGCTGCCCAAGGCTGGAGCCCACTCCCTCAGCTTGCAGGGAGGTGTGGAGGGAGAGGCGCGAGCGGGAACCGGGGCTGCGTGCGGCGCTTGCGGGCCAGCTGGAGTTCTGGGTGGGCGTGGGCTTGGCGGGCCCCGCACTCGGAGCAGCCGGCCGGCCCTGCCGGCCCCGGGCAATGAGGGACTTAGCACCCGGGCCAGCGGCTGCGGAGGGTGTACTGGGTCCCCCAGCAGTGCCAGCCCACCGGCGCCGTGCTCGATTTCTCACCGGGCCTTGGCTGCCTTCCCGAGGGGCAGGGCTCGGGACTGCAGCCTGCCATGCCTGAGTCTTCCCCCGCCTCCGTGGGTTCCTGTGCAGCCCTGGCCTCCCCGACAAGCCCCGCCCCCTGCTCCACGGCGCCCAGTCCCATAGACCACCCAAGGGCTGAGGAGTGCGAGGGCATGGCGCGGGACCCGCAGGCAGCTCAACCTGCAGCCCCGTGCGGGATCCACTGCGTGAAGCCAGCTGGGCTCCTGAGTCTGGTGGGGACGTGGAGAATCTTTATGTCTAGCTCAGGGATTGTAAATACACCAATTGGCACTCTCTATCTAGCTCAAGGTTTATAAACACACCAATCAGCACCCTGTGTCTAGCTCAGGGTTTGTGAGTGCACCAATCTACACTCTGTATCTAGCTGCTCTGGTGGGGCCTTGGAGAACCTTTATGTCTAGCTCAAGGTTTGTAAACACACCAATCAGCACCCTGTGTCTAGCTCAGGGTTTGTGAGTGCACCAATGGACACTCTGTATCTAGCTGCTCTGGTGGGGCCTTGGAGAACCTTTGTGTCCATACTCTGTATCTAACTAATCTGATGGGGAGGTGGAGAACCTTTGTATCTAGCTCAGGGATTGTAAACGCACCAATCAGCACCCTGTCAAAACAGATCACTCGTCTCTACTAATCAGCAGGATGTGGGTGGGGCCAGATAAGAGAATAAAAGCAGGCTGCCGGAGCCAGCAGTGGCAACCCGCTCGGGTCCCCTTCCACGTTGTGGAAGTTTTGTTCTTTTGCTCTTTGCAATAAATCTTGTTACTGCTCACTCTTTGGGTCCACACTGCTTTTATGAGCTGTAACACTCACCGAAAAGGTCTGCAGCTTCACTCCTGAAGCCAGGGAGACCACGAGCCCACCGGGAGGAACGAACAAGTCCAGACGCGTTGCCTTAAGAGCTGTAACACTCACCGCGAAGGTCTGCAGCTTCATTCCTGAGCCAGCGAGACCACGAACCCACCAGAAGGGAGAAACTCCGAACACATCTGAACATCAGAAGGAACAGAGACTCCGGACACGCCGCCTTGAACTGTAACACTCACCACGAGGGGCCGTGGCTTCATTCTTGAAGTCAGTGAGACCAAGAACCCACAAATTCCAGACACAATGCCACAGGGAGGCAGCACAGTAGGTAAAGGCTTGGATTCCCAAGTCAGCCTGATCAAAGAGTTGTTGAACCTTGGTTACACTGCGTAACTTCTCTAAACTTCTCATCTGTGATTGCGGAGTATAATAATCCCTCCTCACAGGATTGTCAATGTGAGAATGAAGTGACAAGGCTTCCACAGCATTTTACACAGTGCCTGGCATCAGGTGCTCAGCAATGTGAGGTTCTGGGTGGCAGGGACCCACCACGGCCTCTCCATCTCACGCTCTGCTCAAGAAAGACTCACTGCACAGCAGCAATGTGTTAAGCACTGTGAGTGAAGATGAAGATATACTTCCTGCCATATTCATTGAGCAAGGTAAATTCTTAGGGTTTGTGTACTATGGACTCCTTTGGCTGCCTGCTGAATCTTGCAGACCACTTATCAGAATCATGTATTAAAAGCATAAAGTAAAATGCATAAAAGCTTCTTATTGATTCTCAAGTGTAACCAAAGTAGAAAACCCCTACTCCAGGTGTCTAGCGTTGTAAGAGAAAGCCTTTTAAGTATTCTTAAGTGGCATTTCAAGTGGGGTAAGCTTTTCAAGTAGAATTCATTCAACATTTCCCAAGCAGCTACCACGTGCTAGGTGCTTACCTAGAGCAGAAAATAAGACAAAGTTCCTGCCTTCATGAACTTACATGAGGGGTCAGGCAATAAACAAATAAATGAGAAAATATATTGTGTGCCAGATGAGGGTAAGCACTGTGGGAAAAATAAAGCATGTTGTATTAGGGTTCTCTAGAGAAACAGAATCAATAGGATCTATTTATTCATTAAGGGGCTTTGTCTCATATGATTATGGAGGGGGAGCAAGTCCAAGGCCCGCAAAGCTGATGTCCCAGTTTGAGCCTGTAGGCTGGCAGACTGCTGCAAAATCAGGAAGGGCCAATGTTCCAGTTGGAAGGCCATTAGGCAGAAGAAGACTCTCTTATTCTGGGGAGGGTCAGCCTTTTGTTCTATTCAGACCTTCAGCTGATTGTCCACCCATGTTAGGGAGGACAGTCTGCTTTACTCAGTCTACATATTTAAATGTTCATCTCATCCCAAAACACCTGCACAGAAACACCCAGAATAATGTTTGACTAAATATCTGGGCACATCTATGGCTCAGTCAAGTTGACACATAAAATTAACAATCATATGGGTTAATGGGAAAGGTGGTAACTGGGGGTGCTATTTTAAAAGGGTTTTCAGAGGAGGCATCTTTAGGGAGAGGCCATAAGAACAGTAATCTAAACGAAGTAAAAGCCAGAAGCTGTGAAAGAGGATCTTTCCCGGGGAAGGGCATAGCAGGTATGAAACCCTATATCTGACACGAGTTTAGGATATCCAAACTACTGTAAGAAACTGCTAAGGGTGGATCACAAAGGGCTGGAGAGTGCCTCAGGGAATGAGATAAAGTTGGAGAGATGGACTGCAGCAGCAGGTTTATGCAGACCTTGTAGGCCAAGGCAATAAATAATTAGGCATTTTGTATTAAGGGTCATGGAAAACTACTGGAGAGTCTTAACCAGCTCTCTCTGGCTACTGTGCTGAGAGTAGGCTATGCTGAAAATAGGCCAGGGTGGAAGCAGGGAGACCGAAAACCGAAGCTATTGCCATTATCAGGCTAGAGGGGATGGTGGCTTGAGCTGCAACGAAGTTGGTGAGAAGTGCCCAGATTATGAACATACTGTGAAGGCCTGGTAGATGACTCAATTACGGGGTGAGTAGGATATGCAGTAAATGTGCAGAATGTGCCCCCATCAACCCGTTTCACAGACACTGATCATGCTTGATGACAATTCAACATCCGCACAGGGAAAATTTGCTGGGGGCGGCCCCTGACAACTGACTACTTTTCTCATGAGCTATGGATTCAGCAACTTCTGGAAATCTGCTCTTACTTTATTCATCACTGTAGGTTTCTGTCTTTTTGCCACGGAAGCTATCTCTGTAGGTGTTGCCTTTCACTGTATCTTGGTAGATCAGTTTCACTTTGTGAGCTCTTTTTGACTACTTAAATCTCACAGACTTGTTGATTTTCTCTTACATTTCCAAAGAACTGACATATTATCGGGATATGACTGGCATATGTCAAATGCACAGAGCATAAGTGAACTGTTTAACGTGTACACTCATAAAATCCACACCCTACACAGGATGAGAACATTCTACATTCCACAATACCCCTGTCTAGTCAATCCTTACCAGTCCTATCCCACTCCCTCCTCTGCTCCCTCTTCCTCTGGCCGGAACTTCTGTTCTGATTTCCGTCAACATAGATTAGTTTAGTGTATTCTTCAATTTTGTATAAAGAAATCATTAGTATGCATTACCTGTGTCTTGCTTCTTTCACTCAACATAATGTTTTTGAGATTTGTGTGTTATTGATTGTGTCAATAGCTTATTCTCTGGATGAATATACCATAATTTGTTTATTAATTCACCACTTGATGGACATTTGGGTTGCTTCCAGTTTGAGGTAGTTACAATTAAAACTACAATGAACTTTCAGTGTATCTTTTTATTTACAAATACTTTCATTTATCTCTGGTAACACCTAGGAATGGAATTGCTTGGTTGTCAGGTAGACATATGTTAAACTTTGTAAGTTTTTTTTTATTTAATTGCCATGTATGGAAAGCCACAGAAGCATTTTAGCCAGGTACATTCACTGAAGGACTTACCACATCATCAAGTCTTAAACAGAAATAATGTGTGACAACACAGATAAAAATAATGATGTTGAGGAGGAGAGGAGGATAATGATGATGGTGATGGTAGAGGTACTGTTTTTGTGTAATAGTATTTACCATGTACAGCTTTGTGTTCCATTTTATTAAATCATTGTAACACTGAGAGGTGAGTATTATTATCCTCATTCTAAAGCTGAAGAGCTGCTCAAATAAATCAGCAAGAAAAAAGCAAATAATCCCATTAAAAAGTGGGCTAAGGACATGAATAGACAATTCTCAAAAGAAGATATACAAATGGCCAACAGACTTGAAAGAATGCTCAACACGCTAATTATCAGGGTAATGCAAATCAAAACCACAGTGTGATACCACCTTACTTCTGAAAGTATGACCATACTTAAAAAATGAAAAAAATAATAGATGTTGACATGGATGTGGTGAAAAGGGAACTCTTCTCCACTACTGGTGGGAATGTAAACTAGTACAACCACTACGTAAAACGGTGTGGAGATTCCTTAAAGAACTAAAGGTAGATCTACCATTGACACTGCTGCATATCTACCCAGAGGAAAAGTCATTATAAGAAAAAGACACTTGCACACACATGTTTATAGCAGCACAATTCACAATTACTAAAATATGGAACAAGTATATATAACAAGTGTGTGTATATGTATATATGTATATATGTGTATATATATGTATATATGTATATATGTATATATGTGTATATGTGTATATATGTATATATGTGTATATATGTGTATATATGTATATATGTATATATGTATATATGTGTATATATGTATATATGTATATATGTATATATGTGTATATATGTATATATGTATATATGTATATATGTGTATATGTGTATATATGTATATATGCGTATATATATGTATATATGTATATATGCGTATATATATGTATATATGCGTATATATGTATATATGTATATATATGTATGTGTATATATGTATATATGTGTGTATATATATGTATATATGTATATATCCCATGGAATACTACTCAGCCATAAAAAGGAACAAAGTAATGGCACTCACATCAACTTGGATGGAATTGGAGACCATTATTCTAAGTGTAATAACTCAGGAATGGAAAACCAAACATCAAATGTTCTCAGTAATAAGTGGGAGCTAAGTTATGAGGACACAAAGGCATACGAATGATATAATGGGCCAGGCGCGGTGGCTCATGCCTGTAATCCCAGCACTTTGGGAGGCCAAGGCGGGAGAATCACGAGGTCAGGAGATCAAGACCATCCTGGCCAACATGGTGAAACCCTGTCTCTACTAAAAATACAAAAATTAGCTGGGCGTGGTGATGCGTGCCTATAGTCCCAGCTACTCGGGAGGCTGAGGCAGGAGAATCGCTTGAACCTCGGAGGCAGAGGTTGCAGTGAGCCGAGATGGCGCCCCTGCACTCCAGCCTGGAGACAGAGCGAGATTTCATCAAAAAAAAAAAAAAAAAAAGATATAATAGACTCTAGGAGGAAGGATGGGAGGGGGTGAGGGATAAAACACTACACGTTGGGTTCAGTGTACACTGCTTGCATGATGGGTGCACTGAAATCTCAGAAATCACTGCTAGAGAACTTATCCATATAACAAAATACCACCTGTTCCCCAAAAACTATTGAAATAATAAAAATAATAATAGTAAATGAAAATAAAATAGATTAGAAAAAAAAGTTGAAGAGATGGAAGCTCAGAAACATTAACTTTCTCAAAGTCACTCAAACCCATACTGAAAGAGAAACGTATACTCTTCCTACTAACTTTATAACCTCATATATAGATGTCATTTCTCACATCTTTTGATGCCCTGGCTAGCCTCCTGGGTGGCTGCTTTGCCTTTTATGTGATGTTTTGAGTCCTTCTCAAAGGACTCAAATGCAAGTTTGAGTTTCCAGTGAGGCTGGAAGCTGCTGTCTTGTGTTTGTTGTCCTGACCTAATGTCTTCCTGCCTGCAGGGTCCCTTTGACTATCAGTTTGTTCCTCCTTCCTCATCCCCTACCAATCTCCCAACTTCATTCATTTCCCTTCCTTTATTCCCATCAACTTTGCCCCACTCCCTTCACCATCACCATCCTCTCCATCATCAGACTCCATTATAATTTGCCTAAAGTTTATAAATGTGGACCCTTGAATCAAATTTTCTCAATGGGTAGCAGAATCTTTCCTCGAAACTGCTTATTTGCTCTCCAGAGTGCTTTATTGTTTTTGTGAAGAATTCTACCCCAAATTATTTTTTATTGAAAATGTCTGACTCAGTGGCTTTATTTTGATAAAGCCACCATGTAGCATAAAAAGTTTGATGCTGTTGAGTGCAGACATGCTATTTACATGGTTATCTTTCATCTATTTGATAGGAATTTCAAGTAGAGACATTTCAAGATGAAAAACTGAAACTTTTATAATTTTGTTTTAACTTTTCCCGCTATAAATATGTAATGATGATTAAGATAATTAAGACAAAACCTGAGTCCTGATTTTTAGCAATAAACTCGTGCCTAAAAACAATAGCCTATATTTAGATAATGTTTCAAATCATTTTCATGTACTTTAAATCAACCTCCATAAAACCCTCTGAGGTAGACCATTCAGATGTAATTAGGAAGCATGCCTATTAAGTAGGAAGTTAAGAAAATGAAGGTTCTCTAGAAAGTCTAATAGAACCCCAAGTATGTCTTCATATAAATTTGACGTCTTTCATCATTTCAATATCATTGAAAAATCACCAGTTCACCCCATTTGTAGAGATACTCTTTAAAAACTTAAATAAATTTAACTAACAATTATCTTTTGAAATATTTAAGCAAGTTATATTTACTATTTAAATAGGTTACAAGTTTAAACTGCTGTTTAAATTGCCCTCGGGGATTTCCCTAAAATTTGAAGCCTATGGATATAATATCCAATTTGCCAGAAAGTGGGCGCCCTCTTGTGGAACACTTAATACCAAAGAGGAGCAGACTTGCATCAAAAAGGATTAAACAGTCTAAGCACAGCAGCATTCATTCACCAATGTATGCACTGAACCCTTAGAAATAAATTAGAAAAGCAAATAATATCTTAGTAGATAAGTTTACTCAAGACAACCGAGAGCCTTAGAATTTGAGAACTACATCACCAAGGTGTAACATCATTTGACGGATAAAGCAAACACATTTCAAAGAAATTAAGTGACTTATCCTCAAATTATAAAACATCAACAATCTGAGATCCTGCTAAGAATGTAAGATCTTTCATGAGAATAGCATTAACACGGTGAGTGTGCATAAAAGATCCTGAAGAGATATGCCTCAAGAGAAATATATAGTATGGCAAATATTTCAATAATACCTTTTAAAATACTTTTAAAATTAATTTTTAATTTTAATTTAATAAATTTAATTAAAATTAATTTAATAAATTTAATTAAAATTAATTTAATAAATTTAATTAAAATTAATTTAATAAATTTTAATTTATTTTTATTAAAATTAATTTAATAAATTTTAATTTAATAAATTTAATTAATTTTAAAAATTAATACTTTTAATAATACCTTATGGTTCTTCATCCCTTAGACATTCTTGAATAAGAGTCATTGGTGGAGGAGGCTAATGATAAGGCTGATGCCCTGATGGAAGGGGGGTGATGATGCTGACCTTGACCTACGATGAGGTGTGGGTATCAGGAAGACCGTAAACAGATGGTTTAGAGAGTTTTGATGAGGGTGAATCCACAGAACCTGCTGAAACTGGTTGCCGTGAAAGGAAGAGGCAAGAATGGCTCCAAAATTTCTGATTTGGAGCAACTAAGTGGATGGCAATTGACGTAGGAAATATGAGAGCAAGAACAGGCTTGAATGAATAAATTGTAGCCAAAAAAGTTATTAGCTTGTTGTCTACATTTTCTTTAGGAGGAGTGGGTCACATAATCTGAAACCTTGCATGTATTGGAAGTGGAGGATATGTGAGAGTGTATCTGCAAGAATATTTAACTGACAGCAAAGGAATTAGAGAAAGTTCTTGCCTGGTTGGCTTGCACGTGTTGATAAGACTCGAAAAAACAAAAACAGAAACAAAAAAAAATCAAGGGTATAATGGAGGCTTTATTCTTCTCTGTCATTTTTTTGTCAGTAAACCTTCAAAATACCCCAATTTTAAGATGTAATTATAATAGAATTAAGTAGCTCTAAATTATATAATAATTGCATTTAGTTTTAATTATGATTACTTTTTTATTTTAGCCTTCTTGCTTGACATTTTTTTTGCAACATAATTGCAATGATGGGCAACTGGGTAGGCCTGGTTGTTCTCCTTATTTACTGTCTAGATTATTAGACAAAGGTAATATTCTGAAAATATTACCTTTGTAATGTACAGGTGAGCTATACATTTGGGGAGGGGACTATATGTCAGATTCCTTGGTTTAAAATATTATTCTTTTTGGGAGGTTTCAGAATTTCAGAGAAAAGTTCCAGAAAGAGAGTAAACCTTGGAACATTGGGCACAGATTCTTTAATGGTGGAATTTCAGGAATGGAGGCAGATAATAATGAACATGTCTTAGGACCTAGAACAGTTGACTAGAGTGTCTCAAATCACACCTGAAAGGTAGTCAGTCACCAACTTTTTTCCTTCTTGTAGAGTCAAGAAGATAAAGCAGATAGACCACGGGCTGTGGCCTCAGACAGAGGTGAGTTCAAAAACTGTCAGATCCTTACTGTATGACCTGCTGTATATTGTTAGCCTTCCTCACTTGAAGTTTTCTCATCTATAATGTAGATGATGATAATATCCATGTTGTATTAGACTTCTCAGACTGCCATAACAACATATGACAGGCTGAGTGGCTGAAACATCAGAAATTGTATTTTCTTACAGGTTTAGAGGCCAAGACATCCAAGATCAGGGTGTTGGCAAATTTGGTTTTTAGTGAGGGCTTTTTTTTTTTTTTTAAGACGAAGTCTTGCTCTGTTGCCCAGGCTGGATCTCAGCTCATTGCAACCTCCCCCTCCTGGGTTCAAGCCATTCTCCTGCCTCAGTCTCCCTAGTAGCTGGGACTACAGTCACGCACCACCACGCCTAGCTAATTTTTGTATTTTTAGAAGAAACCAGGTTTCACCATGTTGGCCAGGATGGTCTCGATCTCCTGACCTCATGATCCACCTGCCTTGGCCTCCCAAAGTGCTGGGATTACAGGCGTGAGCCACCATACCTGGCCTGTTATCTCTTCTTTTAAGGACATATTCTGCCTGATCATGGACCCACCTTTTTGACCTTACTTAACTTTGATTATTTCCTTAGAGGCTCCATCTCCAAATATAGCCACACTAGGGTTAGGACTCCAACATATGAATTTTGGGAGGATGGGTGGACATAAACATTCAGTCCCTAACAAATGTCAAAGAGCCTCAGTGAAGATTAAGTAATATAATGGTGTTAAATACCTGACTCTTTTCTGGTTGTAGAATACAGATAACAGAAGTTGACTTCCTTTGCCCCTTAAGAGACATGTCATGTCTATTGTATTTAAAACTATCATTCCATTTGAAGGGTCTACTAGAGGAAACATATTTTGCCATTCTTGCTAAACGTGTTATTACATGTAACACAGCATCTATCAAAGAATGGAAGAGTGGAAATTGCTTTCTCCACTTTATTGGTCCTAATATTCCTCATTTTTGTGTTGCCTTTTGTAAGCCACCAAATCATAGTATTATTACTTTGTTTCCCTCTTGAGGAGTTAATTCCTGAATTCTTAGGATCTTTGGCTGAAGGAGCTCAAATTGCCTTCACCTTTCTTTAAGGTGCTTTCAGAGAGTGGGGAAATTGGGGATGTTATGTAATTATATTTTCTTCCTTTATTTTTTTTAAAAAAACAACTAAATATATTTAACTCAGCAATTCCCCTTCTTGGAATTTGTTCTAAGGCAATAACTTAAGATTGCAAATGCAAGGATATTTCCTGTAGCATTGCCTGTGACAAGCAAAATCAACTGGAAGTAACCTCTACATTTCATAGCACAGGCTTGCTTAGTCAGCATATCCATTTAATGAAATTATAGGTCACTACTGAAAAGCATGCTGTTAAAGAATATCTGTGGACATGCAGAAATATTTAGAAGCCAGGCTGTAAGTCCAATGTCACCAGTATTTTTACAAAGAAAAATAGGCACGGAGGAATAATCTAGGACACACCCTGAGATGCTGACAGTGGTTACTTTGAGATTAAAGTTAGCATTTTCCTAGTGTTTTTTTCTTCCAATTTTCTTGTATTAACTATTAATTGTAAATATAAAATAACTTAATAAGCATTACTTTTTAAAAAGCTGAGACATCTGGAGACCCACAGTATTTTCAGTGGGGTTCTGCCTTGGTCAACATCTGTTGGGGAAGAATTGAGCACTGATGAATGCTCCTGAGGAGGGTAATTTAGGAAAAATGGGTGACACTCCAACTCAATGACTCTTTGAAAGCCCTAATGGTCAAAATGTAAGTGGATAAATTTTATATTATTATAAAATATGTCTATATAAATAATAAAAAACTGGAAGGAATCAGAGCATAAGTCAACAGTGGCACTTATAGTGATTTTTCTTTTCTTCTTTTTATATTTTTAAAGAAGGATTTAATTTCATAATGGACATGTTTTAATGTCATAGCATTTTTTTTTGCCACTGACTCAGTAAATGAAGGGACTGCACTTTCAGGAAAAATTAAATTTAAAGGCCTTGAGAACAAGGAAAGTGCAATATTCTTCTTAGTTTCCCTCTTAGCATCCAATATGGGCCCAAGTGCATGTTGGTGACCTGATCAAATACTGACTGGATATGTCAAGATGGATTTATCTGTGCTACTCATGTTTCTTTACAGTGTGAACAGTTTTGAAATCAGTGGCATATTGAGCTCTAAAACAAAAAAATAAATAAAAATTGGTGGGAGAAGAATTGCTTTCAGAATGGAGAACACATTTTTGCTTCTTCAGGAAAACAGCCAGCAGTAAGGAGATAAATCCTTGGATGAGAATCAAGGAAGTTTCTAACCACAAAGCTAACCATCAGTTGCTCATGTTGTTCCATGAGCAGATTCTGCACGGATCACCCTCAGCATTGGTTTCTCATCCAGTCACACAGGGGACATGGACTTGTTGATTATTTAGGGGTGTGTGGTTATTGGTAAAAAGCTTCCAAAGATCTTGTTCCCATCTGCTCAGCCACTTGATGGGCTAAATCCAGAGCCAAGTGTTGGGTCTTCCCTAAAACGTGCTGACCCGGAACCACAAAGCCCGGGCTCAGCCTCCAAAGCTGCCCTTCTTACAAGGAGATCAAAACCAAACTGTTACGAAATCCATCAAAATAAATCAACTCAACCTCTGAGAATCATGAAAGCATAGTCCTCAGTGAGGGAACAATAACGATGAAGTTAAATATTTACATAGCATCTAATACATTGCAAAGCCTTTTACTTGCACATTTGAAATTCTCTTGACCTAGTAATAAGAGAGGCAGACAAGGTCTCATTAGCCCATGTTAAGAAAAGAAGAAACAAAAACACAGATTCAGTGTTTCACCCAATGTCACCTGGTGTGTCAGTGGAAGAGGTGGGATATGGCTCCCAGGGTCCCTAATTTTTTGTAAAGTCAACTTTATTAAGGTGTAACTTACATACAAGAAAACTTGTCAATTTTAAATATACAATTCCATGAGTTATGACAAACTTTTACGATGTGTAACCACCAACACAATCGAGATATAGAACATTTCCATCACCCCCAAAGTTTCCTCTTGTCTTTGTAGTCAAATCTCCTTCCACTCCCAACCTTTGGCCACTGGCAACCACTGATCTGGATTCTATTATTATAGCTTCACCTTTTCTTGTATTTTATGTTAGTGAAATCACACACCATATGGCCTCTTAGTATAACACTTTCTGAGATGTATCCATGCTGTTAGCTGTATTTGTAGCTCAATTATTTTTATTGCTGAGTAGTACTCCATGGTGACAGTATTCTGTTGTGTATTTTATTCTAGTAGAATTTTATTGGAATATATGAATATATCACAGCTTGTTCATCTGTTTACCTGTTGACCCACCTTTACTTTGGGATCTACTAAAACGCTGGTGGGTACTTGCCTCCCCCATCTTTATGTAATCTTTATGAGGGCAGTGACAGTGTCTGTCTGGGCCACGACTGTTTCCCCAGTGCCTAATACAATGTTCAGCACAGGGGAGGCACTCAGTAAAGATTTTATGAATGAATGCATGAATGAATGAACACATGCGTCAATACATTGGTTTAGCTAATCAACTGAGAATGGAGACTGACCTATGAAAAGAACACATTATTAGCTAATTTCTCTATTTTGACCTTTTTCAGGTTCTGAGCACTAGACTAAGCTCAGTCTTTCATAAACTGAGAGAAACAATTCTTATCTTATGTGATTATTGTGAGTATTAAATGAGATAACCTATGTAAGACACTTTACACAGTGCCTGCCATGTAATAAGCACCTAATAACTTCTCTGGGTATTATAATAATTGCTATTATTTTAATAAGAACAAATGCTATTCAAGCTATGGAACTTTGATGGGGGTTGGCAAACTCCTGTTCCCAGAAATTCAACTGAAAAACCAAGGTGTAGCTATTAAAAGCTTTCTTCCTTTCCTGGTATGTAAAGAAATGTAACACTTCTACTCACAGGTCATCGGTGACTGACACTCTGGCTTGCATGTTTGTGCAAAGCTGTCCTTATTAGTGTAATATGTGACATTGTTTTAGAAAGTGGCTGCCATTGCAGTCTTCACACTCCCATCATTGGCAATTAGAAGGTAAATTTATATTTTAAAATTTGATTCAGAATATGAGTATAATCTCACCTGCTACCAATTCAGGAAGCCTCCTTTGCCAGTCTGTCAACTTTGATCGATTATTCTGAGAATTTCCAAAAATGCCCCCAATAGGCCTCCTATCACCTTCCCCTTGTTACTTCAACTGACATTCCTGTTAAAGTGGCAGATAATGCAATTGGCCCTAAACAGAGCTGTTGTCCACTTGCATAAAAGAATCAGCTGCACCAAAAACAATTTTGCCATTTTCAAAGGGAAATGGGATTACAGATACTATTTATTTTCTTAAATGGCTAAACCTCCTGTTGTCTGGATCAAGTTCCATGTGTAACTTACTATCATCTTGCTTCCATTAAAAGACCTCAAAACTGAATGACTTTTCTAGGACAAACAAAAAATCCCCAAACCAAGCCCTACCCATTCTTTCTCCAATACCACCCCTATCTGAAGAATTGTATCTGTCTGTGGCTGCCTCACACCCAGCCTGCAGCCATGGCACTATTTTCTATGACTAACATTGTCTCCCTTCTTAAAATACTTTAGGATCCAAGAATCCTCAGATGCCCTGGAAGGTCTTCACAGCTAACGATCAAGTGTCCCTTTTGCAATTTAAGCCTGTTTCCTTGTACCCTTATTTCAGAAGCAGTAGAAAAACTTCTTCATAGGAATCACATTTCCTTTCAGAGAAAAGTCCAGCTCAATTGTGTCTTCCCTTCACTCAACAATTTCCATGTGTTAAGTATTCTCTCCCAGATGTCACAGTCCAACTAGGCCGCGTGAGCAGCGATAATCCCTCTAATTAGCAGAGGTTGGAGACTTTTCCTGAAATCAGGGGACAATCTTGTAGCTCATAGCTGAGTTGGCTTCAGTTTAAATACTTTATGAGGGTTCGATAAGTAGAAAGAGAATTGGGAAAACATAAAGTAAGCTGCTTGTCTGATTCTTCCTTGTGTCATAAGAGAAAGATAACAATGTGTTCTTTGGGTTCTATAAAAGAGAAAAGGCTGGAACCAAATCCATTGAATGCCCACCTGGCCCTAAAGAGTGGCTTATTAGGGTCCTCAGTGCCCAGCTGAGTAAGAAGTACCCCTTGCCTCACCAATTGGGATTGGTGTCTGTACACACTCCAAAACACAGTTGCCTGCCCAGGTCAGCAGGTCTCACATTTTCCATATAGAAATAACCCCCAAGCTTGTTAAAAATGCAGGTCCTCAAACCACACTGCAGAGGGGCTGTTTCCTGGAGGCCTTCTGAAATGGACTTCTGTGTTGATGATCTCTCGAATTCTTAACATCTGATGTATTCCCTATTAGGAAACTGAAGGTTCTATGATCTTTTGATTTTCTTATACAAAGGGAATCAGAGGAAAGCTATTCGATAACCACAGTGAGAGTGGAAGCATCTGACTGATGCAAATTCCACAGTGTCCTGTTCATCAAAGTGTGTTCCACAGACTACCTGCATCAGAGTCACAAGGGTGCTTATTAAAAATGCAGATCTCTGGAACTCACCATTTGACGTGAGTCAGGATTTCCAAATTCCAAGCCAAGAAATTTGTACCTCAACAAACCATCCAGAGGATTTTGAAGGAATCTATAGCTTGGGAACTGTTTCCCTCAGGGTTAATTCTTCTTAGTAAACTGTTAGAGATGGAACCCTGTGAAACCAGGGGTCTGCATGCTACAGCATAATGGTGGAGGCCTCACTCCTGGGCTGTCAAAGGCCAGACATAGGTGTAAAGAACTGCCTCTCAGGTGGAATTTAGGAGCATTGTTCAGGATCTGCATGACCTTGAGAAGGTTCCTTAATTTTTCTTCATCTCAGTTTCTTAATATATAAAATGGAGATAATAATAGTTGCTTCTTCGTAGGATTGTTGTGAGGATTGAATGGATAATTACCCTTAGATACTTGGAATACTGCCTGGCCCACAGTAAGTACTATGTACATGTTGGTTGCTGCTACTGCTTCTGTTATAATTATTATCACCGTCTCAATTTCCACCACCTTGAGGGTTATTCTCTAAAACCCAGGGGTCAGCAAACTATGACCCTTTGCTTTGTTTTTGTGAATAAAGTTTTATTGGAACACAGCCATGTTCACACCTTTACATTATTGTCTACAGCTACTTTATGCTACATACAACAGGAGAGTTACATAGCTACAACAGGGCTCATATGGCCCACAATGCTTGACATATATCTCTTTGCCCTTTACAGACAGTTTGCCGACTCTTGCTCTATACACCTTTGGGCCCCTGTTAATATGTTGATTGCCCTGGGAGGAACAAGGACTGTTGTGTTTCAGGTTAGCTGACAGCTGGTTGAAGGCAGAACTCTGTGAGTGAAGCAGAAGGAATCAGCATCTTGCAATAGAGTAGAAAGAGGGCAGAGAACATCCTTGAGAAGGGTTTGGGGTGAGAGGACTTTGCAAGTCTCTTAGCCCAACTCCTTGCCTGAGCTTTTATGAAGCTGGAGAGTGTGTGGAAATAGCTGGGGGCGGGTTTTTCCATTTTCTACCTGTCAATGGCTTTCTTCCTCTAAGCTTCAGACCACTTTCTCAACTGGTCAGTTTATGAAATGCCCTTCCTGAGATCAAAGCAAGTCACCCCATCCGATACCTTCAGAGAAATTTCTATTTACTTTTTTCAGTTAAAATGAGAACTAATTACCTACTATGTTTCCAAACACTGGGGCAAATACAGGAAATAAAGCATGGACCTTGACCACAGAGTGCATAATCTTCTTTAAACTGAAAAGCCATAAACCCTTCAAATGAAGGACTTAAGGCCCCAGCCTTACTCATTTGATACCCTGACACAATGAAGAAGTGACTAGGATTGCAAATAGCTGGTAACTAATTAACATCTGCCATTAAGATTGTGACAATAAAATAATTGGGGGCAAGTTGTGTCTGCTGAAGACCTATGTTCTCATCACTGGAGATTCTACTGAGCAAGGAGTGGGCTGAGCTGTGTTTTTAGTGCCCATGTTTTGCTAGGAGGCAGTTGCTAACTAGCAGGTAGAAGGAGCAGTTTATTGAGTGCTTCCTATGTTTCTAGTAGCTGTGGTTTACATATGTTATCTCATTGAATCTTTACATTGGCCCCATGAAGTAGGCACCACTATCCATTCTACACATAAAAAGCAGGTACTAAAATTACTGTAGCTAGTCAATGGTAGAGGTGGAGTTCCTGCTTATCTGATTCCAAAGCCATTGTTGTAGTATATCATTCAGATAAGTTTAAGAAGGCAGGGAAAGATAAAAACACATCTGGCTGGAAGCAAGAGAAGGTGGAGAGAATTAAACAGCCTCACTATTCCCTGTTTGAAATCCTGATACCTGAGATTTAGTAGAGAGGTGTACCAAAGCAACAGCACTGCCTTTTTCTTTAGAAAATAAAATAACAAACTCCTACTTCCTGGTTTCCAAGATTAACAAATATTCAGTTTTACCAAATATTCAGTTTTACCATAATTGCTTCAGAATTTGAGAAAAATTAAACAACACATTTAAGAAATAAAAGTCTCATATGTTTTCCACACTGATACTTAAAGCCAATTATTCTTACGATGTTGGCCAGTTTTAAAATTTGATTATTGCCCAATTTTTAAATGGTCTAGATTGTAGTTGCTCACTTAAGTCATTGCGGCTGTTGGGCAAATTTGGCTTTTTGTTTTGTTTTGTTTCGTTTAAAAAATAATATTAGTGGTTTGTAATGGTTAGAGACGGTGGAAGATGGCCTTTTATCACCTCACCATCAGTGGCTTAGGTAAAACAAAAATCAGCCATAGAACGCTTCTGCCCATCAGAAGCAGGCCCCCAGTTGACATGCCTCCTATTTTACAGCTCAAGAAGCTCTACTGTTCACCTTCTAAAAGTCTTTTGTGACAGGAAATGCTTTTTTGACAGCAGGACTAGCCCACCTGCCCAGTAGTAAGTCTGAGGTAGAGAGATGCAGGCTCTAGACCTTGAAGATTGCTCTAATGCCAAAGATTCTTATATCTGGTGCAGGCAAGAATAGGTGGGTGTGTGCATATATTTAGTATTGTGCTGGCGCAGATGGAGCCCACTGTGTACATCTCTTCCCAACACTGCATTCAGTGACATGGTGTTGGTAGCTTGAAATTGACCATGGCAATCAACAAACACTACAAATAAAGGCTTGGTTTTGTTTGTTTGCTTGTTTGTTTTTACTTTTTTTAAAAGAGCCGATTATTAAACATTTACCTGTGCATGGCTGAATATATTCCATAATTTATCTTTTCTTTTAGTATAAACACATTTTCCCCATTCTTTACCATAACAAAAAAACTTCAATGAATATGCTATGTGGAATTTTGTGCACATATGTGTGAGTTCCTTTAGCATATAGACCTAGAAGTGAAGTTTCTATCTTATGAACTGTGCACATTTCAACTTCATTAGATAGCATCAAATTGATGTCCTACTAGATTTCCTATTTTCTTACCTTCTTGTTGACACTTGATATTGTCAGTCTTCTTAATTTATGCCAATCTTAGCTTGAGGTGGTATTTTACTGCTATTTGAACCTATAATTTTTCTGATTACTTACGAGGCTAAAAATCTTTTTACATATTTATTGGCCATCTGGGTCTTTTGTGAATTTGCTACTCATATTTTTTGTTCATTTTTTCCTTAGATAATCTCCTGTTCTTTTTATTGATTTGTAGAAATTCTTTACATATCCTGAATACTTATTCTTATTCAATTATATGCAGTATACATATCATCTCTCACCTGTGGCTTGTCTTTTAATCATGTTATGTTTTTGTCATAAAGAAGTTTAAATTTTGATACAGTCAAATGTATTATTCTTTTCCTCTGTAATTTCTATGTTTTTTTCATGTTTAAGCAATCTTTCTTGACCTAAAGGTTAAAAATATGTTCCTATATTTTCTTTTTTGAAGTTTATATTTTCATATTTAAATTTTTAATCTATCTAGAATTTATTTTTGTCAATGGTATCAGGTGTACATTTAATGTATTTCCTCATATGGAAATGCAATTATTCCCACATTATTATGAAAGAGACCCAAGTTTCCCTCTTGCCTTTTTGGTTCCTCTTATACATAAAAGCCCTGCATATGCTTGCATCTATTTGGATATTACCTATTCCAGTCTATAGATTCATTTTATCTTTATTTTTGGAACTATTACACTCTAATTACTGTAACTTTACCAAAGCTCCTGATATTCTTTTGAGGCAATTCTTTTCTCTTTATTCAGCCTTTTCAGAATTTTCTTATCTATTCTTCAATGTTTACTCTTTCATGCGAATTGAACCATTTGTCAGCTTGGCAAGTTCCACTGAAAACCCTGTTAGATTTTTTACTAGAATGACAATGAATTTATAGATTAATATTAAAACAATCTATTAATATTTCATACATATGTACATATAGAGAGAGAGTCAGGTATTTTTATGTCCTTCAATAATTGCTTTATAACATTTCCATAAAATTTGAATTTATATTTTATTAGAATTAAATAATAATAATTTTATAAATTATTTTTATTTTTATTGTTAAGGGGATCGTCTATCCTGTTTTATGATATGAATGGCTATGGCTGCCCTATAGGAATGTTATTAGTTCTTATATGCTCATTTCCGTATTAATTTTTCAAACTTTTCCCCAGTCTTTGGAGCTTAAGCATTTAAGGTAAACTTAGTGTTTGTCCTCGAAAGAGTCAATGATGTTATCTTTGACAACCTTTATTGGCACTACGGTACATATGGAAGGGTCAAAGTTTCTAATACGACCGTCAGGGTAAAGTCTAAACGGTATTTATGACAAGGTGTGTGCTAAAATCAGCTCACTTGCAGCAATGGCTTGGATTAGATCCACTTGCATTCTCTTTTTTACCTTGCTTTTTGCCCACATAGCAGCTGTACCGGTAAGTCGAGTCCTGCTTTTTGGATATTTAGAAATATTAATTCTAGTATACATTATCCATTTTCTGTATATTTATTTTTTTCAGATTAAGTATCTTCCTGAAGAAAATGGTAAGAATTAGTTCAAATGCACAGAGAGTGTTTTTGAACTTTTTTCCTTCGGCAAGACTAATAATAATTTTTTTTCTCACTTTTAACAGTACATGATGCAGATTTTGGTGAACAGAAGGATATTTCAGAAATCAATTTAGGTGAGTTCAATTTTTGTGTTATTAAAGTCTTGAAATTACTTGAAACCCAGTGGTGGGATTACTGAACACTTTCCTTCCTAATACTGTATTGTGATTCTCTGGGGGAGAAATATTTTTTGGTGCTTTGTGAGAAATTGCATTTTCTGAAAGATAAAAATGCGGAAAGAGAAGATAGTTAGACCAGACTTTCTAGGAGAGCTAGGAAGTCCTCAATGGATCTAGAAATATGTAACAAGTTTCTCTTTATAAAAATTTTATTTTTCCAATTTGTATTTGGAGGAAAAGGAAAGCAAATAGATAATTATTCCGATTGTTAAAGAAAAATATAAGAATAAGCCTCTGGTTATATTTAGTGGGGAAACAAAACCCAACCCCTCCACTGGCCCATCATATTCACTAACAACTCCTCGGTTGAGACTTAGGGGTGAGTGTAAAGCAATCTCCACTTAGACATCTCATTTACAAATATATTTCTTGAAGAAATTCATCAGTCTCATCCATTACTGAGAGGAGAGAGAAGCTGAGTCATCATCTCTGTTTTCTCTCTGTTGTCCTGCTTCTGAAATGAGAGAGAAGCCTCTGCATTCCCAGTGTCTTAGGTCAGGATTTGTGGAAGCAGAGCTATTCATGATAATAAGTACCTTCAGTTTACAAAAGCTTTTATATGCAATTGCATATTTATTTGTCCAGTCTTGTCGTGGAGTAAGTGCTGTTTTCATTTTTTTGGGAAGCGACAGGTGGCTTCTCATGGGTAGAGTGACTTGCTCAAGATCATAGGTAGCAGTGATGGGGCTTACTTCCAGATCTTGTAGCCCATACCTTAATAGCTCAGTGCTATCTGAAGGCTACAAAACTAACATACCAATAACTAAGGGTCAATTTTTCTGGCTTTGTCTCACTCACAGAGAAGCCAGTTAGTTGATATTTAATTGGAATAGCTGGAGAATGGCTGCATAGGCAGAGCAGAAATAGTTTAGGAAGGTAAATGGGTGAATGCATAAATGGGTCCCAAGACTTCAGAGCCAGGCACTAAAATATCTCTCTTTAGAGTTAGCCATTGTGTAAACAGTTCAGAGAATCTGCTGTATTTTACAACAGAAATGGGATTAGAATTAGAGTTTTTCTAATCTCATCATTATTTATCTAATAAAAATTAATTATTTACCTCTTTGCCATTTTGTACTCTTTAGGCCCACCACCACCTCTGATCCTTGACCCCAGTGGAGAAATCTCATTACCATGTAAATCTTCTTTTTAGGCCATTTCAACCAAACCACCAGGATTGATTGGGTTAGCCATATGGCCAGATTCTAACACCATAAATTGGGAAAATCATATAGAGAAAATTGCCACCTTTTTACCATCTTCTTTTTGCCTCACAAGGCTGAGTAAACGTTTCTTATCCTCCATCCCAAGACCTGCTCCTCTCAGTCCTTTTCATTTCAGTAAATGTGACTCACTCCTTCTAGATTTTCGGCTCAGAATGTTAGAGTTGCCCCTAACTCTTGCTTTTCTCTCACACCTGACACACAATCTGTCAGCAAATGTTATTCGATCTACTCGATCTACTTTTCTTTTTTCTCTTTTCTTTTCTTTTCTCCTGAGATGGAGTGTTGCTATGTCACCCAGGCTCGAGTGCAGTGGTGCCATCTCGGCTCACTGCAACCTCCGCCTCCTGGGTTCAAGCGAGTCTCCTGCCTCAGCCTCCCGAGTAGCTGGGATTATAGGTGCCCACCACCATGCCAGGCTAGTTTTTCTATTTTTAGTAGAGATGGGGTTTCTCTATGTTGGCTAGGCTGGTCTTGAACTCAAGACCTTGTGATCCGCCCACCTTAGCCTCCCAAAGTGCTGAGATTACAGGCATGAGCCACCACGCCTGGCCTAGATCTACTTTCAAATCATACTACAGTTGAGACTTTTCAGCACTTTTACTGCCCCTACCTTGGTCAGCCACCTCATGTCTGGGCTGGTCCTTTGACAGGCCTCATAACTGTGCTTCCCTTTCTGCCTTTGCTCCCTAAAGACTATTCTGCACAACATAGAGCTCTCCTTTTAATATCCTTCAGATCATGTCATTTCTCTGCTCCAACCATCTAATGACTTCTCCTTCAACATAAAGTAAAGGCCCTAGAGCCTTGATTCCCAAAGTGTGGTCCACAGGCCAAAGTGATCTGTGTCACTCAAGAGCTTTCTCTTAGAAATGCAGCATTTGAGGATCCACCCCAGACCTACAGAATTAGCATCTTCATTTTGACAGACCCAAGTGGTTTCTATGCACATCAGAGTGTGAGTCAATCTGCCCCTGACTACTCTTCCCCTTCCTACTTGAGCTTTCCAGCCACCCTGACTGCACAGCTACTCCTCTAAGGAAGTGATTTTCGATGTGTTGTCCCCAAGCCAGCAGCATCGGCATCACCAGGAAACTTGTTAGGAATGAACATTCTCAGGCCTCACCCCAGACTTAATGGACCAGAAATCCAACGGTGGGGGCTCATCAACGGGTGTTGACCAAGCCTTCCAAGGGACTCTGATGCTCAAGTTTAGGACCACTGCCCTAAGACATCAAGGCTTTCCTGTCACAGGACCTTTCTATCTGGTGTTGCCTCTACCTCCCCTACTCTTCCTTCATTCCCTCACTCTATCATATTTCTGCTAAAATGCCACCTCCTGTGGGAGGCCCTGCCTGACCACTCTTTAATAAAATAGCAAACCTATCTCACCTCAGCACTCTTTCCCACTTTACCTTTCATTTGTTTCTTTTTTATTGTACTTTTCACCATTTGTCACACTTTACAGTTATTTGTTTATTTGTATGTCTCCTTCTTCCCCCAATCAAGAGAGTCATCTCCTTAAGGACTTGTTTTATTCTCTACTGTATCCCAGCATCTAGAAAAATGCTTAAGACACATTAGGCATTTAATAAGTGTATACTACATGAACAAATTGGGTAATGAATAGATTGAGGCTTGCTCTCACTGGATGTACACTTCTTTGGGAGGTTCTCCCTGCCCCCCATGACTCCATCCATTCTGACTGACCACTGGGGCCAAAGTCTGAGTGGGCTTGTTCACTTCACTCTGAAAGAGCTCCCTCAATCCCATTATAATCCAGGCCAGGTGTCAGGAAATACAGATTTTTGCTCAGGACAAACCTCAATGTAAGAATAGATGGACCAGAACAAAGTCCCTCTGTTTAAAAGATGATTCAAATCTGGGTCCTACTGACAGTGGGACAGTGATGTCATTACTGTTTGTGGTTAATCGTACTGCTACCATAAGAATAGGTCAGGGTTAAAGAGGTTAAGCAATCTAGGAAATGTGTGCATGAGGAAGGGAATGATACAGGGATAGCCCTAGTTAGTCACTGGCAAGTGAAATCATGATGCCTGCTAATACCTAACACCTCCTTGGTGTCCTATGCATAAACGGAGCTGGTTCCTGAATGAGCCACAGGCTTTGCCAAATGAGGTCTCTGTTGGCTCGTGAGACTGTGGTAATTAATCTCTGCCTTGGCTTCCCAGCCTGTAAATCAGGGCTGTCCTCAGAATGAAGTACAATCCAGTGATTCTGTCTGAAGTTGTTGCATTTTACAGAAAATGTTTCATGTCACATGAGAGTTATGATAAGTGATGCTCTTTTAATGCTTGAGAAATTTTCCTACAAAGATCTTCCCTTTTAAGAGTCTTGCTTACTGAAACAGGATGAGGCAAGGATTAAGCAATAACAGCAGTAGGAGAGTATATTCTGCTAAGCACCTGAGAACAGATGTTTGGAGATACGGTTTAGAATGGATCTATCCATATTCCCCTGGTCTTCCTCATGATGTGGGCAGCACCTTGAGCTTGGTTTTGGAGGGTATCATCGTTTTTTCATGGGAAAGAGCAAAACACACTCATTTACTTTGGGACAAGAGGCAGAATGGTACACTGGTAGAAAGAGCCCTGGATGGAAAGGCAGGAGTTTTGATGCTCACTTGGCCACTTGATTACATAGTACATCACTTCATGTCTCTGGACTCTATTTCTTTCTCCATTTCTCTCAATAGTCTTTCTTTCTTTTTCTTTCTTTCTTTCTTTCTCTTTCTTTCTTTCTTTCTTTCTTTCTTTCTTTCTTTCTTTCTTTCTCTCTCTCTTTCTTTCTTTCTTACTTTCTACCTTTCCTTCCTTCCTTCCTTCCTTCCTTCCTTCCTTCCTTCCTTCCTTCCTTCCTTCCTTCTTTCCTTCCTTCCTTCCTTCCTTCCTTCCTTTTTTCTTCCTCTTTCTTTTTTTGTGAGACAGAGTCTGGCTCTGTCACCCAGGCTGGAGTGCAGTGGCATGATCTTGGCTCACTGTAACCTCTGCGTCCTGGGTTCAAGCAATTCTCCTGCCTCAGCCTCCCGAGTACCTGGGACTACAGGTGCACGCCACCATGCCCAGCTAATTTTTGTACTTTTAGTAGAGACAGGGTTTTACCATGTTGGCCAGGCTGGTCTTGAACTCCTGACCCCAGGTGATTCATCCACCTTGGCCTCCCAAAGTGCTGGGATTACAGGCATGAGCCACAACGCCCAGCCATTTTCTAAATAGTTTTCATCCTCCTTATCAGTGCTGCATCGAATCCCTTTTTTATAATCAGTGATCAGTAAAATCCCTTCTAACTTATGTCTTACTTCTAAGATTCTTAGACAAGATTTCTTGTCCCAAAATTGAAAACAGAGGCTATGACAATATGTGATACTCATCGGCCATTCACATTTGCTTAACTGGAATTTTTGCATTGTTTCAAAAAGTTTTGCCACATAAAGATTAATATTCAAAGATTTATAATGGCAAATACTAATTTTATTACGAAAGATGCCTTTTAATAATGTTCACTCAAATATTCTTTTTTTAAAAAAAATTCCACTTCCAGCTGCAGGCTTGGACCTCTTTCAAGGGGACATCCTCTTGCAGGTGAGTACCTGTCAATGATGCAATAAGTTTCTCAGGACAGGCAGTACCACTGGGTGTGAGTCTCTGCTCTGCGGCCAGCCCTGGGATGGGCACTGTGAAGGAGATGAGAGAAATCTCATCTATAATCTGTTCCAGTGAGGAGTTCCACTGTAGTTCCTAAGGACAAAAACAGAGGGAAAATAAGTAAACAGCACAAAAGGGTCTAAAATGATTAAATGGCTTATCTATCCAGTTTTCTTGGGATTGCAGGCCCCCTTTATTTTGTTCTTAATAATTTCTCTGATTTTTCCAAATTATCTCTCAAGGACTTCTATTGCTTTCATAATCAAAAGACAAATTGCCACTAAACTGTTTGAGTTGTGTGATAGACTGTTTGCTCTGTGAGAGTTTAGTGAAGGAGGAGGTCAAGGTGACCTTGAGGACTAGGCTTCCCACTCACCTTTACCTTTGTTTTCACAGAAATCCAGAAATGGCCTGAGAGACCCAAACACCAGGTGGACGTTCCCCATTCCTTACATCTTGGCTGATAATTTGGGTAATATTAATTGTTCTTAATTAGGAAGTTTCAGTTTAACTCTCTCTCTCCTCTCAGCCTGTCCATGGGCTTCACATTGGGAGTAACCACCACGATCTAAGAGAGTTTTCAAGTCCTGATGCATCTTTATCTAATGGGGAGAAAGACATAACATTACATCAAAAGCATTGCTGCTTAACCAGTCTGAGATACACAGAATCCAAGAATAACTTTTAAAATGCAACACACATTAAAGTATTAGTATAACCAGGAGAACATAAAAGAGCAAAACCTAATGAAATATAATTTGCATCAGAACAAGGAAAAGTTTGCACTTTGTTTAGGTGAATCTAAATGTAGTGTGAGGATACTATTTTCAGCATATTGATTTCTTCTCTTTTTCTTACAAGAGAAACATGCCACACTTTGAGAAATAGGAAAGTCCATATTTCACATGTTCACAATCCTTTTTTCTTGGTGTTATTAATGTCTACTCTTTTCTCTCTCTTAAGAAAAAGATCTGAATATGTTACATTTTACTCATTGTTAGAAATAATGACTAGTAGAATGACTTCCCTGCCTTTTAGCTAAGGTTGCATATAGAACTAGCAACTGGTAGAAATAAGTAAATATTAGAAGCCACATGTAGGCACTGGCTGACCCTCAAGCAGTTGACTGACAGCTGAGCAGCCATGATGACTCAATGTCTGCAAGGCCCCTCCTGCTTAGACAGATGAACAAGATTAGAGTGAAGAAGGGAAGCCAGGACAGGGTTGCTTAGTCTTGTTGGGCTGCTAGGCTGCTCCTACTCTCAGGAGATGTAGATTATGTTTCAGTATTTTCCATCCTCTTTATCAGTGCTGCCTCGAATCCCTGTTTATGGAGAACAGCTAGATATAAACAAATGTTATTGTTCACAGCTATTAGTTGGAAAATTGAGTTGTTTTCTCCAGTGTTTGCCTTGCAAATTCACGGAACATCAATACTTAATGGAACATGATTTAAGAAACACCAACTTTAAAAGGGGTTCTTTCCCATTACAATTTGTTTTATCCTGGTTGTCACATCTGCACCACCCTATTATGTGCCAGGCTCTGTGCCTTCATCTGATATTTTATGTAACCTTTACCATGCCTCTGTAAGGTGTAAGGTAGTGCTTCTCAGACTTTAATGTGCATAGGACTCAGATGAGGATCCTGTTAACCTACAGAGTAGGTCAGCGTTGGTGTGTGAGATGTTGCATGTCCAACGGTCCTCTAGTGATGCTGATGCTATTGGTCCCCACGCAGACCACAGCTTAAGTAGTAAGGTCTCTCTAGTTGCAAGATAGGTAAGAAATTATATTTGAGAGTGATTTGAGACAAGTGAACTGACATAAGATAAAGGTATTAAGGATACAGCAGTATTTCTCAAGCAATACCACGTGAAGGTCACCTTTAGTGTTAAAGTTCAGATGCCCAGACCCAGACCACTGTGAAAGCAAACTTTCTAACTAGAGTTGAATATTTGTATAGAATTGTTTTATTCAAGTTAAATTTACATAGAGTGAAATACACAAATCAGTATATAAGGCTTTTGACAAACACATATACCTATATAATGCACACTTCCATCATTCCATAAAGTTCCTTTCTAGGCAGTTCCCATCCCCACTCCTTAAGAGACAACCACCATTCTGATTTTCCCCTATGTATTAGTTTTGCCTGATTTACAACTGATTTACAGATAAATGAACTCATATACCATAGTATTTGTTTTATAAATACTATGTGTCTGGCTTCTTTGACTTATGTTTTTTAAGTTCTTCCATATTGTTGTAGATCAACAGTAAATTCTTTTTTTAAACTACTCAGTAATATTTCTTTGTAATACTATACTGTAAATTACTGTCCATTTTTCTGTTGGGGCTAGTATGAAGAAAACTGTTATGATAATTCTTATACAAGTTTATGTGAATACATTTTTTATTTATCTTTGGTAAATGCCTAGGAATATAATTGCTTGGTCATATGGATAACTATGTAAGAAAACGCCAAACAGTTTTCCAAAGTGGCTGTGCCATTGTACACTCCTCCTGAAAATATATGAGTGTTTCATTTGCTCCACATCCTCGCTAATATTGATAGCATTAATCTTTGTAGTTATAGCCATTTTAGTAGTTGTAAAATGGTATCTCCCTACGATTTTAATTTGCATTTCCCTAATGATTAGTGATATTTAGCACATTTTAGTATGCTACTGGCTATTTTTGTATCTTCTTTTACGAGGGTCTGTCCAACTCCTTCATGAGTTTTAAAAATTATATTGTTTGTCTTTTTATTATTTGTAGGATTTTATATATTATGGCTAAAGCCCTTTTTCAGATATATGTATTATAAATATTTTCTGTTAGTCTGTTACTTACCTATTTGTTTTTGTTTTTCAAGCAGTGAATTTTGAAATGCAAAAGCTTTAAATGCTGATAAAGTGTGATTTATCAATTTTTTAACTTATGGTTTGTGTTTTTATATTCTAAGAAATATGTGCTTAAACCAAGTCACAAAGATATATTCCAATATTTTTTGAAGTTGTATGGTTTCAATTTTTGTCTATAATTGATTGCAAACTAATTTTGTGTACAACAGGATGAAGAGATTGAGACTGATTGGTTGGTATTTATTAGCCCAGTTGTTCCAGCAACATTTGCTATAAAATTTTGCTTTCCTCATTAAGTACTCTTCGCAAGAGTCTCGTTTGCCAAGTTTGCCAAGACTCCTCATTTCTTGATCTGGTATCTCTGTTTTCCTATCTTATTCTACTTGTTTATCATCATGTCAAAAATCACTATGTTGATTACTCTAGCTTCACAGTTAACCTTGAATTGAGTGTTCCAGCTTTGCTCTCCAATTTCAAGACTGTTTAGCCTACTCCAGACCTTTTGCATTTTCATGTATATTTTACAATCAATTTCTCTAAAAAGCCTGCTGGGATTTTGATAGGAATGTGTTGATTCTGTACATAAATTTGTAGAAAACTAATTTCTTAAAAATATTGAGTCCTATAATCCATAAACATGGTACATCAGTCCATTTATTTCAGTCTTCTTTAATTTATCTAATCCGTGTTTTATAAATTTCAGTGTAGAGACCTTGTGTGTCTTTGGTAAATTCATTTCTAAGCATTTTATATTTTTGATGCTATTAAAATGAAATTTAAAAAATTTTACTACATAATGTTTTCTGCTAATATATAAAAATACAATGGATTTTTATATATTGATTTTGTATTCTGTTACCTTGCTAAATTTACTCATTAATTTTAATTGTTGATTTGTAGATTTTTTTAGGACTTTTAGTAAAAATTCTTCTTGCCTTTTAATATAGACAGTGTTACTGGTTCCTTTCCAATTTTTACACCATATATTGCTTTTTCTTGTCTTATTGTTCTGGCTAGGACCTTCATTACCATGTTGAATAGAAGTGGTAAGAGTGGACATCTTTGCCTCATTGGCTTGTTTAGTGGTAGTATTCAATACTTCATTCATGTGGGACACTGTAGGTTTTCCACAGATGCCCTTTGTCAGATGGTATGTTTTCATCATGAATAGTTGTTACAGTGTATCAAATGCTTTTCCTGCAACAATTAAGTATAATTTTTATTCCTTATTGTGTAATATGGTAATAACATCAAATTTGAATGCTAAATCAACTTTGCATTTCTCAGATGAGCCCTACTTGGTTATGATGTATTATCCTTTTCATATTTTGCTGGATTCCTAATATTTTGTTATACATTTTTGTGTTTATATTCATAAATAGTATAAGTTTCTAATTTACCTTTTTGTAATATCTTTATTAGGCTTTAGTAATAAAGTTATGTAGCTCTCAAAACCATCTTGAAAATTTTTCCTCTTCTTTTATCTTTTGAATAAGTTTGTGTATGATCAAAATTTTTTCTTTCTTAAATGTTGGTAAAAATCACCAATAAAATAAATAATAAATTTGTTTGTTGGTAAAATTCACCGATAAAATAAAATAACCAAGTAATGGAATTTTCTTTGTGGGATAGTATTTTTATAATGAATTCGATTCATTTAATAATTATAGAATTATTCTTATTTTCTATTATGCTGCTTTTATTAAATTGTATTTTTCAGTAATAAAAAATTAAGATTATCTTAATAGATGCAGAAAAAGCATTTGACAAAATTCAACAACTATTTCAACTAAGTTGTCAAAATAGTGGCATAATATCTCATTATCTTTATAATGTCTGTAGAATCTTTAGTGATAGTCCTATTTCACTTTTGATATTGGCAATTTGTGTTTTCCCTCTTTTTTTCTTGACATGTCCTGCCAGGGACTTATTGATTTTATTAATATTTTTACAGAATTGACTTTTGATTTGTTAATTTTCTCTTGCTTCTCTGCTTTATATTTAGTTGCTTTCTGTTACCTTTATTATTTCCTTTCTCCTACTTATTTCAGGTTTAGTTTACTCTTCTTTTTTGACATTCTTAAGATGAAAATTCATATCACTTATTTTAAACCTTCATTTTTTCTAATGTAATATATTCTACAACATGGCTACTAAAGCTATAAATTTTATCTGAAGCACTGCTTTACTGCCTTCTTCAAATTTTGATATGGTGTATGCTTATTAAAATTTAGTTTATTAATAGATACTTCATAATTTATCTTGTGAATATTTTCATCCATGGATGGGATAAAAGTATGTTTACATTTTTAAAAATATTGTCCTTAGCGTTAATATTATGCAAGCATTTTACAATAGTATAATTCCATTTATACCCCTGCCCTTTGTACTTTATTGGTTTATATTTTCCATCTACATGCTTCATAAGTCTCGCACTATAGTGTTAGAATTTTTTATTTAAACAGTTATCTTTTAAAGTAATTGATGAAAAACAAGAGTCTTCGTATTTACTTTTACACTTGAAATTTCTGGTGCTCCTCATTCCTCCTGTAAATCTGAGTTCTTCTCTAGTATCATTTCTCTTCAGTCTGAAGAACTTCCTTTAGCACTTCTTATAAAGCAGATTTGTTGATGACAAATTCTGGTTTTTCTTTTACCTGAAAATGATCTTTATTTTGCCTAAATTTTGAGGATATTTTAACTGGAAATAGAATTTCGGTTTATAGTAGTGTTAAAAATTATTATTTTAACATTTTTAAGTTGTAATACATTGTCTTTTTGTTTTCCAACATTTGATTATAAAAACTTTTAAATAATCAAAAAGTTAAAAGCATTATGCAGCGAACATTCACATACTCATAACCTAAATTACAATTAACAGTTTTATTTGCTTTATTTCGTCTATCCATCCCAATATCCCTCTATGAATCTATCAATCCATTGTATTTTTGATGCATTTCAAAGTCGCTTTCGGGCACTAGTACACTTTACCCCAGTCACCTAAGTATGCATGTAATTAACTACAGGTCAATATTTGTATATAGTTCCCTTTTACATAAAATATATATAGGGTAAAATGCATGAGTCTCAGATGTACAATTCAATGAGTTCTTAAAGATCTATGCACCTATGTAATCCAAATTCCTATCAAGAGATGGAACATGTTTATAATGTATGTACCTCTGAAACCTAACTTCCTATGAAGAGATGGAACACTGTTATCCTTCCAGAGAGTTCTGTTATGGCCCTTCCAAGTTATTCTCACTTTTCCAGAAAAAGAAGGTGCTATTCTATTTTTTCTTTTTTCTTCATAGGTGAATTTAACCTCTTCTAGAATTTCATATAAATGGAATCATATGTTATATACTCTTTTGAGTAAGGCTTTGTTTTACTCAGTAAAATGTTCTTGGGATGCATCAATGTTGCTGCGTTTATAAGCAATTTGTTCTTTTTTTGTTACTGTCATTTCATTGAATTTAGTATATCACAGCTTGTTTAATCATTCTCTTCGATTGATGCTATGTTTTGGCTGTTATGAATAAAGCTACTATGAGTAGCCTTGCACATATTCTTTTATGAAATATATTCTCATATCTCTGGTGTAAATAAGAATAAAATTGCTGGGTTATAGTATAGGTGTAGGTTTAGTGTTAGACCTCTTTCAATGTGCTGGTACCATTTTATACAACCACAAACAATGTACGTGAGTTTCGTTTACTCCATGCCTTTGCTAACATTTGGTGTTGTCAATTTTTAAAGTTTTAGCCATTCTGTTGGGCATCTAGTGCTATTTTATTAATTTATTGATTTATATTTCCATTATGACTAGTAATGTTGACCTCCTTTAAAGTTACTCATTGGTCATTTGTATATCTTCCCTTATAAAATATCTGCTCTGTTAACCCATTTTAAAAATTGAGTTGTTATTTAGTATTGAGTTCTAAGTGTTCTTTATATATTTTGGATATGTCTTTTATCAGATATATATTTTGCAAATATTTTGCTCCAGATACACTGTTTCTTGTCTCCAGTGTCTGATAATAAATCATCCATCTTTCAAACTTTCATATTATTGTTCTCCTGTATGTAATGTCTTTTTTCTCTAGTTGTTTTCAATACGTTCTTTTTATTTTTGTTTTTATAACAGCTTGATTATGGTATGCTTATGCTGATTTTCTTTTTATCTATCCTGTTTGGGCTCACCAAGTTTCTTCTGTCTTTAAGGTGATTTTTAAATAACCAAATCTGAAAAACGTTAGGCCATTATTTGCTCAAATATTTTTCTGTGTTTCTCCTGTCCATCAGAGACTCTAACTGCACATATCTTAGACTGGGTGATTTTTTTCCCATTGGTCACTAAAGCGCTATTCATTTTTCTGAACATTTTTCTCTCTGTCTCTTTTACCATCGCCAGTCAGCTTTTAAAATTATCCAGTGAATTTTTTATTTTTGATATAATACTGATAGAATTTTCATTGGGTTCTTTTATATAATTCCCATTTGTCTGCTGAGATTATTTGTATGTTCATCTTTATTCCATTAAATTATGTAACAAGTATACAATAGAGATTTAAAGTGTTTGTCTGTTAAGTCTAACATTTTAGTCACCTTGGGGTCTGTTTCTCTTTCTAGTTATTGCTTTTACTAATATCTATCAATAACAATTTCCTGTTCCTTCACAGGTCTCATAATTTTTGATTATATATTAGACATTGTGTTACATTGTAGTGATTATGCGTGTTTTCATTCTCCTCTGAATTGTGTTAATTTTTGTTAGAGCAGTTAAATTACTGCATGATCATCTGGAATTTGTGGAGGATTTTGTGGTCTTGCCCTTAGTTCAAGGCAAATCTCTTAGTTCTGGAATATAGTCTTTACTGTTAAGTCATGGTCCTTCTGGGATTTCAATGGAATGCCCGAGTTTCCCCAACCCCTGTAAATTTGCATGACTCAAACTCCAAATTCTTCCTCCACTGCAGTGGGCAGCAACTGATGTATCTGTTCAGGTTGCTCAGCCTTCCAATGGCTACTACCTACTGAGGGGCTTGGAGCCTTCTCCCATTTATGCAAAGTTCATGAGTCAGACAAGGATTGAAGGGGCACTTATATACAGACTTTGGGATGAATCTCCTCTTCATCTACCATGACTTTCCTTTCTAGGACTTTCTCCCTTGATTTTCAGCCACTCGGGTTAAAACTCAGCCCCAAACTTGTCCTTGTGGTATGTTAAGAAAATGCAACTGTAGATTTATACTTGAGTTCTCTTTCTTGCATTGAAGAAATTAGAGCGTGCCCTCATGCAAAAAGCTGTATAAATGTGAATCTTACCCAATGAAATTTTCCTTCTTTTAAGAAAAAGTCCTCCAGTTTCTGCCTGTTTTAGCCATTTTCCAGCATATTTAAAGAGTTTATTTTCTTATTTTTTCAAGTTTACAACTGTTATCTGTGGGAGGATTAATTAGATTCAAGCTCCTTGACAATTTTGAGCACCAGAAATTCTCTCAAAGGAATTCCTAAACTGAATCTAGGTAGCCTTCTTATGCTTATCTTCTAATACGTACAGCCATTGGTATCTAAAATTAACTCTTCTCAAAAGAAAAAAAAAGAACAAATAAAGTTAACTCTTCTTATATTATTTGATCCAAGGTTAAAGGAATGCTAGTGGTTTTCAAAACTAACTTGTTTGACACAGAACTATGTACAACTTACTATGTCAGGGCAGTTGGCTAGGAACAAGAGTTACAATGAGACAAAAAGTATATCCCTTTCTCTCAAGGAGCTAACAGTATCTTAAGTGTAGCAAACCACCTACATAAAGACAACTCAAGCCTTGGCCACCTATAATCTCAGCACTTTGGGAAGCCGAGGCAGGAAGATCACTTGAGCCTAGGAGTTCAAGTCGAGCCTGAGCAACAAAGTGAGACCCCCATCTGAAATAAAGAAAGAAAGAAAGAAAGAAAGAAAGAAAGAAAGAAAGAAAGAAAGAAAGAAAGGAAGGAAGGAAGGAAGGAAGGAAGGAAGGAAGGAAGGAAGGAAGGAAGGAAGGAAAGAAGGAAGGAAAGGGAGAAAGGAGAGGAGGAGGAAGAGAAGAAGGAGGAGGAGGAGAAGGAGGAGGAGGAGGAGAAGGAAAAAACAAGAAGAAGAAGAGGAAAACAGAAGAAGGAGGGAAGGAAAGGAAGGAAGGAAGGGAGAAAGGAAAGAAAGAAAGAAAGAAAGAAAGAAAGAAAGAAAGAAAGAAAGAAAGAAAGAAAGAAAGAAAGAAAGGAAGAAAGGAAATAAATCAGTCAAATGTGGCTCCTGCATTCAGAGGAGGAGCACTCAGGGTTGCCTTCATGGAGAAGAGAAAGACTTCAAATGGGCTCTGTTTCCATTTATCCCAATAATGTTGAGGTAGTTTTTACAAAATTATTACAGAGTTGCTTAGTTCCCTCTTTACAGCTTATTTAGGTATGGAGAAGGAAGAAAAGGTATAATTTTAAAATTAATCACTCTCAGAAATCCCACCATTTGGATTGAGAATAACAAAAGCGAAATAGCCTTCTAGGAAGCTTGCTTTCAGTATAATCACTTTTTTTTTCTCACATTTTTGTGACACCACAGCTACCTTGGGTACATCTCTTCATATTACAGATGTAACTAAGTAAGAATAGGTAAAAGTACATGAAAATCTCCCAGCAGATGTAATGAATGCTCTTGTTATTGTTATCTGTGTAGTTTCCACAATTAGTTTATTGACTATTCCCATGACTATTTCTTTAATGATCTTGATATGACATTATATGACATTTAGGCTGTGGAGTCTCCAACTTGATAGTTTATTAAATGAAATAAAGGCCAGAAAATGTGATGTAATTTCCTGGCCAATAGATATAAACTCTTTGAGAGAAAGCACTAAATCAAATGTGCAAGAAATGTAATTTTATTTTATATAACTTGGCTTAATTTTTAACTTAGATTCTAACCTTCAATGAGTTGATGGGAGGGTAAAATGCACACAAAGTAAAACATAATCTCAGTTTCTCTGGAGTATCTTTCTTTTCTACCCCATCTTTGTCTTACAATGCCAAAGTGCATGCATGCTAGGTGAAAGGAAAGGCATTTGATCTTTGGTCATTGGTCCCCACAGGTTACTAGTCAGTATCTATTTTTCCTGCCCCTTCAAGTCCATTAGGCTTCTGCTGCTTGGGTGCTGAGCTCGGGATACAGAAATCTCTTCTAAGGCTCTGTGCAGTACTAGCTGTCTAGTCTTGCCATCTCCCAGGCATCTGGCTGGGAAGCAGGGTAAAATACCGTATGTGCTTCTTATGCTTTCAGAACCCACAAACCTCTCTAAGTTCTGCTTTCCTCCTCCAGAAAGAGAGAATGTCTTTTTAGATTGGGGTAAGGAACACTATTCTCACTGCCTCACTCTAAGGTACTTTATCTATGTCAACTAAAGCCAGAGCTACTCACAAGCCACTTCTGTTTTCTGTTCTGCCATGTGACTCTCCTGAGGCAATGCACTCTAAATCTCTGCTTCAGTGGGGGAAAGGCAAAGGGAGAAAGTGTGGAAGTTATTTTATTATTTTATTTAGCCATATACACATGTGTATATTCTTATTTTGTAGACATATTTGCATTGTGCATTTAAGGTATGCACTTAATGTTTATGCCCACAACTAATTTTGCAGATGTCCACAACCAATTTTGCAGTTTTAGTTACCAGGAAATCTATTTATTACCAAAAACCCTATCATGCACCTCTGTGGATTTAATGTGGCAGCATGGTTTTCTCTAAACTATAAGTTATAGATATTATCTAAGGTCCAAATAATGCTCATTGATATTTTTACTGATTTCTGCAGGGCTGAATGCTAAAGGAGCCATTCTGTATGCCTTTGAGATGTTCCGTCTCAAGTCCTGTGTGGATTTCAAGCCCTATGAAGGAGAGAGCTCATATATCATATTTCAACAGTTTGATGGGTTGGTATGAAATTTTACGGAGTGAAAATCATGCATACTTTGGTTCGTAAGAAGTATTCTTTCCCCGAGTCCCCAAAGTCCAATGTATCATTCTTTTGTCTTTGCGTCCTCATAACTTAGCTCCCACATATGAGTGAGAACATACAATGTTTGTTTTTTCCATTCCTGAGTTACTTCACTTAGAATAATGGTCTCCAACTCCATCCAGGTTGCTGTGAATGCCATTATTTTGTTCCTTTTTATGGCTGAGTAGTAATACATGGTGTGTGTGTGTGTATATATATATATATTTTACATATATTTTTTTTTCTTTATCACCTTGTTGATTGATGGGCATTTGGGCTGGTTCCATATTTTTTCAGTTGCAAATTGTGCTGCTATAAACATCCATGTGCAAGTATCTTTTTCGTATAATGACTTCTTTTCCTGTGGGTAGATACCTAGTAGTGGGATTGCTGGATCAAATGGTAGTTCTACTTTTAGTTCTTTAAGGAACCTCCACACTGTTTTCCATAGTCACTGTACTAGTTTACATTCCCACCCACAGTGTAAAAGTGTTCCCTTTTCACTGCATCCACACCAATATATATAATTTTTAAAAATTTTTTAATTATGGCCATTTCTGCAAGAGTAAGGTCGTATCACATTATAGTTTTGATTTGTGTTTCCCTGATAATTAGTAATGTTGAACATGTTTTCATATGCCTGTTGGCCATTTCTGTATCTTCTTTTGAGAATTGTCTATTCACATTCTTAGCCCAATTTTTGATGGGATTGTTTGTTTTTTTCTTGCTAATTTGTTTGGGTTATTTGTAGATTCCAGATATTCGTCCTTTGTTGGATGTATACATTGTGAAAATTTTCTCCCACTCTGTGGGTTGTCTGTTAACTCTGCTGATTATTTCTTTTGCCATGCAGAAGCTTTTGAGTTTAATTAAGTCCCACTGATTTATCTTTGTTTTTGTTGCATTTGCTTTTAGCTTCTTGTCATGAAGTCTTTGCCTACGCCAATGTCTAGAAGGGTTTTTCTGATTTTACCTTCTAGAATCTTTATGGGTTCAGGTCTTAGATTTAAGTCTTTGATCCATCTTGAGTTGATTTCTGTATAGGGTGAGAGAAGAGGCTCTAGTTTCATTCTTCTACATGTGGCTTGCCAATTATCCCAGCACCGTTTATTGAATAGGATGTCATTTCCCCACTTTATGTTTTTGTTTGTTTTGTTGAAGATCAGTTGGCTGTAAGTATTTGAGTTTATTTCTGGGTTCTCTATTCTGTTCCATTGGTCTATGTATCTATTTTTATACCAGTACTTTCCTGTTTTTGGTGACTATGGCCTTACAGTATAGTTTGAAGTTGGGTAACGTGATGACTCCAGATTTGTTCTTTTTACTTAGTCTTGTGTTGGCTATGTGGGTTCTTTTTTGGTTCCATGTGAATTTTAGGATGGTTTTTCCAGGTCTGTGAAGAATGATGGTGGTATTTTGATGGGAATTGTATAGAATTTGTAGATTGCTTTTGGCAATTGTGTTCACTTTCACAGTATGGATTCTACTCATCCATGAGCAAGGGATAGCTTTCCATTTGTTTGTGTCATCTATGATTTCTTTCAGCAGTGTTTTGTAGTTTTCCTTGCAGTGGTCTTTCAGTCTTTGGTTAGGTATATTCCTAAGTATTTTATTTTATATTTTGCAGCTATTGTGAAATGGGTTGAGTTCTTGATTTGATTCTTAGCTTGGACACTGTTGGTGTTTAGCAGAGCTACTGATTTGTGTAAATTAATTTTGTATCCTGAAATTTTGTTGATTTTATTTACCAGTTCTAGGAGCTTTTTGGATGAGTCTTTAGGGTTTTTTTAGGTATACAATCATATCATCAGCAAACAGTGATAATTTGACTTCCTGTTTACTGATTTGGATGCCCTTTATTTCTCTCTCTTGTCTGATTGCTTTGGCTAGGACTTCCAGTAGTATGTTGAATAGAAGTAGTAACAGAGGGCATCTTTGTCTTGTACCAGTTCTCAGGGGAAATGCTTTCAACTTTTTATCATTCACTATAAAGTTGACTGTGGATTTGTTGTAGATGGCTTTTATTACCTTAAGGTATGTCCTTTCTGTGCCAATTTTGCTGAGGTTTTTAATCATACAGGGATGGTGGACTTTGCCAAATGCTTTTTCTCCATCTATTAAGATGATTATGTGAATTTTGTTTTTAATTCTCTTTATGTGGTGTATCACATTTATTGATTTTGTATGTGAAACCATCCCTGCATCCCTGGTATGAAACCCACTTGATCATGTTGAATTATCTTTTTGATATGCTGTTGGATTCAGTTCATCAGTACATTATTGAGGATTTTTGCCTGTGTGTTCATCAGGGATATTGGTCTGTAGTTTTCTTTGTTTGTTATGTCCTTCCCTGGTTTGGGTATTAAGGAGATACTGGCTTCATAGAATGATTTAGGGAGGATTCCCTCTTTCTCTATCTTTTGGAATAGTGTCACTAGGATTGGTACCAATTCTTCTTTGAATGTCTTGTATAATTCATCTCTGAATCCATCTGGTCCTGGACTTTTTTTTGTTGGCAATTTTTGAATTGCCATTTCAATCTCACTACTTGTTATTTGTCTGTTAAGAGATTCTATATATTCCTGGTTTAATCTAGGAGGGTTGTATATTTCCAGGAATTTATCCATCTCTTCTAGGTTTTCTAATTTATGCACATAAAGGTGTTCAAAGTAGCCTTGAATAATCTTTCATATTTCTGTGGTATCAGTTGTAATAGCTCCCATTTTGTTTCTAATTGAGCTTATTGGGATCTTCTGTCTTCTTTTCTTGGTTAATCTCACTAATAATCTATCAATTTTATTTATTTTTTCAAAGAACCAGATTTTTGTTTCATTTGTCTTTTGTATTTTTTTATTCCGTTTCATTTAGTTGTGCTCTGATATTTGTTGTTTCTTTTCTTATGCTGGGTTTGGATTTGGATTGTTCTTGTTTCTCCAATTCTGTGTGGTGTAACCTTAGATTGTCTATTTGTGCTCTTTCAGACTTTTTGGTGTCATTTAATTCTATGAACTTTCCTCTTAGCACTGCTTTTGCTATATCCCAGAGGTTTTGATAGGTTGTGTCACTATTATCATTCAGTCCAAAATTTTTTTTTAATTTCCATCTTGATTTCATTGTTGACCCAGTGATCATTCAGGGGCAGGTTATTTAATTTCCATGCATTTGCATGGTTTTGAGGGTTCTTTTTGGAGTGATTTCCAATTCTGTTTGACTGTGGTCTGAGAGTGTACTTGATATAATTTTGATTTTCTTATATTTACTGAGACTTGTTTTGTGGTCTATCATATGGCCTAACTTGGAGAATGTTCCATGTGCTGGTAACTATAATGTATATTCTGCAATTGTTGGGTAGAATGTTCTGTAAATATCTGTTAAGTCCATTTGTTTTAGGGTATAGTTAAAGTCCATTGTTTCTTTGTTGACTTTCTGTCTTGATGACCTGTCTAGTGCCGTCAGTGAGTATTAAAGTCCCCCACTGTTATTGTGTTGCCATCCACCTCATTTCTTAGGTCTAGTAGTAACAGTTTTATAAATTGAGGGTCTCCAGAATTAGGTAAATATATTTTTAGAATATCTTTCCACTCCTTTACCTTAAGTTTATGTGAGTCCTTATGTGTTATGTGAGGCCTCAAAACCATGCAAATACGTGGAAATTAAATAACCTGCTGCTGAGTAATCATTGGGTCAACCATGAAATCAAGACGGAAATATAAAAATTATTTGAACTGAATGATAATAGTGACACAACCTATCAAAACCTCTGGGATACAGCAAAAAGCAAAAGTGGTGCTAAGAGGAAAGTTCCACAGCATTAAATGCCTACATCAAAAGTCTGAAAGAGTACAAATAGACAATTCTGAAGACAGCAGAAACTTGGTTGGTGAATTCTTATTCATTCTGCTATTCTGTATCTTTTTAAGTGGAGAATTTAGGGCATTTACATTCACTGTTATTATTGGGGTGTGAGGTACTATTCTATACATTGTGCAATTTGTTGCTTGAATATCTTGGTTTTTTTTCACTGTGTTATTGTTATATAGGTTCTGTAAGATTTATGCTTTAAGGAGTTCTATTTTGGTATATTTTGAGGATTTGTTTCAAGATTTAGAGCTCCTTTTAGCAGTTCTTGTAGTACTGGCTTGGTAGTGGCAAATTCTCTCAGCATTTATTTGTTTGAAAAAGACTGTATCTTTCCTTCGTTTATTAAGCTTAGTTTCACCAGATACTAAATTCTTGACTAATAATTGTTTTGTTTAAGGAGGTTAAAAATAGGACCCCAATGCCTTCTAGCTTGTAGGGTTTCTGCTGAGAAATCTGCTGTTAATCTGATAGGTTTTCCTTTATGAGTTACCTGATGCTTTTGCTTCACAGCTCTTAAGATTCTTTCCTTTGTCTTGATTTGAGATAACCTGATGACTGTGTGCCTAGGCGATGATCTTTTTGAGATGCATTTCCCAGGTGTTCTTTGAGATTCTTATATTTGGATGTCTAGATCTCTAGCAAGGCTGGGGAAGTTTTCCTCAATTATTCCCTCAAATACGTTTTCCAAATATTTGGATTTCTCCTTCTTCTGGTACACCAATTATTCTTAGGTTTGGATGTTTAACATAGTCCAAACTTCTTCGAAGCTTTGTTCATTTAAAAAATTTTTTTGTTTGTTTTTGATGGATGGGGTTAATTCAAAAGCCTTGCCTTTGAGCACTAAGATTCTTTCTTCTGCTTGTTCGATTCTATTGCTGAGACTTTCCAGTGCATTTTGCATTTCTCTAAGTATGTCCTTGATTTCCAGAAGTTGTGATTGTTTTTTATTTATGCTATCTATTTCACTGAAGATTTTTCCTTTCATATTCTCATCATGTTTTTGATTTCTTTAAGTTGGACTTTACCTTTCTCTGGTGCCTCCTTGATTGGCTTAATAACTGACCTTCAAAATTCTTTTTCTGGCAATTCAGAGATTTTGTCTTCATTTGGCTCCATTGCGGTGCACTGACATGATCTTTTGGCAGTGTTAAAGAATCTTGTTTTGACATATCACCAGAATTGTTTTTCTGGTCCCTTCTCATTTGGGTAGACTGTGTCAGAGGGAAGATCTGGAATTCAAGGGCTGTTTTTCAGATTTTTTTGTCCCACAGGGTGCTCCCTTGATGTGGTGTTCTCCCCCTTCCCCTAGGAATGGGGCTTCTTGAGAGCTGAACTGTAGTGATTGTTTTTGCTCTTCTGGATCTAGCCACCCAGCAGAGCTACTGGGCTCTGGGCTGGTACTGAGGAGTACAAAGAGTCTGGTGATGTGATTTGTCTTCAGGTCTTGCAGCTATGGACACCAGCACCTGCTCCAGTGGAGGTAGCATGGGAATGAAGTGGACTCTGTGAAGGTCCTTGGTTGTGTTTTTGTTTAGTGTGCTGGTTTTGTGTTGGCAATCCTCCAGCCAGGAGGTGGCACTTTCAAGAGTGCATCAGCTACGGTCCTATAGGGAGGATGCAAACCTGCCCTAGGGACACCTGGTTAAGTATTCAGGTTTCTCAGCTGGTGGGCAAGGCCATAGAGCTCTCAAGAGATTCTGACCTTTGTCTTTGGCTACCAGGGCAGGTAGAGAAAGATCACCAGGTTGGAGCAGGGATAGGCATGTCTGAGCTCAGCCTCTCCTTGGGCAGGGCTTGCTGTGGCTGTTGTGGGGAATGGGGGTGTGGTTTCCAGTCCAGTGGAGTTATACTCCAGGAGGGATTATGGCTGCCTCTGCTGAGTCATACAGGTTGCCAAGGAAGTGGGGAAAAGCCTGCAGCCACAGGCCTCACCCTGCTCCCATGCAGCCCGCAGTCCTAAAGGCTGGGCTTATTCCCACCTTGCCCCTTCAACAGCACTGAGTCCATTTCCAGTCGTCTGGTGACCAAGGTTGAGAACTTGTCCCGGACCACGAGCCTCCTTGTTGAGAAAGCAAGCAGACTCACAGGTTTTCAGCATCTCAGGCAACCTGCAGTTGTGATCCAGTTCCTTCAAAGGGTCTATGGATTGTCTTGGCTTTCCTGGTATGTTCCTGCAGTAGTTCTCGGAGCAAAAATTCATGATGTGAGTCTCCCTACACTGCTCTGTCCAGGCAGCTGCAAGCTAATCCTGCCTCTCATCCCCCATCTTAATCCTGAGTCCTGACCGTGGGGTTTTGATAATGATGGATGGATAGTATGATGAAAATGGTAGTTAGCACATGATTTAGCCTCTTAGGAAAAAAAATGCAAAAAATAGCAGTTAAATAAAAGAAAAATACTGACAACTACTTAGATACAAATTAAATACCTAACTTACCTGAGTAGTTACTTTTGGAGCTTATTCATTTATTTATTTATTTATTATTTTTTTGAGACAGAGTCTCTCTCTGTCAGCCAGGCTGGAGTACAGTGGCATGATCTCGGCTCACTGGAACCTCCATCTCCCGGGCTCAAGCAATTCTCCTGCCTCAGCCTCTTGAGTAGCTGGGATCACAGGCGTGTGCCACCATGCTTGGCTAATTTTTGTATTTTTAGTAGAGATGGGGGTTTCACCATGTTGGCCAGGCTGGTCTTGAACTCCTGACCTCAGGTAATCGGCCCACCTCAACCTCCGAAAGTGCTGGGATTACAGGCGTGAGCCACCATTACAGGCATGAGCCACCGCGCCCGGCCTCATTCTTCTATTTTTAAAAAAATTGCACACCTACTACATTCCAGGAAGTGTGCTAGACTGTAGGTGCAACAAAATATGCAATACGGTCTTAGCCCTCAGCAGGCTTACAGTTACCAGGTGGGGGTGGTGGAGAAATGAGTATATTGTCTTAATACATGACAATGAGTGTCCTGGGTTGCAGCAGGGCAAGAGTGGGGCCACTGAGAAAGTGTGGGATGAAGCATCAGGGAGAGTTGAGATGAGTGTTAGAGAGAAGAAGGGAGGACAAATCAGAGGCAGGAAGAGGGAGAGAGGGAAAGGGTGAGGAGGAGAAGGAGGAAGAAGAAGGGGAGGAGGGGATCAAAGGGAAGAAGAGGGAGAGGGAGAGGGTGAGGAGAGAGCAAACATGAACCTGAACCTGGTTACTTGGAGAACCCCCTAAGTTCAGTGCCTGGAGCTTTTCATGTCAGGAGCTTTTCATGGACTCAGTGCTGTTGAAGGGGCACAGTGGGAATAAGCCCAGCCTTTAGGACTGCGGGCTGCATGGGAACAGGTTGAGGCCTGTGACTGTAGGCTTTTCCCCACTTCCTTGGCAACCTGTATGACTCAGCAGGGGCAGCCATAATCCCATAATGAGCAAGAGCCAGGAAGGTGAGCAGGAGCCTGGTGATGGAGAGCCATGTGTGAGGGAACCTATTGTTTGGTGCAAGGTTCATTCTATGCTCAGTTTTCCACTGTAGAAAGATGACTTGATCAACAGTGGATAAAGAATTGAAATAGAGCAAGACTGGTGGCAAGAGATCAATTAACAGATGCTCCAGTTTTCTAGGGGAAAAATGGAAGGTACCTACACCAAGGAAGAGGCAGGTGATATAAAGAAGAGGGAATGGATTTCAGAAATCTGTGAAAAAGTGTATTTATCAGAACCTAACCTTATCAAATTGGTTAGTGGGAGGAGGGGTTAGGAAAGGAGAGGAGTCAAAAGTATCTGAGATTTCAGATTTGGATGACTGGCAAGTGGTAACTTCATTTGCTGAGGCTGGGAATATTGCTGAAAGAATAACTTTGGGGATGAGGTAGGAGAGTAAACTCATCTTACTGCATGTGTTTTATTGCTTGAGGTTTTTGCAGGTCATATAAATGGAGATAACCAATAGTAGTTAGATAGTTTATTTTTCTGTAAAGGGGAAACATTTAAAGTATATCTCAGGCCTTGCAAAGACCACACATTTTAGGGCCTCTCTGCTTTTGACTACTGCATTTTGTCCCTTGGCAATCTCTGACCTTCAAGGAAGTGCTAAAACCCTTAATTTTTCATTGAAAACGTCAGAGAAACAATTAACTTTATTAACAAATTTATTTCCATTCTTCAGCTACCACTTTTGCATCATTCTTTTTTCACAAAGAAACTCCTTAAAAATAAAACAAAATCCACATAATTACTTTCCAAAATTCTCACTTTCACAGTGAAGTTCTCCCAACTTCTTTTTTTGTTTTCAAGTGAGTCCCAACTACTTGATTAAGGGGTAGGTCAGCTTTGAGAGACATTCTTTGTAAAAGCACTGAATCTGGGAAACCTAATCACCTATGGCCAGGAGATGTCTCTGTTACAGATAATTTAAGAGAGGGAAAAAGAGAGGAAGATATTTTGGGAAGGGACTGGCCCAAAGTGCCCCTAAGCCCTTCAGGGCACTGGTCTCCTGAAGTTGGAGGCTAACTGGGACTCTTTCAGAAAGACAAGGTCAAAAGTTCTCAGTGAGGTGGAATGTATGGTATTTTTGCAACTTATGTCTTTCTGTTGGGGGAGGAATTTAAAAAGAAAGATGAATAATAAATGCTTTCTCTGAGTTGTGAATATTTTGCAGAGTAAACTCTGATTTGGTAATAAAATGCCACTATCAGAGAGGCAAGTTGATCATGGTTACATTTGCATAACACTGTAAATTTACTAAAAGTCATTGAATTGTATACTTAAAATTAAAGAATTTTATAGTATATAAATTATACCTTAATAAAGTTATTAGAAAATAAATAACTAAGATTCATCTTTGAGTAAAAATCAAATCTGTTAGCCTTTGAAGGTATACTGTGTCAGTAGTCTTGGGGAGAACATTGGCAGGTAAGACACTGTGACTGTCACCATGAAACTTGCAATCCATTGGTTGCATTTATGACTATCAGGAAATCTTTCTTTTCTGCTCAGCATTGGGTAAAATATAGATCTTCATTTGACAATTTAAAGCCAATAGGAGACAATTTGTGGAAAGCTTTGGGTTTGCTAATAGAGGTGAAAAATTGGGTTTATGAGAAGAGAAAAAATAATTGGGGGGAGAATGAAAGAGGAAGACATTCTACCGTAAGGAATTCAGGGAATCTGACAGAGGTTCCCGAGCCCACTGATTTCAGAGGGACGCTACAGGTCCTCCTTGCCTGATACCCTTCAGAAATAAGTTAGGCAGCCTTCTCTGTGCTGTCATAACACTGTAGATCTGCTATTTCCGAAGACATGGATTTTATTAATTTGCTTTTTAATGAGGATCTTTTTATGATCATAAAATATATGCTTGTTCATTATAGGAACTTTGAAAATTTATTAAAGTATAAAAGGGCTAGGTGCGATGGCTCACACCTGTAATCCTAGCATTTTGGGAGGTCAAGGAGGGCAAATCGTTTGAGCCCAGGAGTTTGAGACCAGGCTGGGCAACATGGCAAAACCCTGTCTCTACAAAAAAATAAAAACATTATCTGCCTGTGGTTCCAAGTCCCAGCCTCTCAGGAGGCTGAGGTGGGAAGATCACCTGAGTAGAGGAGGCTGAGGCTGCTGTGAGCTGTGATTGTGGCACTGCACAGCAACCTGAGTGATAAAGTGAGACCCCCAATCTCAAAAAAATTAAATCAACCACAGCTTTCCCTCAGACAACAATTTTTTAGATAAAGGCAACAGTGTTATTCTTTGGAGTGCCCTGTGGGTTTGTGGAGGTGAGAAGGAATGCCAATGTTTATTGCTTTCTACCTTGACGAATTGTTATAATAGGATTGATTTGCTTCTGAGTATGTGCCACTTTTATAATGTATTATATCTTCACTTTTAAAGCCTGCACAGTATTCCCTCTAGGGAATGCTCCTTCTTTAAGCAGTCCCCATCTTTGGACCATTAGCATATGAGAATGCTGTTGGTAATTTCTTTCTAAAATCAAGCCTAATTTCCTCCTAATTTGTGTTTTGGAGTACTGTGAATGACAGCCACTTAAAAATTCTCTAGAAGAAATTTTTCCTCTTCTCCTCTTTAAAGGTGCTGGTCTGAGGTTGGTGACCAACATGTGGGACAGAACATTTCCATTGGCCAAGGATGTGCCTATAAGGCCATCATAGAACACGAGATCCTGCATGCTTTGGGATTTTACCACGAGCAGTCAAGGACGGACCGGGATGATTATGTGAACATCTGGTGGGACCAAATTCTTTCAGGTGTGATTGGGCGGAGATTGCTATCACATTTATCACTGGCTGAGACCAATCCTGAGATGACCAAGCCAAATCTGTGTGGACAGGAGCTTCAGCCTCTCTAGTGGGAAGAAAGACTCTGAAGAGGTTATGATTTGTTGGCCCTTTATGTGGGCTGTGCTGGTCTGACCGGAATTCATCGCAGATAAGGGCCTCAAGGAATGGTGTTAACTCACTGTGGGGGTCAACTGAAAGTTAACCAGAAGCTTTGCTTTATATCAGTGTTTTCATTAAAACTCTATCTAAAACTCTACTTTCCTGTCTTACTGAGGAAAGTGAATCCAGATTTTAAAGTCATTTCTCTGGATGTGAAATCTCCTGTGCCTCTAGAAGGCTGTTTGAGGTTTAGTTGATTATTCCATGACTATAGGGCATACTCAAGAAGTATTTTTTCCAGTTGCTTTACCAAATCAATAAAAAATGTTTAAAAACAAAAACAAAAATAAATGCTTTTATCTGAAATAACACCCCAATTATGTTAATTCTAGCTAGTTATCTGGGTTCTGATTAATCAAAGGTGAATGTTTTTTTCTTCCTTGTTTCTAAGCACCTTGCTTCTTCTGCCTCCACCTCATACAATGCAAAATACAACAGTTTTGTCTTACGTATTATTCCGTTGTATTATTTTAACTATTTCATTGTTCTTTAGGTTGTTTTGTTTTGTTTTGAGACAGAGTTTTGCTCTTGTGGCCCAGGCTGGAGTGCAATGGTGCGATCTCAGCTCACTGCAACCTCTGCCTCCTGAGTTCAAGCGATTCTCCTGCCTCAGGGAGGCAGATGGGATTATAGGTGTGTGTCACCATGCCTGGCTAATTCTGTATTTTTTAAGTAGAGATGGGATTTCATCATGTTGGTTAGGCTGGTCTTGAACTCCTGACCTCAGGTGATCGGCCTGCCTTGGCCTCCCAAAGTGCTGGGATTACAGGCATGAGCCACCACCGTGTCCGGCCCTTACTTTCCTTAATTGTTTGAGACAATGAAGTAGAGTGCTTTTGAGTACACTAAAACATTTATTGAGCAGCTTCCTGATGTGGTAGAAAAAAAAAAAGTCAATGCTGTGTTTCTGAAGATACCTAGTTTTTAAGAAGGAATTAGTGAAGAGAATGCAAAAACATTGTTTTTGGCAGTAAGAGATTAATGAAACTTTAATATATTTAAAATGCCTTAACTGTTTCCGGCATGGCTTTTATAAAACAAATAATAGCCTTGTGTAGGTATCTGTTTTATTTAGATCCCAATTTTATATGCGGATTCATATATTGCAGTGCATCTATAATAATTTTACTTTTGGGGGCTTGGAAGAACTGACCAAGCTTTATAATTAAATATGAATCCTCAAAAGTTTTCTGCCAGGACTGTAGTAGTTCATTTTGGAGTAAGATGGTCAATGATTTTCACATGAGATGAGGGTAGAGAGGGCTAATCAAAATCACCTGTGAGGTTTCTCATCCTGTGCCTTCTCAGTCTCTTATATTCTGGTAATTCTATGAATGTGGATTGGTGTAGTAAGGAAGAAAACTGTAACTTATAATAGTCTAATAGGTCACCAGCTTTGAGCCTAACCACATACTCCGACCATCTTACCACCACCCACTGAACCAGAGGCCAGATAGCACTCTTCTTTGCCTCCCAGTCCAATCCAGAAAAGTTTTGGAGCATATTCACCCAGAGATGAAATAATAACTCAGACTTCATGTACCTATCTCTCAGTAGTAATTGTGTTATAACTGTGTGTGTGTGTAGAAGGAAGAAGGAAATGGAGTAATAGGTCAAAGGACTGAATCTCTGATTGCACTACTCAGGGGACTATTAGACTTTGTCTATATTTGCCTGTAAGCCTCAATTTCTTACCTTCCTGTACATATACTGGGCTTTGATGAAAATGTTGTAAGGAAGCAGAAAACATTTCTATTTCCAAGTCTTATAGAATACAATACTTAATGCTTTTAAAATGGTTTTAGGCCAAATGAGGTTCCCTTTATCGGAGTGAGGGACATTTGCCAGGGTCAAGTGCAGACTTGCTCAGCTCTGGTTTGAGCACGGGTTGCTCAACACATATTTGCTCATCTCCTATCTGTGTTTTCATCAGGTACAATTCCGTATATCTAAATTGCCTGCAACCACGGGAGAACTGTTCTCAAAAGAGACATCAAATCCAATAAGATTATCAACATAGGCAGTATTTTTTATCAGGGTAATTTGTGAGTTTTATTGATTTAACTTTGGTCAATAACAAGCTTTCTGTTTAACTTAAGAAGACACTGTACTGGCAATGTAATTCTCTCCCAATGTCCATCTCCATTTCTTGAATCAGAATTGTGTTTTTGAAATTTCTTTCCTTATGCTAGGGAAAAAACTCAACTTTTGAGGTCTAGCAGGGGTTGACAAACTATAGTCCATGGGCCATATCTACTTGCTTTTGTAAATAAAGCTTTATGGAAACACAATCATAACCATTTGTTTAAGTATTGTATATGGCTGTTTTCGTGCTACAATGGCAGAGTTGAGTAGTTACAACAGAGAACATATTTTCTATCTACTCTAGAACAGGTTTGCTGACTGATCCCTGGTTTACAGGATCGCATGCCCTGGATTACAGCCCCTTTTCAAGTCTCAGCTGTGAGTCCCTATCCTATTCACTGTTGGGGGCACTACCAACCTAGCACAGCTCTTAGTAGACACTAGGCCCAACAAAAACATGTTGAATACATTTTCAAATATTATTCAAAATATATGTTTGTTAAGTATTCTCATAAGAATCCATGAGTAACACAGATTAAAATAATCTATTCTAACCTGATGGGATTTTTGTTTTTGTTTTGAGACAGAGCCTTGCTCTGTCTTCCAGGCTGGAGTGCAACGGTGCAATCTCAGCTCACTACAACCTCCACCTCCTGGGTTCAAGCGATTCTCATGCCTCAGCCTCCTGAATAGCTGGGATGACTGGCGTCCACCACCATGCCCAGCTAATTTTTGTATTTTTTAGTAGAGATGGGGTTTCACCATGTGGACCAGGCTGGTCTCGAACTCCTGGCCTCAAGTGATTCACCTGCCTCAGCCTCCCAAAGTGCTGGGATTACAGGTGTGAACCACCGTGCCCAGCCTCTAATCAGATGGTTTTATGGAAAATTAAGTAAAGCACATCCAGTGAGTTGAAAGTGCTTTGCTTCAGGTGCCACTGAGAGTTACCAAGAGATTGTAGACTCTTATGCTCTTTAAAATTCCATTACCTCAAATGACATCCTAGGACCAAGTACTCTGGAGGGATTAACTTTCCCCTTCCCTGTTAGAGCCATTGTTTCTTTTAGACTTGTCCCACCTTCAAAAATGCTTTGATCCCTCTCAAGTAATCCCCAATATAATCCCCATGATTTGGGAGAATGAAACATCAGTATTCAGATTTTACAGTTAAAGCAAGATATTGCTCAAACATGGTCTTGCTCCTTAGCTTTTCCAAAAGCATTCAGAGACTCCCTCAGGCACCTGCTGGAGCATCGCCTGGCCACACCACACTTCTGCAGTCCTGCATATAGCTCTGTATGAGGCAGTTACATTTTCTTCTCTCTAATTGTTCAAAGTAACTGGATGAGGCCAGGCACGGTGGCTCATGCCTATAATCCCAGCACTTTGAGAGGCCGATGCAGGCAGATCACCTGAGGTCAGGGGTTTGAGACCAGCCTGGCCAATGTGGTGAAACCTCATCTCTACTAAAAATTAAACAATTAGCCAGGCGTGGTGCCACGTGCCTGTAATCCCAGCTACTCAGGAGGCTGAGGCAGGAGAATTGTTTGAACCCAGGAGGCAGAGGTTGCAGTGAGCTGAGATCTTGCCATTGCACACCAGCCTGGGCAACAGAGCAAAAACTCCGTCTCAAAACTAAACAAGTAAACAAACAAAAAGTGACTGGACAAGGAGCTAGAGAAGGAGAATACGAGGATGGGAAGTTATGACTGGAAGAGTTAGCTGCATTTGCATTCAGTTTTCCTATCACTCCACAAGAAGAAAATCAAAAAAATCTGCAAACCTTTCCATTAATGCAGCCCAAACAGTAAATTCCCGATGGTTATTAGTCAATTCAAAGACCCTCTGATCAGTTATTTTGTTCAGCTTTTTACATTGCAGCACATCTTATCTCACTTTCACTAATCTCAGAAAAATATTTACCTTTCCTCTTTTGATAGGAAAATAAGTTTTCTTCTTCCTATTTTATTTTTGTTCTCCATGAGGCTATTTCTGAAACAGAAGGATGTGAGCCTTGATTGGCAGGATCCCCTGTCTTGCTTTCAGCTGCTTACCTTTCCCTCTGCCCCTCAGATTTCCTTCTCCTAACCCATGAAGAGTAGGCCAGGTACAGCTCTGGGCAGACTCAGTGTATGAGGTACTTGGCTGTTAGAACGATGTGTCTTGAACATAATTGATTGTGAACATTTTCCTGAATTCAAAAATTATTTTTCCTGTCATTTGGAATACCTTCCTCAGCTTTGCTATTTTACCTTCTCTTTCTGAAAGTCTTACACACACGTACACACACACCCAGATACACACGTATTTATATATATTTATAATGTATCTTTGGTGTAAACATGTACATGTATTTAGTCATTTCTAATATTTATTTAAATTTACAATATGTATTTTATAGTTATTACAATATTATATATGTTATTGTATATTAATATATTAACTAATATTAATAATGATTCATAGTAATTTTACATTATATTGCTTATAAAATATAATTTATATTTAAATAAATCTATTTAAATAAATCTATTTAAATATATATAAATTATCATCTATTTAATATATAAATTATATATTAAATAGATGTATTTAAATATATAAATTATATATATTAAATAGATGTATTTAAATATATATAAATTATATATTTAAATAAATGTATTTAAATTTATATAATGTATTTAAATAGATGTATTTAAATATATATAAATTATGTATTTAAATAGATGTATTTAAATATATATAAATTATGTATTTAAATAGATGTATTTAAATATATATAAATTATGTATTTAAATAGATGTATTTAAATATATATAAATGATGTATTTAATTAGATGTATTTAAATATATATAAATTATATATATAAATTATATATTTAAATAGATCTATTTAAATATATATAAATTATATATATAAATTATATATTTAAATAGATCTATTTAAATATATATAAATTATATATTTAAATAGATCTATTTAAATATATATAAATTATATATTTAAATAGATCTATTTAAGTATATATAAATTATATATTTAAATAGATCTATTTAAATATTTATAAATTATGTATTTAAATAAATCTATTTAAATATTTATAAATTATGTATTTAAATAAATCTATTTAAATATTTATAAATTATGTATTTAAATAAATCTATTTAATATATATATTTAAATAGAACTATTTCCCTTTTTTGGAGGGTCTCTGGGTATCTAGTCAAAGAGTAGCATGGGGAAAATAACATGACTGAGAAGGACCTGTGGATTCTCTCCCTAACAGGTTACCAGCACAACTTTGACACCTATGATGATAGCTTAATCACAGACCTCAATACACCCTATGATTATGAGTCTTTGATGCACTACCAGCCTTTCTCATTTAACAAGAATGCAAGTGTTCCCACCATCACAGCCAAGATCCCTGAGTTTAACTCCATTATCGGACAGCGCCTGGATTTCAGTGCCATTGATTTAGAGAGGCTGAACCGAATGTACAATTGCAGTGAGTATCTCAGTTTCTGAGAACTTGGTAAACTAGCCTCAGCAGAGATTCCATCAGCCTTAGAGATTTCCTTTACATTTTCCTTTACTCTTCTTTAATGTACTAGCTAAAAGAATAAGAACAAACTGCGTAACTTTTGTTGGTCTACCTCTAGACCCATTTGTTTAAGTATTGTCTATGGCTGTTTTTGCGCTTCAATGGCAGAGTTGAGTAGTTAAAAACAAAAAACAAACAAAACTATAACAGCAACCTTACAGGATGGTTATAAAAACCAATTATGTAGTTATGTTTTATAAAGTCAAAGTACTGGACAAACGTAAGGAGATGTTATTGTCTAGCTTCTTTTGCTTCTTTTGGAGGGTGCATTATTACGTAAAGGTCAAAATAGGTGATGGACTTGAAAGCATTTTGTATCCTGTAAAATTCTTTACTTACGTTAGTTATTCCTAGAGTAATCTAATCCTCTGGGGCAGGGTGTTTTCTAAAGATGATCCCCCTAGCCTTTAGAGATAAAATGTTTGATTCTGTTCAATAAGTATGTACAAAAGACCTACTAAGTACAAAGCCAAATATTATAGGTATCTTGTTCTTGATCTAAAGGAGTTTATGGTTGGTATTTACATGGCAGAGAATGATTATAGTTTTTTTTATCTTGACTCTGTGAGGTAGGTAGGGCTGTGTCTATATATTAGCAAGTACTAAGATCTGATGACAGTAAGATTTGCATTTGAGAAAAAGTCAAGATAACAAGCTTGTGATCCTGTCATATCTGAACAATGAGGTTTTAGTGGCTTAAGACATTAGCTATTTGGAATGACTATCTTTCATTTTTAACCAGATGATAAAAATATAATTTGCAGCCACAACTCACACTCTTTTGGACCACTGTACTTTTGAGAAGGCAAACATCTGTGGAATGATTCAGGGCACCAGAGATGACACTGACTGGGCCCATCAGGACAGTGCTCAGGCTGGAGAAGTGGATCACACCTTGTTGGGACAATGCACAGGTCAGTGAAAGTGGAAAGCAAACACATTGATGTGGTTCACCAGGTTCAATTAGGTTATGCCAGCCACCATGTTTTGCCTCAGTCAGAATGTTAGTTATCAAACTTGAAAATCTGAACAAGGACAAAAAACATTTCTTATATCTTCATTATTAACTCAGTAAAAAGCATCCAGTCTCTGGGCACACAAAAGAAAGATGCATTTAAGCAAAACTGATATTAGTATATGATTGATAAGATAAAACCTCATAAATAAAGGCAATGTCTCTAGAACCACACCCTCCTACAGAAATATAATGTGAGTCACATATGTAATGTAGAATTTTCTAGTGTCCACATGAATCTGGCTCTGTGGCACAATGGATAACACATGGGACTTTTAATACCTCATGAAAAAGTAAAAGAAAACCGTGAAATTAATTGTAATAATGTATTTTTTAACTCAATATATCCAAATAGTAGCATTTCAACATGTAATCAAAATAAAAGTTATTATGAGATGCTTCACATTTTTCAGGCTAAGTATTTTAAACTTGACACATATTTTACTCCTACAGTACATCTCAGTTTGCACTGGCCACAATTCAAGCACTCAATAGCCACATAGGTTTGGTAGCCACTGTATTGGATAGCATAGCTTCAGATACTTCCTATATATGGTGTAGTGAAAAAGACAGACCTGGTTTGAAATATAGCTTCACCACTTACTAATTGTGACCACAGGAAGTTGTTGTCATGTGTGTGCTTTTTCTAAAAGTCTTGGCTTTTGCAAGCCTCTGTAAACATCAAGATATTGATGTCTACTTCACAATGACAATGGAAGAAGATAATGCATACAAAGCCCCCACCTGCAGACCAGCAGCTTCACTCCCCATTTTTCCATCTTCCCTTTCTCTCCAGAGGTTCCGTTTATTTTGTTTTTCTATTTTAGCCTTCTAGTATTCTGTGCCTGCCATTGAAATCATCTTAACCCTATTTGGAAACAGGTGAGGTTACAGATTATTATAGCTTTTCAAAGACTAGACTATTGCAAAGTCACTTAGTCCGTAACTGTCTGAGAGTTGGTGAGATTCCCTTCCCAGAAGGAACACAGCCTGTCACCCAGATACCAGGCCACCACAGGGAATGTCAGAGGTGATAAGCCACTGACACTTTTCCTCCATCTTTGGAAGAGGGTAAAAGCTTCTGTCACAGATCAGATTATCAAACATATCATCCCAAGTGTCCAAAGGTTGATCCAAGCCTGAAGTGCTCTCTAAATTTCTGTTGTAGCCTCTAATCCAACCTAGTCTGTGGGCTTGCTGTTAGGCTAATGTACAATTGCCAGCTAAACACAAAGGTGATCTTTATTGTGAGCGGAATCTGCTGAAAAAATGTTCTAGTAAGAGAAAAGGACCACAGCCCAGAAGAAAGATCTGGAAAAGCTGTATCAGGTTAACTTGAGCAGCTATTATGCTTCTTTCACAAGAGGTATTTAATGGAACATGTCCCTCTGCTAGAGAGCTCTTGCATAGTTACAGGTGGATGCGTAGACACAAAGAGCTTGAAGGATCCATTGGGAGGATCCCTCCCATTCAAAACCCACGGAAATAAACACCTAGGGAGAGCTGGGGATAATTCAGGCCTCCTGAGTTCTGGGCTTGAATTATTTGACTCTCAATTCATGCTTCATAATACACCTGGGCAAGAATTCCTGAGTAAGAATTACCTAGAAACCTTTATAGCCTTGTGCGCTGTTTTTTTTTTTTTTCTAACCCAGGCATTCAATATATAATTATAATTCAGAGGTCTCAGGCAAGTTCAAATATTGAGAAGAAGATACAAGGGAATATAATTTGCCCTGATTTAATATTAAAGTCGTTTGATATTTTAAGCTTGGTGGGAAGCTTATTTAAACCATCATTGCTTGCTGCTGATATGAAAGGCACGTGCCTCAGTGTGAGGCAGGATGAAGCTGGGAGCATCACGGAGCAACGCTGGAGTATCCAGCACTATACTGTACACTCACTTTATTTTTATCTTGTGAAATGTTTTGATGGAAGCATTTTGATATGGAGTTGAGTGTTGGAACACAGTATAAAGAACCTCTTCATATGCAAGAATTTTTCATTGTGCTTGACTTTGACAAGTGTGTGGTTTACCAAACGGTACATTTGTTTGGCTGCTTGACTGTTTTTAGGGGAAAGAGTTTTGAGATATCTGAGTCAGGTAAACCCTATCTCTGGCACTAATGTAGACACTTTTCACCCTCTTCAGTGTCCTTCCAATTCCTTCCTTTACATTCAGGGGAAATTTCCATTTAGTCTCTAATGTGTCCTGAATAGCCCTTCTTATAATATAGTAAAGATTACTTTTTTGCCACTGATAATACACCCAGTTATTAGGCTAGCAACAGGGGAAATTGAACCCTTATTGTCAATGTTTAAAACCAAATCCTAAATCTTTGAATTCCAGTGTCTTATACAACAACCAGACCAACCCAACTCTTTTCCTTGGAATGAATCTCTAATTTAAAGAATGAAGTCAATGAGAAAAATAGAATTCATCTCACAGACACAAAATTCCATCAAACATTGCTTGAAGCCTGTGTTTCTTTAAGTCAAAGGTATATATTTCACAATCTTGGAACAAAGGCAATCAAACACAACAGTGGAGAGCAAGCTTTAGCCAGTGACTAAGTCCATTGAGACAGAGAATATTTACTGACAAATGTCCTTCTTTTTATTTTCCTCCGAAGAGTTCTAGTTTTTGTTGCCTGGACAATGGCTGTGGTTCACTATTTCACTTTGTTTGGGTGGACAGAACCCTGGGGTGTGGGAAGCCAGACGTGTGATGTTTGGCTGCTCTTTCCATAGGTGCCGGCTACTTCATGCAGTTCAGCACCAGCTCGGGGTCCGCGGAAGAGGCAGCCCTACTGGAGTCTCGGATTCTTTACCCAAAGAGGAAGCAGCAGTGCCTGCAATTTTTCTATAAAATGACGGGAAGTCCTTCAGACAGACTCGTTGTCTGGGTCAGGAGGGATGACAGCACAGGCAATGTTCGCAAGTTGGTGAAGGTGCAGACTTTTCAAGGTACTTAGAGGCATTCACACGAGGAATGGATTGGGTTAAAATCCGGGATCCTGCTTCTTCTCCTCCTTCCCTCTTTCCTCCTACTCCTCCTTCTTCTCTCTCCTCCTCCTTTTCCTCCACCCACTTTCTTCTCTTCTCAGAGCCTATCATAATATATGGCATGTTTTAATTACTCTATGAATGTTTTAACCACTGAGAAATTAGAAGCAGTATCTTGGGCTTAGGTAGGGATGAAATATACTTTTGTAAGAAGCCAATCAGAATATACAAATCCAGTTTTCACTGGAAATTTAGAGAAAGCAAAGGCCAAGACTGAGAAAATGGATGGTTCAGGAGTGGAGATAAGAAGGTAAAAGACCTGTGCGAATTGATGCTGCGGGAGAGAGAGTAGTTAAATAGTTGACCAGCTCACGCCTGGAATCCCAGCACTTTGGGAGGCCGAGGCGGCCTTGTGGATCACAAGGTCAGGAGATTGAGATCATCCTGGCCAGCATGGTGAAACCCCGTCTCTACTAAAAATGCAAAAATTAGCTGGGCATGGTGGCGCGCGCGCATGTAGTCCCAGCTACTTGAGAGGTTGAGGCAGGAGAATTGCTGGAACCCGGGAGGCGGAGGTTGCAGTGAGCCAAGATTGCACCACTGCACTCCAGGCTGGTGACAGAGCAAGACTCCATCTAAAAAAAAAAAAAAAAAAAAAAAAAAAAAAAAAATTGACCAAAGTGTTTTGCATCTGTTTCAGAAAAACAAATGATACCATTATTTAATATGCTGAAGTAACTTGAAGCCTACTTGTGAAGTTGGTGGCAAATAAGTCATTGGTATATGTTAACTTCCTATAATCACTAACATGTTCCTAAGTGTCACTTTGTATATTTATATAAGAAGGTCAGCATGTAAATGATTATAGATGGAGAAATTTTTGTTGAAAAGTAAGAAAGCCTGTCTCCCTTTTCCTAGTTATGAATGAACCACCACCATAACAAAAGAAAGCAAATACTTTGTTTATAACCCTGGATCTTGATTTATGGCCAGATTATCCTAGCATCCAACTGCCTACCTTAGCATTTAATTTATCAATTGAAATGAGTCCAGGGAAAGGAATTATTTTTTATATATCTGCTGCTCTTGAAGAAGAAACCTTCCTTAGAGGTCACTTGTAAGAACAGGTGCCCAAATCGCCTATATCCAAGCCACTCTGTGGGCTGCCTGGGAACTCTACAAATCACAGTTTTGAGGGGTTCACTTTTCTGGTTGAAATTTATTATAGTTTATATGATAAAAGGATGACAGCTAGATACTCTTTAAGAGTTGAGGATGTGTTATGTTACCAAGGATTGTAAATATTTAATGAGAAAATGAGTTAGAGTTTCAATAATATTGATGGGACCTATTATCACTCACTTTCATCTAAAGCTAAAAGCGTTACTTCTAAGCATAAAATCAATCAAGCAAACATCCTATGCTTAATTTAGTTTCTTACACTGCTGTGCTTTGTGTTTCATTGAATTCAGAGTATGCCTGTGTACGTTCCCTGGGAACACTGTATGAAAGGTTTTTTTAAGTAGTCTGTTCTGATACTGGTTTGTCAATGAAACTTTTCAAAAAGGTTAGTTGAATATCACTTAGTGTTGTTTATGTGATATTCAACTTAAGACAGTCGCAACCAATTTGAATAGCTTTTAAGTTTTGCAAAATGTATATTTTGACCAAAACACTTACACACAAAATGTCTCCATATGCATATCTGTATATAATATATGTTACATACATAATGCTTATATACAAACTTACATGAAAAATGTTGGCATACAACTATGTGTATGTACACACACATGCACACACACACGTTTTTACTGAGGCCAGGACTTCCTTATAGAAGACAATTCTGAACTAACAGGGATTAAATTTGTCTCAAACAATCGTAGTAGCATTATTGCCTGACTGATTTAGGGCAGCCCTGTGGAAGCATGTAAACGAAACCATCTTAATAATTTCATAGATGAATTTCTGCCTATGTGGTATAGCCTCTTGGGTCTCCTTCCCAGTGCCAGATTCCCCCATCTCAACCTCATTTTGACATCCTATATTAAGAAAAAACAAAGCAGGTACTAATCAGCAAGAACAGAATCCTATTCTCTTGACAGAATTCCCATGATCTATAACCTGCTGGATAAATAGTTCAAATCCTATATCTCTGTTCCTATTCCTAGACTTTCTGGCACCTATTACCCTTCAAGTCCATGTGTCTTCCACTAGGCTGCCATGCTCTCCGCAGGAGAGGGCAGCTGCCTAGATTTGTATGTTACAGAGGTGGTCGTGTGCCTTCTCTACCTCTCTCCTGTGTTCCCATGTAACCTACCTCTCTCCTGTGTTCCCATGTAACCTAACCACACAGGCCATAATCAGCTCCACCCTAAGAAACAGAACATTGTTAGACCTGTCCCTTGAAGTTGTACTTAGAGAGAATGGCCTGAAAACACAAGGGAGATTAAAGGTCTTTTCCTTTTCAGGGAAAGTATAGTTCTATAAGTAGATATCTGGTTAAAAGACACAGAAGAAGGAAAAAAGACACTCATCTGTAGGAACTCAGTTTAGCCAACATGACTTCCACTTGGAAGCATTTTTCCTCTCCTCTTCAAGCCCAACTCTAGGGAATACCCTGTGCAAAAATATCAGTGTAGGCACATCTCTTTGCGGAATTGAGTTGCTTTGCTTTCGCAGTTTCCTCTCTCCAGTACCCCCAAGCTCCTGTCTGGCTTCTTATACTGTTCAACCCAGGATCCTATGTTCTAGAACGGCCTTCTCACCATCTTTCCTCAGCTCTTAATTCGAAAGTCCCACTTCTAGTTCATGCTCAGAGAAAAAGCAAGTAGACCTAATCTTTATTAGAACGTGCATTTCCAGACAATAGTACTCTATTTGGCTTACTTTGCTCCCCTACATGGTGGACTTTCAGATAATATAAGGAAGAGAAAAAAGTCTAGATGTTGGAGAGGGAGTCAGTTTTAGGTAGGGAAGATCCAGTCAGTCCTACAGGTTATTATCTGCTCTTCAGCATTCCTTATAGCTCTCTGGCAACAAGTGACAGGTCGGACCATATGGAGTTACTATTTTTTTTACTTTTGGCTTAGAAAATGGCTATTTTATATGATTCAGCCTAACACTTGGGTTTTCTTTGCTAACCTTAGGGGTTACAGTTGAACCAGCCAACTCAGGAGGAAATCCAGAACCTGGATTCTTATAGTGGAAAACAAATTCACGGTTAAGATTTGAATGTGAATTTTAAAATAAATCATAGTATTTTAAAAAACAATTTTTCCTTATTAGGTATGTAACTTTGGAAAAGTTACTTAACCAGTTTATAACAGTACCTATTTTATAGGGCTGTTGTGAGGATTTAATGAGATAATTTATGGAAAGCACATGGCACTGTGCCAAACTCATAATAAGTACTCATTAAGTGTTGGTCACAGTTCTCACCAGCCTTGTTCTCTGTCCTCAGGAGATGATGACCACAATTGGAAAATTGCCCATGTGGTGCTCAAAGAGGAACAGAAGTTTCGCTACCTTTTCCAGGGCACAAAAGGCGACCCTCAGAACTCAACTGGGGGAATTTACCTAGATGACATCACTCTGACAGAAACCCCCTGCCCCACAGGGGTCTGGACAGTCCGGAATTTCTCCCAAGTCCTTGAGAACACCAGCAAAGGGGACAAGCTTCAGAGCCCTCGATTCTACAATTCGGAGGGATATGGTTTTGGGGTAACTTTATACCCAAATAGCAGAGAAAGCTCTGGTTACTTGAGACTTGCTTTTCATGTGTGCAGTGGGGAGAACGATGCTATCCTGGAGTGGCCGGTAGAAAACAGACAGGTGATAATTACCATCCTTGACCAGGAGCCTGATGTCCGGAACAGGATGTCCTCAAGCATGGTGTTCACTACCTCGAAGTCGCACACATCTCCAGGTGGGTGGTGTCAGCGCAAATAAGAACTGCCCCTTGAACCAGAGAGGCCCACAGATGTGATTCTGTGGTGCAAGAAAGAGTAACGTTCTCCTCACATTGTCTGTTTGGGAATACCAATAACATAGTCTTGTTGGAGTTTCAAGTCAAGATTTTCAATGCCATCACATCCTCCTTCCCTTTCCTAAATTCACTCATCAAACATCTATTGAGGGCTTACCATGTGCCAAAGTCGGTGCTAGGTACTTAGAATACAAGTGAATCAGGTGATCCCTGCCTCACTGAGCTCGTTGTGATTGAGGAAATAGATACTGCTAATCATTTATCAAATACTTGGAACTTGCTGGGCTCTGTGCAGAGCTAATGTACTTACTCCTAAAATAGTACTCAATGTTACTATGTTCATGAAGTAAACTTACATCAGTAAAGAAATGGGCAAACTATTTTTTTTTTTTTTTTGAGATGGAGTCTCCCTCTGTCGCCCAGGCTGCAATGTAATGGCGCATTCTCGGCTCACTGCAACCTCCACCTCCCAGGTTCAAACAATTCTTCTGTCTCAGACTCCCGAGTAGAGATGGGGTTTCACCGTGTTGCCCAGGCTGGTCTTGAACTCCTGAGCTCAGGCAATCCACCCGCTTTGGCCTCCCAAAGTGCTAGGATTACAGGCGTGAGCCACCACGCCTGGCACTAATTTTTTTTTTTTTCAAAAGAGAAGACTTAAGCCTTAGAAGAAAGAAGCCGTAGCTGTCCCTCTCTTTTCATTAAGAAAGTCGCTCAGTAGCAGACAACTGATCACTCAGAGCTGTGATTCTCTGCCTCTCCCATCTTTCAATTCTGAATTGCAATTCTCCTGGAAATAGTAAATAGCCTAATTTTTTTCCAACACTTTTTTTATTTTTATATTTATTTATTTATTTATTTATTTATTTATTTATTTATTTATTTATTTCTGATTCACAAAGCCCTGTATCCTCATTAAAGACAAACTGGAAAGTGAAGTCTAAAGAGGTAATGTGATTTTATGTTACCTACAACTTTGCAGCGATAAATGACACTGTCATCTGGGACAGGCCGTCCAGGGTGGGAACCTATCATACGGACTGTAATTGTTTTAGAAGCATCGACTTGGGCTGGAGTGGTTTCATTTCCCACCAAATGCTGAAAAGGAGGAGTTTCCTGAAAAATGATGACCTCATCATATTTGTGGACTTTGAAGGTACTTTTGTTGGTCTTCCTGAGTAAATAATCCTATGCTCTTGGCACTCTACTGATTTTATCCTGATTTTTAAAGCACACACGGAGGGTGGGGATGAGGTTAAAACAATGTGTTGTAGGAGAATCACATTTTATTCAATTGGTCAAGGACTCACATCTTTATTTTAATTGTCCTTGAAAGAAACTGAAATTTTAGTGTCATCTTTTTGATAATTTTATCAGAGGTAACCGTTCACTGATTTCAATTTAGTTTCCATCAGCCTATCCATGCTAATTTTATGCTTCATTTTGCAAATTCAATAAATAAAAATGTGACTGGATTACTTTAAAATAAAAGTAGCTAATACTGTGGGAATCAGCTGGATTCAAAGCCACTTTTCCATGTCACTAGGGGTGATGGGAGATAGAAGCAGGCTGGGGAACTTTCACCAGAAGTGGGAGTTAATTGTAGTCAGTTACTAATCCTGGATCTTCCTCATGACTCTCTATTTCCTGAAGATATCACCCACCTCAGCCAGACTGAAGTTCCCACTAAAGGCAAAAGACTGAGCCCCCAAGGCCTCATTCTCCAAGGCCAGGAGCAGCAGGTCTCCGAAGAAGGTTCGGGAAAGGCCATGTTAGAGGAAGCCCTACCTGTCAGCCTGAGCCAGGGGCAGCCCAGCCGACAGAAGCGGTCGGTGGAGAACACAGGCCCCCTGGAGGACCATAACTGGCCACAGTACTTCAGAGACCCATGTGACCCAAACCCTTGCCAAAATGACGGCATCTGTGTGAACGTGAAGGGGATGGCGAGCTGCAGGTAGGCTCTGTGGCTGGGGAGACAGGCAGGCCAGCAGACCTGGGCCGTGTGCATGCTTGCTCCTGGTAAAGGCTGCTGTTTGCAGAGTAGGGCGAAGACTACCTCAGATGGTCAACTGAATGCGGTTTTCTTTGACTCTACAAAGGTGTGCCCTGGATTCATGGGCTTATGCTGCCAGGACAGAGGCTTCCCAGGTCACCTTGTCTCTTGACTTTCACCCCTTTTCCCCTCTTCTGGGGTATTGTCAACAGCATCTTGGATGTTGTTGGAATTTCTAACTCTAACAACACCCAAGATGGCTTCTAGCCTAGGGACTTTCTACTCCATGAGGGTGGGTCTCAAGACCAAGCTTAAATCTTTGCTGACTACAGATGTTATTAGTTCCTAATTATTATTAGTTCTATAGTCTGTCATTTACACTGTACTATTATTACAGTTATATTTTCAATAATAGTAGTAAGAACACCTGATATTTCTGACCCCTTGTTATGCATCATGTAGTCTCCTGAGCATCTTACACGCATGATCTAAATTCATTCTCACTGCCACCTGTGACATAAGGGCTCTCCTTATCCCCGTTTAGTGTGTCAAGAAGTTGAAGCTTAGAAAGATTAAGTAATTTATCTAAAATGTACCCAGATGGAAAATGCTGAAGCTGGGACTTGCATCTAGGTCTGTCTGGCAGCACAGTTTGCTATATTTTATAGTTCTTTTTATAATGTTTGCTTGCATAAAACCCTAAAAACTGTTTCACAAAAGGAGGTATGTGATGACAGAAGCAACAGTTCCATTTGAACAGTAGCAGATGTAGAAGCTATTCTGCCTGCCTCAAAAATTTACATTTCTTCTGAGTTCTTTTTAGTCTCCTTTTTTTTCTCTTTTTGTAGCTTTTATTTTGAAATAATTTTAGACTTACAGATACAATGCAAAAATACTACAGAGGTTTTCTCTATACCATTCACCCAGCTTTCCCTAATGTTAGCATATTACACAAACCATAGTACAATTAGCATAGCCAAGAAATGAACATTGGTACAATGCTAGTAAATAAATTACAGGCCTTATTCAGCTCTTCCCAGTTTTCCCACTAATGTTCTTTTTCTATTTCAGGATCCAATTCTGGATCTCACATTACATTTAGCTTTTATGTCTCCTGTCTCCTAATCCCCTCCAATTTGGGACAATTCCTCAGTTCTTTCTTGTCCTTCATTACCTTGACACTTTCGAAGATTACTGGTCAGGGATTTTTTTTTTTTTTTTGGTTCATCTTGTTCTTACATGATTAGATTGAAGTTTCACATTTGTGGCAAGATTAGTAAAGATGTGCTATGCCTTCTCGCTGCAGCGTGTGAACAGGTACATGATGCCTATACATGTCATTACTGGTGATGTCAACCTTCATTATCTGGCCAACAGCATGTCCACCAGGCCTCTCCACTGAAGAGTTACCATTTCTCCCTCTGTAATTAATACGTATATTGGGAGAGATATTCCAAGACCATGGAGACATTCTGCTTTTCCTCAAATCCTCACACACTAATTTCAGCATCTGTTGACACATCCTGCTGCAATACTCACCACTGAGATCTTCTAATGTTGATTTCCTATATCCTTCACATTCATTAATTATAATCTCCTGTAAAGAAGAATGGCACCTTCACCCCGTTAATTTGTTTATGTGATTGTTTATTCACATCACGAAGGAATCATAAACATTAATTTTATTCAGTGGGCTCTGTTGCAATAATTTCATGATTTATTTTGTTGCTTCTATTGTCCCAGCTTTGGCCTTTGGGAGCTCTTCCAGGTTGGCTCCTGTGCTCTTTCAACATCAGATTTTATGAACACAATGTTACTTTCTGGCACCATAACATGCTCTAGGCTCATCTTTAATTTTTCCTGCCCCACCCATAGAATCAATCACTCTTCCAAGAAGCCCTCTGGTTCCTTTTACTGGGGAAGGCCCATCTGTTTCTGGGCTCCAAAGCCATAGGTCTGCATATCTTTGCCTGACAGGCCCTTAGATGCCAGATTCCATTATGTGTCCCCAACAGGCTTCATCCTTCCCAGGCTAAGGGAGGCCAGGGCTGCCACTTGTATGTCAGCCTCCACTCAGCCAAACTATTGCTCTCCTAGAAACCTGCAGCTGAGAGTTGGCAGAATAAGTTTTTCTAAGGTAACACTAGGGGATATCACTAAGTTGTGTTTGGAGAGGACTGGGTCAGAAAAAAATGAAATAAACTTGCTATTACTCACTGATTTCTAAGAAGTCAATTCTCAGGATAGAGATGAGGCCTTGGAAGGTAAAATCATTCAGGATTAGTAAAAGAAAATGCTGACTTCTTATTTTTTTTTTTTTTGAGACAGTTTTTGCTCTTGTCACCCAGGCTGGAGTGCAATGGCACGATTTCAGCTCACTGCAACTTCCACCCCCCGGGTTCAAGCAATTCTACTGCCTCAGCCTCCCGAGTAGCTGGGATTACAGGTGCCCACCACCATGTCTGGCTATTTTTTTTTTTTTTTTGGTATTTTTAGTAGAGATGAGACCATCTTGGCCAGGCTGATCTCAAACTCCTGACCTCAGGTGATCCACCCGGCCTCCCAAAGTGCTGGTATTACAGGCGTATGCCACCATGCCCAACCAGAAAATGCTGACTTCTAATTGTTTCACTCTGCTCTGTAGAATTCTGCTGAGTAGACCTTCTAGTAGGAATGTTTGAAACAAAGGCTGGAATTGTTACAAAGGTATGGATGAGACACTACAAGTTATATGCCTTGGTTATGAGATTAGTTGATCTTTATACCAGATAACATTAAGAAACAAAACTAAGGGCTGGCCATTATGTGCTTACTCTGTGTTAAATACCTTGATAAGTACAGTGTCCTCATTATCTCATGTGAACTTCAGGGCAACCTCGTGAGATAGTGACAGTACACTAACCTTATAGTAACATTTTATTTGATATTATTTAGAAGTTTTTAAGTTACCACTGATGCTCTAAGTCGGTCTATATCTGGGGAATTTCCTTTGTAGCTTATATTCTCAGCCAGTGTCAGGCAATGTATTCCTTTAAGTGTCTCAGGCCTTCCTCCTGAGTCCTTGGTGGCTGAGAGTCCTGGATCTGGAGGCATACCTCTTGAGATTAGATTTCAAGTGTGAAACACTTACTAACAATGTGACCTTGAGCAAATTATTTAACCTTCCTGTAAGATGAAGATGATGAGAATGGCCAAGTAATAGCCTCCACCTCAAAGGGTTGTTGCAGGGTTAAATTAGTTGGTCCATATACAGCTCTTGAAATGGGACCAGGCACCACGTGGACCTGCTCAGTGAGCGTTTGCCATTTTTATTGCTGTGGAGATGAGTGTTGCTAGGAGGCACCTGAGGCCTGGGTAGTTCCCACACTCCCTTCATGTCCTTTTCCCTCAGGTGCATCTCTGGACATGCTTTCTTCTACACGGGGGAGCGCTGTCAGGCCGTGCAGGTGCACGGCAGTGTCCTGGGCATGGTGATCGGAGGCACGGCTGGCGTGATCTTCTTGACCTTCTCCATCATCGCCATCCTTTCCCAAAGGCCAAGGAAGTGACCTGCCTGCTGGCATTGGCCAGACCACAGCAGCACCTCCTCCATGCAGGCCTTAACTTTCCCATGGTCAATGCAGTTTTTATCAGCCTTGCTTTGGATAGGACCTCCAAGGACTAAGGCCTCCAGCCCCATGTGTGACCCTTGTCATCTCTCTGCCCCACATAATTCTGTTACTTTGCTATGTGCTCCTAATGTATCTAGTGTGTCCTGTGACAACACTCATCACACTTCATTGTAAATCACTTGTTTTATTGACTGTCTTTCCTATAGACTGTAAGCTCCATGAGGGCAGGCACATGTTGTTCTCATTGACCGTGCTGGCCCCAGTGCCTAGATGCATGGCTGGCACATTGTTGGCACTCAACAATGGTTGAATGAATAAAACAATAAATGAATGAATAACTAAGATATAGAAACTCTCATTTATATTGCAGATTGAATATATATGATGAAATTCTTATGTTGAATATGTTAGAATCAAATACTCATTTTTCATTAGATACAGTAGTGTCATCACTCTTTTAAGATCTTGTTAAAGATTTCAAATAAAGGTACTTCTGGGCAGCCAGGCTGCACAGCATTTGCTTTCCTCTGAGATTCTAAGAGAAGGCCTTTAATAAATTTAATAAATATTGAGTTAGCACCTTCTTTGTATCTGGTATTGTATATAAGTGTGGGTGTGCATGTGTGTGTTGAAGGGTAGGGGTGTTCAAAAGCTCTTTCCCAGATCTTTTAAGTTTAATAGCATATTTTATAGCTATTTATGTACAACATTATCATATTAACAAACTGAAGGTATCAGAGAACTTTAAAGAAGTATTTTTAGATATGCTTTCTTTCCATAGTTCCTAAGGAGATAAACTCTAGCTGGGGCAAGGAAGTTCCAAGATAGAGCAAGTGAAAAAAAAAAAAAAGCTAAAGTTTCTATACCCAATCAGCAATAAGTCAGCTCAGGAAGTTTAATAAATGAAAAGATTTTAAGGATTCTGAGTGGTCCTTTAAGTCATAAGGTTTCCTAAGTAGAGACTTTATGACAATTTTGTAGAGTTAAAATGCACTGGAAACAAAATGAGAGATTAACAAGAGTTTCTTTAATGCAAAGTTATGGGAACAATTTGTAGCGAGTGAAAACAGCACCCCTGAGGGCAATAACTCTCAAACTTCAGGTGCATCTGTATCCCAGGGAGGACTGATTAAAACAGATTACAAGGCCCTACACCCAGAGTTTCTGGGTCAGTAGATCTAGGGTGGGATCTAAGAATGTGCATTCTTAAATGTGCCAGAATCTAACAAGATATAAGAATGTGCCAGAATCTAGTAGGTTTCCAGGCCATGCTGCTACTGCTACTGACTCCCCCACAACCTCCACCTCACAGACACCTTGAGAACCACTGCTCTAGTGGATAGAAAACAGGTCTGGAAGCCAAGCATCCTGGCTGCAGGCTTGGATTGCCCATCCAGCTAGCTGGGTAAATTTTAGTAAGAAATCATTTAAGCTCTTGATCTTAGTTTACTAACTTGTCAAATGGAAATAATAGCTGACTATCTCCTTCCACATGACTTTACCACTTACAGAGTAGCAGAGTAATACAATGGGATAATGAATATGAACCTATCTTAGAGTTTAATATGTATGAAAATATTACTATTCAATGTTCAGACTAGATAGGAAGCTATCCTGTCACCAGCCCAGTTGTATTATCTCCAAAGACCAGATTGGAAATGGATTTCAGCTTTGTTTCTCGCTGTGCTTCACAGTCCTGCAAACCCTCCACTAACCTCAGAGTTAGGCCTAAAGAAAGCCATGCCCTTAACACTCTGCTCAATATCTGACCTCAGAAGTGAACTCTAGGCTTTGTTGCTGCTGCTGCTGTTATTGTCCTTTTGTTTTATTAAAAGGAGCATGCTGTGGTCTGTCACACATGGAAAGGCCCCAAGCCCAAACCAATGACAACATTTCTTAAATACATGAGTTTCTCTCTGGAGGAAGCAGAAGCTAAAATTTCAAAGATAACCTAGTATTTTCATCTAGTACTCCAAATTAAAACTGCTAGGTCAAAATAATGATAAGGAGGTACCAGAATGAGGGTAAAGCATTTTGATATTTATTTCTCTCTAGATTCTCAACCAGCACCATGCCTACTATCTATGTTTATCACTTTTGATGATTAATGGAAACCTCTGTTGATTGATTAATGGAAACCTCTGTTGATTGATTAATGGTCTGGCTCACTGTAAATCTGACATGTTATTCAGCTTTTCTTTGAGCCCAAACCCTCAATAATTCCAGGAGGACTAGCAGATACTTTATTCTTTTAAGATGTTGGGATGGTGATGGCAGAGGGCATGTAGGGTGGGGAGTAGGTAGAAATTAAGCATTTCATAATCTCTAGGCAGTGTGGAATTCAGGATTTAGATGAGCAACATGAAAAATGTGGGAAATCCTCCCTGAATCTGAGTGTCTGACTTCTTTAATCTTACATAGTGGGAATAAGTCATAGTGGCTTGAAAATTTGAGAATGTCTCATGCTTCCCCCACCATATCCTCGATACATCCCCATCTGCATCCTTTCCTTCTGTGAACTGACCTGAGCCAATCTGGCCATTCACAAATGTCAGGTTCTTTCAGTAATATCTGGAGCCTCTGATAATTAGAAGTGGATGGGAACTCTAACCCCCTCTCTGATGATGTTGAAATGAATCAAGATTTAAACTAAATTCTGCTACACCTTCATATTTGTTAACCATTGTTGCGGGAAGTCAGGGACCTCGAATGGAGGGACCAGCTGGAGCCGCAGCAGAAGAACATAAATTGTGAATATTTCATGGACATTTATCAGTTCCCAAAATTAATACTATTATAATTTCTTATGCCCGTCTTTACTGCAATCTCTGAACATAAATTGTGAAGATTTCATGGATGTTTATCACTTCCCTAATAATACTCTTATAATTTCTTATGTCTGTCTTTACTTTAATTTCTTAATCCCATTATCTTTGTCAGCTGAGAATGTACATCACCTCAGGACCATTATTGTACAAATAGATTGTAAAACATGTGTGTTTGAACAATAAGAAAATCAGTGCACCTTGAAAAAGAACAGAATAACAGCGATTTTCAGGGAAAAAAGGAAGGTAACCATAAGGTCTGACTGCCTGTGGGGTCGGGCAGAATAGAGCCATATTTTAATTCTTGCAGAGAGCGTATAAATGGACATGCAAATAGGAGAGATATCGCTGAATTCTTTTCCCAGCAAGGAATACCTTGGGGGAAGGAATGCATTCCTGGGGGGAGGTCTATAAACGGCTGCTCTGGGAGTGTCTGTCTTATGCAGTTGAGATAAGGACTGAAATATGCCCTGGTCTCCTGCAGTACCCTCAGGCTTACTAGGATTGGGAAATTCCAGCCTGATAAATTTTGGTCAGACTGGTTCTCTGCTCTCAAACCCTGTTTTCTGTTAAGATGTTTATCAAGATAATACGTGCACAGTGGGACATAGACCCTCATCAGTAATTCTAATTTTGCCTTTGCCTTGTGATTTTTATTGCCCTTTGAAGCATGTGATCTTTGTGACCTGCTCCTTGTTTGTATACCCCCTCCCCTTTTAAAATCCCTAATAAAAACTTGCTGGTTTTGCAGCTTAGGGGACATAACGGACCTACTGATATGTGATGTTACCCCCAGAGGCCCAGCTGTAAAATTCCTCTTTGTACTCTTTCTCTTTATTTCTCAGACCAGCCAACACTTAGGGAAAATAGAACCTACGTTGAAATATTGGGGTCTAGTTCCCCTGATAAACCATCAAGCCCACAAATAGCCATCCAACCTGTTTTGTAGGTGTAGGGAAGTCTCTGCTCTGTCCTTTTAAGTGCTCCACCTCCAAGCCTCTTGGATTAAAGGTTCATTCTAGACACATACAGTCAAATAATCTGAAGGCCAAGATCTGTCAACTCTACCTTAGGGTTTCTGAACCTCAGCCCTGGTAATATTTTGAGGTGGGTATTCTTTTCTGTGAGGGCTGTTCTCTGCATTGTGATATGTTTAGTGGCATCCCTGGCCTCTACTTACTGGATGCTCATAGCACACTTCTTCAGTAGTGACAACCCCAAATCTCTAGGACATTGACAAATGTCCCCCTGAGGGGCAAAATCATTACTTATCAGGAATCACTGCTCTAGTTGGATCAGCCAATGAAACCTTGTATTAAGTGAGGGAAAACTAGGACCAAACAGAGTTCTAGTCTAAGGTTCTACCCCAAAAGTTAGTTCACTGGGCCTGCCAGAGTATTGTACCTATAGCTGTCTTGATAATTGTATTTAACCAATGCAAAAATTATTTTAAGCATCCTTTATACTAATAACAAACCCTCTGGTGTAGCTTGCTATAGAAATATTTAAAGTTTTGCAACAGATATTTTTCCAGTAGAGACTTTTGATAGGATCTTTCAAATACTAACTAACTGCTATTGGAGTGTGTGTTCCTTTTCAGAATACTTTGCATACTATTTAACCTCCCCCAGGGTGTGGATTTAGTCCCCCTGCAGGCTGTATACAGTGTATTTCCTATATGGAGGCATTCACAAGCAAATTACAGATGGATCTCACACCTTCCCTTCTTGAGCTCTGCCTTTCTCATGAATTATATCATCTGTTTTATGGCTTGATTAAATTTTAGAGATTCTGAAGTCCACCTCTTGTATTTGGGTAAACTGAGGCAATTCTGGAGAGGCTAAGTGCCTTAGGCAGGTCACAGAGCCACTTAATAGCAGAATCTATTATTCTTGTTTGACTACAGAAAACCTTAATAAGATTAGAGGTTTGGAAGGTGCTATAAAATGTAGGCTAATCTATATGGAACACTATGTAAAGTTCTTTTTTACTTGGTTTTCTTTATTAGGTATATCAGTTTTATGGATAATTAGTCACCTACTCAAATTTCTATATGCTTATAAATATGGTTAAAACATCTTTCTTATGTCAGTTTTAATATAAATATGTTTTTCAAAAGTCTCTAAGCAAAGAAAAGTTTGAAAAGATTTATAGTTATCCTGTAGCTGTGAGTGTCATTTAGCAAACTCTTGATAACTCTAATGAATGGGGGATGGGAGATAATGGAGTCAGGTGCCAGTGACCTCTAATGAGTACTGATGTGAAAAAATATGATAGGAAAGATTTGATATGGGTAGGGCAGCCCAACAGATGTGTGTGTGTGTGTATGTGTGTAAGAGTTGCAGCTAACAGTGATATCAGAGTAAAGACAAGACCCATCTCTCTTTGCCTTCCACAGTTTTACCAAGAACTAGTCCTGGAATCCCAGAATGGATTGAGACATGGGCCTCATCTGGGTCACAGCATACCTTAGGGCCTAGACAAATGTAGGACAAATTGACCCATGTGTGGCTCACCAGCTCAATGAAAATCATTAAAAACATTTAAAGATCCTATCTGGTCAAGAGAATAAAAGGAGAATAGAAAAATGGGGTCATAAGAAAGGCATGAGAAGAGAGCAGGAGGCAGAGGAGATGTTCAGATACCAGCCCCCAACAAAAATGGTCACCAACATCCATTCTTCTTTTCTCAGTAATAGAATCCCCAAACTCCAACTGGTCAAATGGCTACTCAGAGTCTAGTTTACATTCTCCTGCTTCCTTTGCAGGTAGATGGGTGATATGGTTTGTCTCTGTGTCCCCACCCAAATCTCATCTTGAATTGTAATCCTCATGTGTGGAGGGAGGGAACTGGTGAGAGGTTATTGGATCATGGGGGTGGTTTCCCCCATGCTGTTCTTGTGATAGTAAGTGAGTTCTCATGAGAGCTGATGTTTTTAAAGTGTGGCAAACCTCCTTGCTCTCTCACCTTCAAGTCTTGCTACCATGTAAGACGTGCCTTGCTTCCCCTTTGCCTTCCACTGTGATTGTAAGTTTCCTGAGGCTTCCCCAGCCTTGCAGAACTGCTAGTCAATTAAACCTCTTTCCTTTATAAATTACCCAGTCTCAGGTAGTTCTTTATAGCAGTGTGAAAACAGACTGATACAGTGACGTAGTGTGATCAAATTCAGGCCAATGGAATGGAAGCAGGAATGTTGCATGTGATCTTCTGGGAACCTTTCCTAAAGGAGTCTTGGTGCACACCTGCAGTCCCTTCCTCTATCCTAATGACTGATAACGGGACATAATGGCCAGAGTGAGAGCTGCCAAATGGGGCCACGTGGTGGCCTTGGGAAAAGCAGGTTAAAAAATAGAAAGTATCTGGATTTCTGAGAACTGCACTGAGCCAGGCTGCCACACCAGTCTTGGGCTGCTTATCTGTATTAGAGAAATAAACTTCTACTTTAAGTCACCGTTATTTTGAACGTCTGGTACTCACAGAAAACATGATCCTAATGGATATAATTATTTCTACAGGGCCAGCATATGGCTTAGACTAAGCCAATCATGATACCCTGTACTGCCACATACACATGAACATTTGGAGAAGAAAAGGGTTGGTCTTCTTTTTAAATCTCAATCTATGGGTCTGTGGACCTCATAAATTTCTCTCCTTTGAAGATCTACCTTGGAATGAAATAAATACACTAAGAGAGACAACAACATAAAAGGAAGAGCCAGAACTCTGAGAACACTGTTTGGGCCCTTGAATCTAGCTGTACCTGAAGGTGTACCAATCTAGTATCTTTCCCATTATATGGTAAGTGCCCACTTTTGCTTAAACTAGTTTGAATGTGGTTCTGTTACCTGTAACTGAGAAAGCCTTAATTAACACCACTGTTATAGTGCATAATTGGCTTATCTGTAAAGAAAAGAAATAATGAAATTAGTTTGAAAATTAAATAAAATTATGTAATATGTACGATTACCAAAACTGATTTGAAATGCAGACATGGGGAAGTTAACCAGGCTCACAAACTTGTTATGTGAATTATTCACCCATTCTGGCTTCCTAATAAGCATGATTTAAACTCAAACCTTGATAAAGTTATGATTTAGGATGTCACATACCTTTGACGTTACTCTCAAAAGCTCTTAACCATGAATTAAATGTGAAAATGTAAAAGGCATATGTAGTTTGATTCTGAATAGAACTGGTGTCTAAATCTGAGTTCTACCAAGATCTATCAAGAATTCTGAGTGTTGGATATTATTTAGACACATAGGAAGAAAATATGACTTCTCAGAAATGAAGTGTGATTCTGAGGCTGTGTTTAAATATATCAAGTGGAGAATTGAAACATTTGCCCTAATTTGGCTAAGTCGTGATGCGTGATGTATATATGTGTGTATGATACATATCTACTATAATTTTTATGCACACACAGTATGATGCAAAATAATAAAGGCTAACTTTATTCTGCAATAATTGCATGCCAGATATGATTTTGTAGGCTTTATAAGAATTTTATAACAACCCATGGAGCCTGTACCATTATTATCTCCTTTCAAGTAGTGTAAATTGAGGCAGAAAGAGTTATTTTACCAAAAGTCAAACTAATAAGTGGTGGACCTCCAATTGAAAAGCACACAGTTTGGCTCTAGAACCAATGCTCTTAACCACCGTACCACATTTACCAAACTGGCTGTCAATCAATGCTGAAGAACAGCCCAATACACCTGTCCATGCAAAATGAAGCAAAGAGTGCAAAGCATTCAAGTAGCAAATCAGCTGCTGTTTCAGTCTGCATATCATAAGGAAAATCATGACTTAGCTAAATGTATTAGGACAAATGTCCCAATTCTCCACTTGATATGTTTAAACATAGCCTCAGAATCACTCTTCATTTCTGGGAAGCCATATTTTCTTCCTACATGTCTAAATGCCATCCAACACTCTGAGAATTCTTGATAGATCCGAGATGAAAATAAAAACAACAACACTGGTGATTGAGACCTTACAAGAAGCTCACTTGAATGAAGACTCAAGCTGGGGGGTTGAGATAGCTAAGTTGAGAACTACTTTCAATAAAGCAGCACAGCAGGAATTCTTTGATGTTTCATCAGAGACTTAAAAAGGAAGCAGGCACACTCTGAAGTTTGCCCAGAACATTGGTCTTTATGTCCTGGGCTGCCCCAAGGTAGAATTATAAAGTGAGATGAAGCTGGGAGATGCCTTAACTCCTCCACCCTCTCTGTCACCATTGTTCTCCCCTCTCATTTTGTGCATTTGAAACTTTTCCTGCTATGGAAGCCTACTTTTAAGCAAGTAACTGGCATCAGGTTGCATAGAGAAGCAACATAAGGAGGTGGATACATGCCCATGTTCTAGGTCAGACACTGCACTTAGATCCTGGTTCTACTGGTCCTCAGCTGTGTGACTGTGGACAAGTTATTTACCTCTCTGTGCTTAGTTTTTTCGTCTAAAAATGCAAAGAAAAAGAATATTTAGTTACTTTTGGTTTGCTGTAGAGTTTAAATGAAATTATACACATAAAAATCTTAGAACAGGACCAGGTACACAGCAAGGGCTCAAAAACTGTTGGTTAACATAGTTATATAGTTACCAGCCATTTTCATTCGAGGGTAAATTTAAGTTACTGTGTTTCACCCAGAAGTATATTTGCATACCTTTTCTCTCCTTGAGATTAACCTGAGATTAACCTTCTTAACCTTATCTGTCCTTGAGATTTCTGTTTTTGTAAAAGGAATGTCCAACATGAGGGAGAAGGTGTGAGAGCTATTCCGAGGGGATAGGAGCAACAGGCCAAGGTGCGTGACATCCCCCCAAACTGGGAAGCTGTCTGCCTTATTACTTAAGGCCATTTCAGCTTGTCCCTCTACTCCAAGGACCTGGGTCTTCTCGGATCACACGTTAGCAATGTGTGCTCAGAGGCTAGGGTAGGAACTTGTCATCCAGCCTCAGCTGCTGGCTGGTCTGTCAGATTGCCCTGGGATAGCTGCAGATTCATCTGCAGATTCATCATGGATTGAAAATGAAAATCCAGGCCAGCAGTGGCTTTGAATGGATGAATTAGGAAAGGGAATAGGGCCACCTATGTTAATCCTTTTGCAGCTGCCTTGATAGAAAAAGTATTAGGTTCCCATGAAACATGGAAGGCACCCATTTTTCTTCCTCAAACGACCTTCCAGCAACCTATCTGGAATGGGTGAACCAGATCATTTCTGGGGCTTTCAGTTTTGTTGTTAGTGCCATAAATGAGATTCAGTCAGTGAGGGGGGACAGAGAAAGGAAGGAGCTATCCCAGCGAGTATGCCTCAGAAATGTATGCCTGCCTGTGGATGTGCAATGCACACTTGTAAACCGAACAGTCTCTGAGACAGGTCTCAATCAACTTAGAAGTTTATTTTGCCAAGGTTAAGAACACGACTGGAAGAAAGGAACACAGAATCACAGAGACAGTCTGTGGTCCGTTTTTCTGCAAAGATATTTTGAGGGCTTCAGTATTTAAAGGGGAAAAGTGGAGGCGAAGAGGGAGGGTATGGTCACAATGCATAATCCATGCATTGCAGGAGAAAAGGAGCAGGTAGGGGAATAGTCAGTGATGTATTCATCTCAGTAAATCGGCACTTTACATAAAAGGTGAACCTAGCGTAGCTATCTGTGGAGATATCTGGCCTTTCATCTGTTAGCTATTCGCTTAGCAACAGAAGGAAAAGGCTGTTTCTTGCATGACTTAGCTTCCATCTTAATTTTTTCCTTTTTGCATAGTGAATTGGGGGCCTGAAATTTCCTTTGCCTTTCACACACTGAAACTACATGACTGGGATTTCCCTCCCTCCACAGTCCTACGTTGCTTTCTGACTACCCTTTCCCCTGCAAGGATCATAATATAAAAGTGTTAGGAGGCGGGAGTGAAAGAGATTTTTTTCATTCCTGGTTTCTGTTATCCACTATGCCTTGACCTTCGCTCTGTCCATATGATCAAATTACTTCCTGAACCTAGACCGTTGGGCGCGTCATCCGCGGGACTGACTGCCTCCCGCCGGCTTCCTGAGGCCGGACCGCAGCGGGGACGCCTCCTCTCAGGCCCAGCAGGGGGCGCGCGAGCCTCAGGAGACGCCAGCGGTGGTTGCGGAGCTGCGGTGCTGGAGGCCAGCTGTCACTCCAACCCAGCTGGAGATTCCTGTCGGGAATGCTTGGCATAGGACAACTGTGAGGGAGCCCCTGGGGCATGGGAAAACCCTCACAGTTCCAGAAAAAAACAGAAAACGGGTGCACAGTTTTTCTCGGTTAATCAAAGTCAAATTCCTCTTCCCACAACTGCTGGGGTGCCGGCTGGCTGGCAGGATGGAAGACCCAGGATGGTAAAAATCAAAATCCGAAAAAGGCAGGGCCCAAAGTCATTCCTAGGTTTTGCGGTTTAATGTCATCGGAAGTGGGCCGTGACAGCAATCTGCCCACCACTTGCCCAGTCAGGTCCTCTTGCCTTTCATGCTGAGAATAAAGCCATTTTTTTCCCCCCAGGCTTCTGGGTTTGTTGTGTTTGGGCTTCAATAGTCACCGGCATCCTTCACTTGGCTCTGCATGAGAGAATAAAAACCCTGCAGTGGGAACAGGCTCATGTATCTCCTAACCATGCCCCATGTGTGCAGAGGGACCTGTCATGGACACTGGTGGCCTTTCAACTTCATTTCAAAGTTTACAGGTAAAAGGGGAAAAATGGGTGTGTATAAAATCATTTAAGAATAGACAGGACGGCTGTGTCTGAATCGTAGGACACCACGACCAAGGCCCCCACGCCCACCGCTAACACATAGAGATGATATTTGGAGATAAGAACTGGTCTGGCACAGAGCGGGCTTCGGGAGTTGGCCCATCTCCCCTCTTTTCTTCTTCTGTCCACTCCACATTCACTAACAGTGGGAAACTTGGTTTCCGTCTAGAATGTGCTAGAGGATAAATAGAGCCCTCACATCCTTTATATTCATCTATAGGACATGAGGGCTCTATTTTCAGCTGTCAATGAAAATTTTGAGTCATCCTCACACAAATGTTGGAACAGGCATCTGTTTATTTGCTAGACATTTGGTTCTGAAAACTTTACTTCAAGGACCCTTGTTTAAACCTTCTATAACATGCTGGATCTTTGCACACGGCTTGGGAGTGTGGATGAGGTGAGGGAAACCATCAGCCCTGACAGCCAGTTGAGTTCAGCGGCGAGCTGCCGGCCTCCCCCATGCCTGGAAGATAGAAAGGATCGTTCGCTGTTTGGAGAGTGGAGGGGCATTCTGGGTGACATGCAGAAGCCTGAGCAGCAGCAGCACCACATTGCAAGAAGGCAGACAATTACTACAAAGACAGCTCACGGGATCTCATTAGATATTTCCTTGTTATGGAATGGAAAGGAAGCATAGCTGCGTGCTGGCATACATGATGTGATTTTAAATCCCAAGTCATAATTTTAGAAACCAACAGAACCTAATATTAAAGCTAAACTACCGTCCTCTTGAAATGATGAGACACCATTCCCGTTGCCCTTTTAAAAACACAATCAAAAGGTATGTTCCCTGTAAGTTCCACCTTCATTTTGAACACTTGAAGAATCAGGCTTTTACTGGCCTGGGTCACTGGGTTTTCTCTTTGGGATGAGGACTTATTTGACTTCACCATCACATGGCACAAAATAAATGCATTCCGCCTACCTGGCATTTCTAGGACCACCTATTTCTTTTTGTCTTCAAATGATTGTGACTTCCTGCTTCATTCACCTCAATAACTCACCCACACCTCCTTTCTATATTTGCTAATTGCTGTAATCTTTCTCATCTCCATGTAACTTTTTTTTTTTTTTCTGAAGCATTCCAACATGGGTCTCTTTGAAATTTTCTGTACAAACCACAAAAGGCCGTGACTTCCCACAGTCTTTCTTAATTTCTGGCCTTAGCAACCTACATCCTGAAAACCCCACAGACATTTATTTAACCATTTCCCCATGCAAACAATAAGAAATGGGGGAGGAGGATGGCAGACATCTGGCTTACTCAGGAGATGATGTGTTAGTCTGGACCTAGAATATTCCCAGAGAATATTCCTGTAATCTGTATTAACTGCTCATTTGTGAATGTTCTAACCTCACAGACTCTGACGCATTAGGACAAAGCCCTTTGCAAGAAACGGACTTAATGGAAAGCTCCTAATGCAAGAAAGTTTAGGCCCAGGGAATGGTCTTTATACACTGAGAGATGTTAGGAACACAGGGAAGCACTGGGCACCTTACGAACAAAGTAGATCGCACAACTTAATGTGCCTTCATTCTCAGAAATCTGCTACTAATAGCCTTGTAATCATTGCTGATTGAGAGATGGCAACCTCAGGGCCGAGTGAGGCTCCTGCATTCATAAAATTCTCAGCTTCATAACTGCTCTTCTACAATTTTGAATTCTACTGTTGATTTTAGGATTTTCTTGGGAAAGGGTAGTGGCTGGGCTAATGTGTATTGCAGTGCGCAGAAAACCAACAAGTGTTTCTCCAATTATTTGCTTTCATAGCTTTTCTGGAATTTGGACCCAGTGCTGTGGCTTGAAAGGGTGAAGCACATGCATGCATGTATGTGCACATGTGTGCATGTGTGTATTTGTGTGTGTTGGGGATAAGGAAACATGCCCCGGTTAACGAATGGAGCAGTGGGCCAGATCCACATCCTGTGTAACTCCCACAGGCTCCTGCTATAATGAAAGTTCCCTTCACAGGGTTGAACACAGTAATTCCCCAAGGGATCCTGGCTGAAGTGGGTGGAAGTTCAGCGTTTCTTGTCCCACTGAATTTTTGAACATGACAACCACATCCTGCTCCTGATACTGTGTGCTTTCCTTGATTGATCATGTCAAGATAGCCCTGCTAGCATTGTGCTCCAAGCCTGGCTCGATTCTTCTTGATATAACTCCAGGAACCAAATCAGTCAACGGCCTTCTTTCTCTAATTCTAATTCAAGGGATTTCCCTCAACCCAACCTCTGTCTCCATCTTCTTAGTACCAAGCTCTGCCCAAAGTTGATCATTCCTGAAGAACATGGCATGCACTTATAGCACAGCAATGATTTCCTTTAGGGACGTTCAGTAATGCACCATTCATTTGGGACTGGGATGTGACAATTCTCAGGCAAATGTGGGAGTAGATGTCTATGTCATTTGTGAATATGTAGAAATAAAGAGTTCATTTACATTAACTGTCCCACCTCTGTCCCATACCTCTCCTTCCCCATGAAGAAAAGAGAGGCAGAAGTAGAATTTAAGTAGAATTTAAAACTAAAAATAAAAAGAAGATATTTTAAAGAGTTAAAATATTAAAAGAAAACTCCTTTGAACCTCAATAAAGAAATGGCTGTTGAATCTCAGCCTCTTTTGCCGCATCTTCCTAACAACTGGACCCATTTATGTTGCCACACGGCCCACACATCCTGAGTAGCCCCACAACTCTATTTTTGTCTCATTCTCCTTTTGGGATCGGACTTTTATTTGCAATGTAGCGTTGCTGTATCAATAGTACATGGTTAACTCTAATATGCGTGCAATTTTCATAAATATTTATATTTTTTAATGAAATACACACCAAAAAAAAGCACACATGCAGATAATTCACAAACAATCAAATCCTTGGGAAAGGCTCTGCCATTTGTTCAACAAGGTCAAGTGTCATTAGGAGCACAGAACAACCGAATGTAAAATTTCTTTCCAGGAGCTTTCCACGTGGTTGGAATAAACACAATTTAGACCATGCAAAACTCTTAATGTATATTGGTCTGGGAACTTAAAGATGGAAACAGAGAATACATAGGGAGCTATGCAACACACCAAGGGCCAGTATCCACAATAATAATAACAGTGACAACAGCAATAATAATATACAATGCTATAAGATTATTAAAATCTATTCTATAATGCACAGAGAAGTACCTGCTTGAAGCCATTAAATATATGACAGGGTCTGTCTTCAGTGCAACATATCAAATTTGGCAATTGAAGGGTATATCAAATATATATTTTTTGCTTTCAAAATGTGGAACAAACTAAAATATAAGGCTTTTCTGATAAACTATAAAAATTTAATCAGCACTTGGATCTAATGACATATCTTTGTAATACTTCCTCTGCAGATACATTCACTTAGTTCAAACCTTAACATACAAAGTTAGTCTCAGGAGGATCATATTTCCTTCCATTCATTTCTTATAAATATTGTTATCCACTTGAAGTCGTTCTGATGAAGGAATTTCCTCCCTATTTTTTCAGCCTTTTTTTCCTCCTCTTAGCTAAGAAGACATCAGGAAGATACTGCCCAAAGTATTCATTCCCCATGACTTGCTTTCAGTTTCCATTTTTGAGCCATTAAAAAAAAATTCTCAATGTTGCACTGAGTGATTATATTAGATCATTAACATGGAAATCTTACAATATGGCCCTTAATGTTGTTTGTCTTTATTTGTTCCTATTTTCATCTTTCTCTTTTTCTTCTTTTTCCCTTTCTCCCTGTTTCCCTCCCTTCTTTCCTTCCTTTCTTCCTTCCTTCCTTCTTAGAATTCACTGAAGTATTTCCTAGGTAGCCTTTTACTTACTACTTTAATCAAAGCTTATCTTTGTGCCCAATGTGTAAAAAGTGAAAATGTCTCTTCGAAATTCTATATTACAATATAGACAGAGAAGTTGGGCCTTGAGGGCTTGAGTTTCACTTAAATACTATACACATGTGGTATCACACAAGGGGGAGGGGGAGGGAACAAACAGAAACATAACAATTATTTTTATTCTGTCTTTACAAAAGAAAGCCTCTTCTCTATGAAAAAGTCTTTTTGGCATCTGCTCCCGGAAACCTGCCCCGAGAACACGTTCCCCATTGCTTTGCAAGCATCTCTTTTTAAAAGCACAGCCACTGTCCCCGGGAGGTCACGTAGGTTGGATTATCCTGTTCTTAGTTGAGCAACGAAGAAGCACTGGATGAGTTTTCCAGGGATGAGCTGGTTGCTTCTGGGGTGGAAACATTATACGTTCCTGAAAAACAGAGCAGCAACTCAGCCTTGAAGACAAGCCATCATGAACTCTGGGGTGTGAACATCTCCTAAGGGACCCAGGGGAGCAGTGGTCCAGGTGCCAGGTAAGCTCGGCCATGCCTGGAAACCAACCCATACCTGCCCTCCTCCCAAGACCCAGAAATGCCAGAAAACTAACAGAGCTGTCGTTCTCATGCATGCGTGGCAGCCAACAAGCAGTCACTACTTCACATCATACCAGCAGCCAGGTTTCTACAGAGGACAGGAAGATCTCAAGGTGGAAAGCCCTGCACATGCCATCACATGCATGGTCTGGGAACATCTGCATGAGGGAATCTCCCTGGTCCTCTTGGGTTGTGGTGACTTGGGGAAGCTCTTGGGAGGCACCTAGAGGCTCTACTGAAGGTGGAGGTTTGTAAAGAGAGAAAAGGGAAAGGAAAGAGAAAATTATAGGGGGAGAAAAAGCAGGACCAGAAAAGAAGCAGGAGTCAGGAATGTCAACAGAACTGCTGAGAATCAGCGCAGCAAGGAAGGCAGCCTCAGAGCAACTGCACAGGCTTGTCTGCGGGGAGGTGGGGACTGTGCACAGGGAGTGGGCAGAGAGTGTGTGTCGGGCAAGAAAAGGGTTGAAGTGCCCACCCTACCATCAGATTGCTGAACTGCCACCGCTAACAAGGTTTCCGTCATGGCCTGGGGGGATCTTAGGGGCTGCTGACAACATAAACCAAAGTTACGGTGCTTATGGGGCCCCCAAACATGCCCAATTGGGACTTTCATAATCAGAAGTGAAGGTCCACCAGTTTCATAAGTAATTCATCAAATTGAAGCAGAAAAAACCCAAGTCCTGTGGAGTTTTAACAGTTATAGGAATTCACAAAATTTGCTTGTATATGAAAAGCCTTCATCTGGAATATTGATGCATTTCTCAACTCTGCATTTGTGAGATCTGTTCAGTTCCAAAAAGCTAGAAGAAATCCTGGGGCTTATTTTCCTGTGAGGAAGGGATGATGGCATGGGGACAGGGGTTTCAATTTGCTAGAATAGCTGAGGTCTGTTGCCCAAAGTTATTAATTCCATTCATTTCATATCTCCAATGTAGAAATTTAACTGTGAATATTTTTTTTTCAGTGAGATACTGTGGCCTTTGCCAGTTGAATCAATAATAGCAGGGTTGACTGAAGTATCAGCAGCACCACCACCACTACCACTATCGGCGTCATCACGAATGCCGAGTAATTACTATAATCCATGTACCATACTAAGCACTTTATGTATATTTGCTTATTTAATTCTTACAACTCTATGAAGTCATAATTATTACCCTATTTTATAAATGAGGAAGTGAGTTCAGAGAGGTAATATTTCTAATAGAATAGCTAACTTGGGTGATCCCTTACGTAATGCATGCACAGTTCTATACGCTTCAATGTGTAACACAAGCACACTTTATAAAAAGAACAAAAAAGGAAAACAAACCTACATAGTGAGATCCTGTAGTAAGATTTTCTAAATGTATTCTTTGCTGCCCCATAACCCTGAAACATGACCTATCTACTCTTATCTAACATAATTTGAGAAGAACTCTGTGTTTGACAAGGCCAGCAATTTACAGTTCTCATTTTGATGGATGATATTTTGACAGATAGCTCTCCAAATCATTGTCTAGATTCTCCAAATCTTATTCTTTATGAGTTATTATAAGTTGCTTAGCAAAGGCAGCTGCCCTCTGTACCCACTTTTTGGTGATTTGTGAAAATGTAAGTTCCTCTATTTAACCTCTACCCCAAAAGAGGACATTTCAGGTAAATGCCATGAGCGGGGTGAAAGAGTAGGGGTGTTGAGGCTCCCCATTTGAGCAAATGTGTTCTGGACAAGCAGGGAGAAACTGGAGGCCACTACTCACCTGTTTTACCAAACAAATTGTTAAATCTCCTTGATATTGGAGAACTCATAGAAAACACAGGTGTGGATGAACCCAGGGATGTTGACTAGAAGAGAGAAAAAAAGGGACAATCACAAAGCAAATTTGTGGGACCAAAGCTGTTTCCATCTCTAGAAGGATTGATTTTCCACCCTCTAGTGGTCACTGCCGGAATCTCTAGTCCCACTCCCAGAGGTCACATTAAAATACTGGAATCTTATCATCTGTATTAGAAAAATAACTGTCAAATACAAGTTTTATTGTTTGTTAGGCTTCTAGCATTTTCTGACATGTGAAAGGCAGTCAGATATATCCAAGGGCAATAGTTGTGTTCCAAAATGAACTACAGAAAATTCTATCCATTATTATTCTTCAACTTGTTTTCTCTAATGCCTTGAATCCCCCCAGAAGATTGCTTCTCATTGAACGTTTGATTTCAACCTTAAGTTTATATCATATATTATTTTAAAACCTATTTAAATATGTGGAGTAGCATCTCAATGACAGCTCTATGGCTCTATTTAATAGACAGAATGACTTGAGAAGCAAAAACAATGGAATGATCTATGCCAAATACAGCTGTTGAGGGAGACAGGTTTGAGGATGCAATATATTTAGCCTAATTGATCAAAATCCCAAAGAAAAAATTTAGTACTCTGTACTTCAGAATGCTAGTGGAATACATGATGTTATAAAATGAAAAGTCTCTGCAGAGAAAAAGTTTACCTTTGAGTGCTGTGAAGACCATCTCGACAATGAAAACTTATTCAGCAAAGCTTCCTGTACCTGCATTGTTAAAAAGAAGCTATCGTAACTTCAACATGCCACAAGCACTTCAGACTTTTCTAGAAACATGAAACTGTCATTGCTCTTACCTTCAGATCCCAGAGGCATCCAAAGAGTAAAATGAATAATCCCTGAGAAAAAAAAGATTGAAAAGAAGTGCATTTTAATTATAGTCTATTGTCCAGCAAAGGAGGAAGTACTGTTAACCTGGTGTTAAATTTGTACTACTTCTTTTTCCTTCTGAGTTTATGGAATGAGTCCAGTACATGATACTGTTCAAAGACAGGCATTTGGTCCACACCAAGGGACTCTAAATGTTATGATGTTAGGAAGATATTTTCTATTTTCCAATTTTCCTTTAGTTGAAAACTGGAGGTCCTGTTGGTTATGCTATTAATACACCTCTTGTGTCTACAATATTCTTTACATAGCTGTGATAAGAATCTGGGCTATGGGGTGGGATAACTAGTTCCTTCCAAATGAGGCATATCATGAAGGTCATTACATATGAACTACATAGCTTGGAGACACAGGCCCAGTAGCAGAAATCAAGGTTCATATGTTCTTGGCACAAGCATCCTGAAAGCAGTATCTCGAGTGTGCCTCCAGCCTCTGCCTCTTCACAAGTTTACAGTGGCCTCAATCCTTGGGCAAGTTTTTTTCTATCCTTACCACCTCTCCATTGGGTGAAACAGAATTAATCACTTCCTTCCTTGTACTTTAAAGGCTTGCTATCTATACCTCTGTTATAGTTCTTCTAACAAACTGGCCTGCACTGTAGTTAGTTATGTGCTGCAGGAGAGCGAAGAAGATGTTTTTTCATTGTAGTATAATCAAGCAGATTGTCTGGCATTCACAGGACATTCATTCTCTGATTTTTGATGTTTCCAGAGAAGCTGCTATGTGGTACATAGGATTTATTTCATTCAAATGATTATTGAGAACCTACTCTGTACCAAGGTCTCTATCAGGCATAGAGGTATAGTGATGAACAAGAAAGGGGCAATCCCTGTCCTCACAAAGACAGGATTTTCATTTAGGAGATAATAGACTACATCAAGATAATCTTAGACAAATGGGGATTTTCCTTTTACTAGTGTAATCAGTGTATTTAGCAGAGACTGGCAAATGACACTAAATTATAATGTAGGTGATAAAAAGCATGAGGTGCCATAGGATCAGAAGAATGTGTCCTTTCCATCTGATTGAGTTCTCATTATTACTGCTCTTTAGAGCTGAGGCTTCCTCTGGGCTGAAATCCTTCCCCATTCCTACTCTTGTTTGTGTTTCTATCATTAATTTGTCCTACAGGAATAAAATCTTCCTGAAAGCTCCGCACTGTAAAACTCACCTGGAAGACATTGAGGATGGCAAATATGATATGGAACACAAGGTTGGTCCCTGGGAACACAGTGGTGAGACCAAAACCCCAAGTGAGGCCCAAGAGTGGTGTGAGGACCCCAATGCTCTTGCTGATCTGAAACAGGCTGCTCTTCTCCTGCTTGCATGGCTTGTCTCCAATGGAAGGCCTCAGGATCTTGGTGATGACCACAATAGTGATGGTTATGTTCACCACCACAATGATCAGTGCTGGGATGGCGAAAGCCAGCAGGGCCTTGGTGTCCTCCCAGTTGAGCCAACAGACATTCTTCCTCGTATAGACTTCCCGGGGCTGGGTGGCTCCCAGCGTGATGACCGAGATGGCAAGTGGGCAGCCATAGCCAAGACAGAAGGCAATGGCTTTCTGAGTGGACCTGCTTGTTTCATGCAGAATGAAAACCAGGCGATAGAACAGCATGAGGCCCAGTGTCAGCATCCAGAAGAAGACGCTGAGGTAGAAGAAGTGGATGAAGAAGGTGGCAGCCACACAGGCTGTCTTGCAGAGTATGTAGCGATTGTCCTGGATGGCAGCGACCACAATGAACCAGGTGTTGGCGACCAGAAGGGAGGCAGCGATATTCACTATGCAGGTGTGGCGCATATAAGAAGTCCGGTTCTTGGTCACCGATTTCCACACCACAGCTTCCACAACTAGACAGGCTGCCAAGCTCAAGATGGAAAAGCCCACCCCAACATAAGAAATAATATCCAGGAGTATTCCCAGGAGAGAACTAGGATCTGGGGAGTCAGGGGACATGAGGATGGAGAATGATGTTAGGTGGTCACAGATACAGGTGACATTGTCCCCATCACCTTCTTCTACATAGCACCCACTGCTGTCCCACCCCCCTGTGTTGTTGGCAAGCCTGAAGTTCCAGAAGACACACTTCGTTTCGCCGCCTGAAGGGCTATTGTTCTTAAAAGTCATTGAAATCCTGAATGGCATAGTTGTATTGTGGCTGACAGTGGTTGTCATCACTAAGCTCTCTGCAAAGTTATTTTCCTGGATATCCTGGGCAAGGATGGCTTGGAGAGTTGGGAAAGCCATGGTGACAATAGACGAATCCGACTGCAAGTTTTCTAGATAGCTCTTGTCAATGACCACATTGCCCCAGAGGTCAAAGTATGGGAAAACAAACCTCTGTTGATAGGTTTCTGGGTGGCTGGACTTGATTACCATGCTGCTCATCTGCACATTAGTTTGGGAGAAGGACAAAGGAGGGCTATCTCCCGACTGTAATGCTTGGGAAAATCTTTCCACTGAATGTAGTAGCTGTGAACTCTGATTGGTCCATTGCTGTTGTAAAACCTTCCAGGTGTTCAAGACGGGCTTGCCAAGGATGACATTAACCGTAGAGAGCACGTGCTGAAAGTGAAATGGTATGGGGTCAAACTAACCAAATTCTTTCAATCATAAAAAAGAAAAAAACAACATCTTCCTAGAAACTGATTGCATAAAGGTAAGAGGAAATGAGAAAACAAAAATGAGACATCACAGGCAGTGGGGATGTATGACCTTCTTATGGCAGAGTTTAGCAAAGGATGGGTCCCCAAGACTGAAAGATGCCAGTAAGCATTTAGCAATGGTGACAGTGAGAGTCACACCCACTACACACCCTACTCTCTAAGGCCAATTCAGCAGGCTGGCAGGGATATTTACTATTTTATTTTATTTTATTTTATTTTATTTTAAATCTTAAGCCTATATTTTTAGTAGAGATGGGGTTTCACCATGTTGGCCAGGCTGGTTTTGAACTCCTGATCTCAGGTGATCCATCCGCCTCGGCCTCCCAAAATGCCTGTAATCCCAGCTACTTGGGAGGCTGAAGCAGGAGAATTGCTTGGACCTGGGAAGTGGAGATACATCTTTCCTGCTGTCCACTGCTCTCCCCGCTGCAGTCCCCTTTCTCCTGAGCACATGTCTGGTTATAGCTCTGGCCTTCCAAGACTATAGCTCCTGCTGACTGGTCCCGCCTCTAAGTCTTCAGCTCTCACTGGGCTCTGCACTGTTTCCTCTTTTTCCTAGGGGGTGATAATGGCTTCTAAATGTTGCTGGTCTCTGAGTGCCTCATCACCCCTGGTTTATTTGTTTGTTTGTTAACCCTGTCTTTACCTCTGTAGGTATCCCTTCATTAAAGTCTCTTCATTTGAACTCTTGTAGGTGAATTCTTTATCCTCCCAGAACCTCTATGCTTCCAGAACCTATCCTCCCACGATTCCTTTAAAGTTCACATTTAGTGCTAGACCTTTGAGAATATCATCTTGTATATTCTGAAAACCTTTAATTCCTAGTTTTTCTGGAAAGCAAGTATGAATTTATTCCATTTTAATGAAGAAAATAAAGCAGAGATTCACTAATAAATATTCTTAAGGTCTCAAAATGAATACTGGAAACATTTCCTAATATCCTAAAAGCCATAGCTGGCAGAACTATCCTGAGCACTGCTCTGGAAAAGACAGAGAAGCTGCAATGGGGAGGAATTACGTTTCTTGAATACAAATTCTGAGGGGTGAAAAGGTAAGACCCAAAACTCCTGCAAAGGTTAAGCAAACTCACCGTCATCATTTCTGAATTTACTTGGGTTGGAACTGTTGAGAGCAGATCAAGGATGTTAATAATGGCTCCCAGACTCCCAGGAGAAGAGCTGATTTCATGTTCCGCTTTGTCTATGCTAATAGAAAGATCCTTCAGGTATGTAGGGAGCATCTCATCCTGAGAGGGGCTCTTGATCAAAGCCTAGTAAAACAAAAGCCAACACAAAAAAAAATTTACCAATCAATTCAGCTATCGAATCCAGCTGATCCATTCCTGGCAAAATCTCTCACATCCGTTGTTTCCTTTTTTGCTCCATTTCCATAAATATGTCCCATAAGATGATGTGCTTATCCCTTAAGCACTCCATGCATGCTCTTCAGAACAGAATATGACATAAGGCCACACACAGAAGGGGAACAAATGTATGTCAACCTGATAGCTAATTGGAACAAAAAAGGGAAGCTAGATGTGATGGCTAGAGAAGTAGGTTAAAGTTGGGTGCAATGGTCACTTGGATAGTCGGTATGGAAGCACAGTTGCCACTTTTTGGTTTTCCTCATATCACTTACCCTGCCAATCATTAAAGTGACTGACCCTTCCAATTTTCCAGGGACTGTTCTGGTTTATACCTTTTCTCCTTGTGTATTTATTAAGAGTGCCCTCTTATATTCTCAAAATGTGTCCCGACTTAGATGATAGATTATATGGTCACCCTACCTGTATGATTACACTTCTGCTTTCTAACTCTCTCTTACTTAATCGTATAGAATAGCTCAAATTCTGTCTTCTACGAAAAGCATTTGATAGATGTTCCAACCCAGGAAAGTTCCTTCCTCTGAATGCGTAAGTATTGGTTTTATATAACATACTTTCATTTGTGGCATCTCCAGTAGTGTCATCTTGTGTTCTAATTTTGATATTGCTCCAATTAAATTATAAGCTCCTTAACAACATGGACCATGTGCTACATTTCTTTACATTCTTCTCATTCCTATAATTCCTAACATAGTACAAGTCATATAACTCAGCACACAGTAAGTATCCAGTAAGTATATGCTGAATGGATAAATCAAAGGAAGCATGATAGAGCAGCATGATCCTTTTCCATTGAAAATGTATGTAGGTATCTAGAATTGGGACTTGGGCCCACATCGAGTTCAGATTACAATTTCTATCTTTCTTCATTAGGATAATTTATATCTCTCATGCCTCATTCATCAAGGTCCAGCTCAGATGCCTATTTTTTTCAAGCAGATCTTCTTAATTTATCTTAGCCAAATTAATGTGTATGTAACTACCCAATTCGATTATTTTCTTTACCAGAGACAAAGATCTGATTTGGCCCATTTACCTTGACAGCACCTATAATCATGCTTTGCACATAGTAGAGATTTTAATAAATTTGGTGTGAGACAAGAGAAGAGATAGAAGTTAATTAGATGAAACACATATAAGTATTACCCTTTTTTTCAATTATTTACCCAGTGGTGAGAGGATTTGGAATTGGTTGTCTGAAGATGTCATCATTACCTATAACCTCACCAGTTGCATCACCAGAATTTTTTAATGTAATTCATGGAATTTTAGGAGTCTAACAACAAATCAAGTGTGGAGGTCCCATTTTTTTACATTGACAGAAGGAAAGGAACTTCTGCCCTGTTACATAGCGGTAACCTCTATTATAGGTAAGAGAGGCAGGGTAGTTGCTTCTTCAAAAGCACAAGTTACTTCCAAGTAGTCAGAAAATTTCATACCTGTAAGAGCATCAAGCCCAGCTATTTTTTTTAAAGAAATTGATGAAGCTTGTTTTTTTATATTGCTCCTTTTTCTGAAAGGATTATAGCAATTTTCTTGGTATCAAAATTACTCAAAGGAGAGCAATAAGAGAGAGGATAATACCGCTGCCCCCTGGAGGTATGGAACACATGGTACTGAGAAGTCAAGGTTAAGGTATCTAGTCGGTCTGAGAGCAGAACACATACTTAGTTGTCTTAGTATTTGAATTGAGGCTTTTTTTTTTTTTTTTTTTTTTTTTTGCATTTCTAGGGTTGCATCTCCTTTGGAAATACACAAATAAAAGTAGTTTTGGAGCAACACAAAGCAGCACCAAACCCATTTTCCTAAGTGCTGAGAAATATGATCAGCCAGATAGATCGCCCCACCAAGAGCTCAGAGTGGAAGCTTTAAGGATCACCTTAGCCATCTGGAGCAGACTGTTTATTGGGGCAGAGATGCAGTCATTTCTCTTCTCCTCCCACTGGGAGCCTACACATTTGTAAGTGATGGTCCCGCCAATGGGACTCTCAGGGCTGCTGGGAACGTTTGAGAACCGGCATAGCTTCTGGATGACTTTCCCCGGCTCTCCGACACCTATTACGGGATCCTGGCATGTGATGTTTTCCCCTGTGTTGGAAACATTGAAATAAAGGGATAATTGCAAGGAAGAGACAATATAGTAGAAATACGGTCAGGCCAAGGTAGAATTTTGATGTTTGAATTCACATTTACCTTTACTTTCCGTCACCTTTTCAGAACTACCCAATTTCTTAATTTTGCCCTTGATTTTCCAAAGCCCCTCTCTGCTTTCCACATGAACCTGACTTCTGTAATCGGAACTTCCTTTTCCTAACAGAATTTTATACCTTCATCTGGAGATTCTCAACTGTGACATATTAGAATCATCTGGGAAGCTTTTGAAAACACCAGTGTCTGGGCTAAGTAAATCGGAATCGTCAGAGCGGGATTTAGGCATCAGCAGGTTTTTAAGCCTCCCTGGTGATTCCAGTGTGCTGTCAAGGTTGAGAATCACTGCCATAATCCAAAGACATAATTGCTAGTAGGAACTCTAGGTACCCATGACCTGAATATTCTAATCAATATGTTTAAGCATTTGTTCCTTCTGGTTTCCCTTAGAGGTGATTCTATTTCACCTCTTCTCATGACCAGGCAAGGATGGGGAAATGACACTTGCTGTGGAATCTCTCATGTCCAGTGGACCCTGACTCTGATGAGACCCCTCCCTCACCAACACTTTTCTTTAACATTAAGATCTTAACCACTGTATATAAATCTTAAATAAGTAATGTTCTACTAGGAAAAAGAAGCGAAACCATATTTGGTATAAAGAAAGAGGAGAAGAACAAAGATAAGTGAATAAAATGTGTTGGCTAAGATGAGTGATGGGGAAAAGAAGAGGTGACCTTTGCTGCACCCTGGAGGGGTTGTACTTGTGCGTGGAAAGGTCAGGTGAAAGTGACTCTAAATTGTTTCCTGTTTTGGTGCCCAGGGGCTAGTTGCCAACATGTGAGAATGACCACAAACTATTCAGTAAACTCAAACAATCTTGGTGATAACGATCCTTTGTCTATCACAAGTCCTGTTGCTGGGAAGATTTAAGAGGATGAGGAGTTGCTTATGGTAGAAGCCCAGGGTCATCATTTACCCCTTGTCTTAACATAAGATTCTCCCTTAAGATGACCTTGTATTAGGATGATCTATCCTTCCCTGCTGCTGAGGGGAGCTCCCCAACATGGGCTAGCATAGCAATGACTCTGTAAAACATGAACTTTCACCTCAAAGATATTATGTGATGGCAAATTGACTCAGTGGTGGCAAAGGATGGGAAAGGCAGCTGCCTATTCTCGAGATTAATTGTTTTCATGTAGCCTTGTCTCAGAAAAACAGTGCAGTGTGGACACCTTTCATTTGCTGAAACCCCAAAGGACCTCAACCACATTGATACTGTCCACTTCTAATCACCTGGTAAACTCCTTTAGCAGAGCTAAGCCACCCACAACATTTCTATTTAGCTCTTACTGTATTACATGTAATAATTTTTTTTTTTTTTTTTTGAGACGGAATCTCTCTGTCGCCCAGCCTGGAGTGCAGTGGCACGATCTTGGCTCACTGCAACCTCCGCCTCCTGGGTTCAAGCGATTCTTCCGCCTCAGCCTCCCGAGCAGCTGGGACCGCAGGTGCATGCTCCCATGCCTGGCTAATTTTTTGTAGTTTTAGTAGAGACGAGGTTTCACCGTGTTAGCCAGGATGGTCTTGATCTCCTGACCTCGTGATCTGCCCACCTCGGCCTCCCAAAGTGCTGGGATTATAGGCGTGAGCCACCGCACCCGGCCAATAACATTTTTTTATCACATAGATTTCTTCCCTAGGCTTGAGGCCAGGGGACATGGCTTATTTCTTTTCTTTTAAATACCACTATGGTGAGCCCAGGGCCTACCACAGTGAGGGTATTTAACATATGTTTATTGAATGGGGATGAATGAGGGAGTGAATAAATAAATAAGTCCCTGCCCTGACTATAACATCTTAAAGTAATTTAAAACGTTCTTACCAGGAACCAGATTCAGCTTCATAGATGGGCTCCAGACTGAATTATTAGCAGCATTGGTAAAGTGACAACACACATCAACAGTTTTTGAACACCAGGAAACTGAGCTTGCATTGAAATTGTGTTTGTAGCACACTTGTTTTTTGTTAACTTCTTTTGCTGAAGACAGAATTATTGAAAGAATTAAGTCACAACATGAGTCTCTAATGCACAAATTGTGTTAAGATAACCTAATATGAATAAACCTGTCCAAGCTTTCCCGAGGAATGTGCCACATTCATTTTTAACAGGTTTTACCTCTGGGTTTTGAAGTATGTAAGCCCACATTTGCATGTGTGCTAGTCAAAACTTCTCCTCTACCATTCATGACTCCAAGTCACACATTTTTGACATTCAGAATGCCTTTTCAGCATTCCACAAATCCTTCTCCCTATCTAAATTTCATCATGCTCTGAGCATTTATCCTATTCTGCCTTTACCATATTGGTATATAGTCACCTATTCATGAGTTTGTCTTCTCTACTAGACCATACGCTCCTGGAGAGAAAGTACCTTGTCTTATTTATCTTTCCATCTCCTGGTGCTCAGCTCAGTATCTGGTGCATAGAAAGCACTGAATGTATGCATATTAAACACAGAATGTTGAAATGCTGCATATGTCAAAATCCAGATTGATTATATCCCTCTGCCATGCAGCCTTCTTTAAAGACTACAGTGTTTATTGAGTCCCCACTTTTCTGAACTTCTACTGTTTTTTTAGTCTGTATTATTCTATTTGGATATTTTATATTATATGCATTGCCTTTCAGGGCATGGGCCCTTCTAGATATTAAAATATGTGCCCCACTTCTTTTTTCTCCCTTTCATTGCCTACTATGGTGTCTTGCGTTGAGTAAGCCCTCCAGAATAGTTATTGAAAAAATGAATGAGCTTGTAAATCCCTCATGAAGTTGTCTGTGTTTTGAGATTTTTGGGTTGTGAGATCATGCTGGTTGACCTTAATCTCTGGGAATCCCTAGGGATCTGGATTAAGGGCACCATCTACCAGAGAGACTTTGATTTTTTTTTCTTTTTTTGCTGGTTGACATAGGGTGCTACCAATGGACAACTTTAAACTTAGGTTGGCACTCCTGAACCACAAAGGAAATATAAATTCAAAGCCCAAACCTGAGTGATGGCAGGACAACTATATTTTTTGGGGGAAACCTTTTGTCCACCCAGAGATGAGGCCAAGGTCTCAACTCTGGCAGATGAATTTTGTTTTCCTAGCTTAGTCTCTTACTGAATGTGCCACTTTTTGAAGGTCTTAACATTGTGTCAATGGGGTGTGAGTGACCCATTGTGTGTTTAGGGAGCACAGTCTTTACTTTTATGCCCTCTGGAGCCTTAAAACCCAAGGTTCTGGGTTTCTGATATTGGCAAAAGCCCATAGGAAAGCTCCAGCATTAGTTAAAGCATCATTTCTATTTTATTTTCCTCTACTTTTTTGGCACTTGGTTGTTTCTCATACTTTCTTACATGCTCAATTATGCATTTAAAGGGATTTTCATGGCAGTTTTGTGGCATGCAACTTTATAGCATGGAGGAAAAGATTGTCAGAATATCTAGTCTGCCATATTCATTAGAAGGTATCTCAATACTTTCTTCAACTTCTCCCAATTAAAAAAAAAGGCTCCACCATTGCAAACTCCCAAGATTGTACCATAAACCAATGAACCACTAGCCACATAGCAAAATAGAAGGTAACAAAGATTCATGGGATTCTACTCTGTTAATTCTATCTCTGATACAATCCTATGTCTCTTGATCCCTATTTTAAGACTAAATTTTTAGACTCCACATATGTGAAATAATATACCCTAACAATTCAGCAATCAGCATCTTACCAGCAGGAAGGGATGAGGAACCCGTATGGAAAGTAACTTTGTAGTCTCCATCCTCCTCTATGCAGCACTTGATGTGATGGGAACCACTGCATGAAACAGTAGCTTCCAAAGGATCAACCATGATGTTCAGCTTTAGAGGCAGCGGGTGAACAATGACGTCTTTGGTTGCAATACTGTATGAATTCTTATATCTAAATATGCAGTGATAGGTTCCTGAGTAGAAGACGGCAAAAATGAGATGGAATGGAAATAATCGCCCTTCAAAAGCATCTGCTGGGAAGGTTAAGAAGAGGCTTAATTTTCCCTCTCAAGCTTTAGTAAAGGAATACCACAACTTCCTGGACACTGGAGGAAAAAATGCTTGATTGATTCCTCTTCTGGGTTCTCCATGCACTTGAAGGACTAACCAATGACCACGTAAATATGCACTTACTTTCAAATAAAATTAAGTGGCTTATTCAAGGCCAAACAGCCTGTTAGCGGCAAAATTGGATTTCAAACCAGGTTTTCAATTTCTACTCTAAGGCTTTTCTACCAACCCAAGGAATAAATGGGAGTTTTGCCGTGCGCAGAGGTGGGGAGTTTTTTGACAATAATTGTTAACCTGATGGAACACTGTGGTGTTATGACACCCCTATCTCCCATCTCTAAGTGAGCAGGCCCTTGCTCATCATGGCCCCAGAGGACAAGTCATCATTTGGGCAGCTGCCATGGAGACATACAGCAAGATTACAACAGCACCTACAGTTAAGTAAGACCCTTCAATTTTCTTTACATTGCTTCCCTTTGCCCCAGCTCTGGAAAAGTCAGAAGCAGCAGCTAACCAGAGGGCGAACGAGCAAAGAAAGGAAACTCCTTTTAATTCCTGCTGCGGGGGGGAAGAGGGAATTTAAATTGAATATAAAATGACAGTGTAGTAGATTTAGATGAGAATATGACTTTTCAATAACTGATTATGGGACTGTTTAATAGATTAATGTGACTGCAAAAGCTAAAATTCTTCCTAGGTTATTGGCTTTTAGTAGGAAAGAGTAATTGGACAGAGCAGGATTGAGGTCAGCCTGGAAGAAAAATACTTCCATTTCCTGACTGTATACTACCAAGTCCAGCCCAAACAATAACTAGTTGTTTCTACAATGTTGCCTAGGCCTTATATGAAAATAAAAAGAAGACATGGGACTCACGGAATCTAGACTGATTAATCTCATAGTTAATGAAAGGCTTTAGAGTGGGGTGGCTAAGAGTTGACCACTGGAGCCAGTCAATCTGCGTTTGCATCCTGGCTCTGCCACTTGCCAGATGTATAACCTTGGGTAATTTACTTAACTTTACTGAGTCTCAGTTTCCTCATCTGTAAAATGGGGCTAATAATAACAGTATCCTCTAGGTTTATTGTTTCACATGAATTAATACATTTAAATACTTTGCATAGTGCCTATCACATAGTTAAGGGCTCAATAAATATGAGCTATTATTGTAGCAGTTCTATCTACCAATTTCTCTTTGCTTTCAAAGATTTGCATTTCCTCACAAAACAAACAATGGATAGAGGTAAACAGGAAATTAAAATGTGTTCCTTTTTTTGGAACCAAGCTTATAAAATCTTTACCTAGCTGTTCTAAAGCACAGTTGGGTCAAACACTCCCTAGTGTCTAGTGAAAGTACTTTTAAAAACAATCCTCATAACTTAATGGCAAGGGTACAGGGTCTGGAATTAGAGACACTAGTTCCATTCCTGGCTCTAGAACTTAAGTTGTTTGAGCATATTTACTTTATCTGTAAATATGGAAATAATGGCATCTTCCCTCAAAGGAATGTTGCGTTAAGTGTGAAGACATATTGAATTTAAAGTGGTTGGCATAGGCATGTCTCAAAGAAGACCCTACACAGATGGTAACTATTATTGCATGTTTCCAAGAGCCCAGGCAGCACAATACGGTGTCCGGCCTTTCACTCACCATTCCACTCCCTGGTCGAGGTCTTGACTGTCAGTACTGATTCTGCTCCATCAAGATACCTCCTCGTGGTATAAAATCTTTGGTATATTTTAATTCCAGCAGAAGTGTTCCAATAAACCTCATCATAGTTACTCACATCACTGATGCATTTTATAGAAAAGTTTTGTCCCTCAGAAACAGAAATTGGGTCCGGGGTTATTGTTAGATTGGCTGAAAAAAAGGCAAACAAAACAGACAAAAGAAAACTGACAAGTTCAATGTGTAGTATCTCTGGGGACATTAACATATGACTGAAACTTCAGAGAGGGACAGAAAAAAAAAATGAACCATCCTGACTCTACTCATGTCAAGGTAGAATTGGTACCTTGCTGCTCCTGGGCTTTACTCGTTTCTAGGCTGTTCCTGGTGGTGCTCTGCACTGTACTCATTTCCATCACATGCCTTAGGACCTCGTGCACTTCACTTTTGTGGCTGGAATTATCTCCTGATGATCAGCAGGGTAAAAGGTTGCAAACTTAGGGGTGTCGCCTTATCCCACGCTCCCCTCCAACCTCCTCTGTAACACCTTAAGGGAGAACAAATGGCCGGGTTCCTCTAACAATCTCAATCTCTACTCTTTTAAAATACTTTTTAATAATACCACATTGTGTATTATTTTCTCTCTTTTAATATCTCCCCTCCATAAAAATGTGAGCCCTCAAGGGCAGACCTGTAGCCTCTGTGTCTTTGCATCCCCAGTACTCAGCACTGGGTCTAGTACACAGTCAATGCTTAATAAGTGAAAGAGTGAATTCTGGAACTACATTTTAAGTACAAGAATCATAGCCTGTATTGCCCAAATATGAGTTGGTTTAAAAGTAATGGCTAAAAGCACAATTACTTTTGCACTAACCTAATAATTACACCTGCACTGTCAGGTAAACTGGGATGTACAGGTACCTTAATTATAACTATATAACTACAGCAATATAAGTATTTATATGTAATTAGTTTCACTATATATATACTCCTCTAAGAAGCTTCTCACAGGTTCATGAAAAATTACTAATCAAAAATATTAATAAGACTATTACAAATATAAAATATAAATATAAAAGCTTATATGAGCTTCCCACTATTTTTGTCTAACTGTGCACTTCTCTTTGAGTATATCTTTACATGGTTGATATTTCAAAACACCATTCACTTCAGTCTTCTATAAGTGAACAGCTTCATTTTGTGAGCCCACTGATGCTGGCCTACTTACCCAGTCAGTGTGAAATCTTATTATTAATAATATTATTATTTTTTTCTTTTTAGAGACAGGGTCTCATTCTGTCACCCAGGCTGGCACAATCACGGCTCACTGCAGCCTCAATCTTCTGGGCTTAATTGATCCTCATGCTTCAGCCTCCCAAGAAGCTAGGACTACAGGCCCACATCCCCATGCCTGGCTAATTTTATTTTTATTTTTTATTGGTAGAGACAGGGCTTTGCCATGTTGCTGGGGCTAGTCTGAAACTCCTAGCCTTAAGCCATCTGCTCACCTTGGCCTCCCAAAGTGCTGGGATTACAGGCATAAGCCACCATGCCTGGCCTAAAAATCTTATTCTTAATCATAATCCAATGACATCAGGGCTTTTTACAGTTACCATTTAGAAGCTGGGATTCAAATGTTCAGACAGCCCAAAGCCACTCAAAGAAGGTGTAATATGTCCCTGCATTGCCCTCCCCATCCATAGGCATCTTGAGATGGCTCTCTAAGGCTTAGCTATTTCTTTGAGTAAAAAGAAAAAGGCTCATGGAACCATGAATTTGGTCCTCTTGATTGTCTGATGAGATTCCAAACTACCAGACTAGTGATTTTCAGCAAAGGCTTAACATGTCCCTAAGACAGGTCCCAGTTTTGTGGATAGAGGTAAAGTTATGTTAAGTAATTTGGAGAATGATTAGTTTTACCTGAAAGCATTATTTCGCTAGAAGAGCTCATGAGTATTTTGAGCAATTTGCAGTTTTCTGTAGTGAGAACAGTTTTGATTATTTGAACATAACACAACTCTTTGTTAAAACTAGGAATGCAAAACTGTTCTACCTGTAGATATATGATTATTATATAGCTATATATTATATATTATAGATATATATTAGATATATAGATAGATTACGCCCACATAAACATAATCTTGATCTTTGTAAAAATGCTAAGTCACAATAGCAGAAAACATGAACGACAGTTAACAAGTGTTGCTTATATCAGTCGTTTCTCTAAACTTGTTCACAAAAGGGTCTAATGATTAATCTAAATTGTTCATTTTTGTAAGACAGGTGGAAAAACAAGTTTGAATGTCCTCTTTTTACACGTGGGGTGAAATTATAATGCTTTATGATATAGGGAGAAATGACAATTTTAAGAAGCCTAACTAAACAAGTAATTGAGAGACTAACAAATCACTCGTTCCAACCATAAAATAACCAGAAAGAATCAGATTATTAAGGCTTTCTGCAGCATTGTCTCTGGAACAGGTGAAATGGGAGAGGAGGAATGAGGAAGGGTGTTGAGGAGTAGTAGGGGAGTGAGCCAGGCTGTTGGAATTCAAGAATGGGAGAATGAAGTAATGAGGGAAAAGGGGAAAATTAGGGACATTATCCTCATTACACCTTCAATGATAATAGGGATAACCTGAGTGGGAAACCCTACTTCCCACTCCACCTCCTGCATTACTCAGAGAATGCCCCGGGGTTCCTTCCTGGGAACCACTGTGTCCTACCACAACCATCCCCAATTGTTAAAAGACTCCCTCTGAATTTAAATGGCAGAGAGAGAAATCCTTTTCTATCTCCCATTGTGTGATTTGCCCTAACCACACTCCCTCTCTGTCCATTATTTTGCTCATAGATATTTCCATAGCTCACAGATCACTGGCAGCACTTATTTAAGGTGGAACCTATTTATGGCTAAAAATGCTAGGGAGAGTCCTTACCCACAGAGATGAATGTCACTTTTATGTTTGCACTGCCTCTGGCTCCATAGGCACTGATGAACTCACAAGTGTAGATGACTGTTGTTCCAGACGACCCGCTTGGGCACTGGGTTCCATCAGCCTTGAGGGTGTATCTGCTGCAGCTAGAATCTATGTCTGTCTCAGGGGTTCCTATAATGAGAAGCAAATTGTTGCCATCCCAGCTGGCTAACTCTTTTATTTAGTAGCAAAGAGGTCAAATCATTTTTTTTTCATAAAAGGAGTTACTATTTAAATAGATTTCTTCTCTGAATGGAGAAGTTGGGTTTATGGTGATTAGGTCTGCAGACTCTGTATCCAGGTTGCCTGGCTTCGGATCCCAAACTCCATCACTTACTAGCAAGATATTGTTGAGACAGTCACTTAACCACCTTGTGCTTCAGTTCTCCAGATGTAAAATGAGGATTAATAATTGCAGTTACTTCCCAGGACCACCGTAATGTTAAATGAGATAATATACATAAACTCTTAGAAAAGTACCTGACTGGGGCCTTCCCCAACAAAGACCATGAGCGATGGTTTTTTGAATGTGAACAATAAAAAAAGAGAAGCAAGCTGTTTGGGTATGATTTAACTGGAAGAACAGATGTCAGATTATTTAGATTATTATGATTATTAAAAAGGGGAAGAAGCAATACTGGGGCACCTGATATTCATCTTATTTGAGCATTTTTCACAGCATGTTCCCTGTTTAAATCTCTATGTTTTAGTGAAAACTTCAACTTCATGCATTCTCAGTTACCAGCAGCTTCCCCTTCAAAATAGCTCCCTTTCCATACCTTTCTTTCCTTTCCCAGAAATACCATGCCCTCCATGCCATCTTTCCTATTGCCTCGGGTTCTACAACACCCTGTGGCTGATTTTTCCTACTCTAGTCCCTTTACTCTCCCTCCTTCCACCTTGCCTGCTGCCATGCACTCCTAAGGGAATCTTCAAACACTATCAATCTTCCGAAAATGAAGGAAAAAGAATAAGCCTTTTGATTAGTTCCAACGTAAATGTGTCTTTTTCAGCCGTGGCTGATCAATGATATTTGACATATTTCAATCAACATGTAACTAGCTTTTCTCCCTAGACCCCAGAAAGGTTGTTTGAAACACGAAACTGATTTCCCTCTTTATCTATCTTGACTAAATTACCTCCTAGCTCACAGACATGAGTGTCTGTGCCCATCTCTAAGGCTCACCCCGCCACTTATCTTTTGAAAATCCACTTCTTCTAATTCTTCCAGGACATCCCTTCATCCTTTGCCCTTCCTCACCCTGTGTCTTTAATCTTTCCTCCCAGATTTCCTCCCCTTCAACCCCCAGATACACTCAAGTCTCCCTTCCTGAAATGGTCTTTCCCCAGTCTGAATGCTCCCTAGCCACCACTGCATTTCTTCCTCTCTTCATACCACCATGCTTCTGTGTTTGCCACTTCCAATTTTTCACTCCCGTTTCTCATCAAGTCTTTGCGATTGGCCTTCTTCACCCTCTCCTCTACCGAAAGTGTTCCTTTAAGGCCAACAGTGACCTCCCCTTTCCCGTATCCAGTGGCCTCCCCTCATGCTACTTTGACTGCAGCATCCCATTCTCCTGACCACCTTCTCTCTGATTTGGCATGCTTGAGTCCTAGATGTCTCCCGCCCCTCTTTTCTCCTCATCCCTCCTTCTGGGTCTCCCTTTCAGGCTCTTTTCCTTCATCCTCTTCTCAAAGATTGCCCCTTTCCTCATCTTTTTCTCTATTCTCTCTGCAGGCAATCTCATCTATACCTATGGCTTCTAGTATAGCTCAAATTTGGATGACTCCCACTCTATTTCTAAGAGCAACACTCTCGTTGGAAACTTTAGAAGCAAATTCCCAAGTGTTGCTCTGACATCTTCGGTACCTTCAACTCAATTGGTCCATTTAAGAACTCATCTTTTTTCTCCCCAGATAAAACCTGTACATCTTCCAATGTGTCCTTTCTTTGCACTTGGCATTTCCCCAAACAAAAAATCCTAAATTACTTGCATGCACTCACCTTTTACCCCTACTCAGTTGTAAGAAACTTTTAGATTACTCTTCTGAAATATCTCACTATTGTCTTATCCACTCCTACCCATGGTAACTTGCTCAGACCCCATTATCTGTGGTCTGCCCATTACACATGATTGTAGCTGAGTCTCTATTTTCAGTTATTTGCCCCTGCAATCTATTGGCTATCAGACCTTAAAACTTATTTTTCCTAAGTTCAGCTCTCACCATCTGATGTCCCTCTTTTTACCTTTAAAACCTTACCATTGCCTACAGAATACAGTAAAATCCCTCTTAGCCTGGTATATTCAATTATTCACAGTGTGATTCCAATCTGCTTCTCTTCTCTTTATCTTCTATAGCTCTCTCTGAAAAATTAGATCATCTCCTGGGGCTTGAACATGCCCTGTAGCTTTGCACCTCCATGCCTCTGTTCACACCTGAAATATTCTCATTCCCTCTTCCTCCTGCTGATTCTTACTGATCCTTAAAGACCCATTTATCTCACCAAACTAATGTACAAGACAATGATCTATGCAAGAAGGAGTGTATAAACAGATGTACAGAAATAATGATAGTGTGCAGTGGGTAGGTTCCATAAGAAAGAAGTCAATATGTTATGTAGATTAAAGGAGGGATGTTTAGTTGAGAGATTAGGGAAGATTTCAGAGAAGGGGAAGATTTGCTCTAGGCCTTAACAGACATTCAGGATTTTAATAGATAGAAATGGCGGCTGTAGTTCTGGTATGTGGTTGTATGTGGGTTGTGTGTGAGTAAATCCATACTCCTTGGAAAACTTGGCATTCCATCAAGCTGCTTCAGGGGCTGGGGCTGTGTTGAGGGGGGTGGAAGGATAATAAACTGTGTGGGCTCCAATCCCTTCACCCTTTTTCTAACCACAGCAGCTCCACTTTGGTCTGCTTTACACATTAGATGTGCTCTCAATGAGGGGCAATTTTGCCTCCCTGGAGGACATTTGGCAAGGTTTGGAGACATTTTTGGTTGTTGTAACTGGAGATGTTACTGGCATCTTGTAGGTACAGGCTGGGGATGCTGCTACATATCCTACAATGCACAGAACAGTTCCACCCAGCAAAGAATTATCTGACCCAAAATGTCAATAGTGCTGAGTTGAGAAGACTTGCATTAGACAGCCATGCAAGATTCTGCTTGAAAAATGGATTCTACTGTTAACCCAGAAAACCACTGCTATAAGCAAAAACACAGAAGCAGCAGCATGCAGGTCTTGTTCAGAGAACAATAACTACTTTTGTTAGGCTGAGATTCAGAGAAAGAGTGGAGAAAAGGCTCCAAAGAGGTGGTAAACTCAGAAAACACAAGCAGGACTTCCAAATTGGCATCATTCACATCGTGTTTCCTACAACACCCCTGGGACTGTGCAACCAGGAGCCCTGCATGGGAGGTACTGAATGCAGCTAATAAGTTGGTACTTTGCTTTCTGGAGAAGAGAAGGTATGCAATTACAATTTTGTTGTTCAAAATTAGATGACATCCCAGACCTTCCTCTATAAAATGGTGGTGATGGTACCTGCTTTGCAAGACTTTGTGTGGGGAGTGGAGAAAAACCAAGATGATAAATGTAAACATTGAAAACAGAGTTGAGGCCAGGTGTAGTGGCTCATGCCTGTAATCCCAGCACTTTGGGAGGCCAAGGTGGGTGGAGGTCAGGGGTTCGAGACCAGCCTGACCAACATGGTGAAACCCCATCTCTACTAAAAATAGAAAAATTAGCAGGGTGTGGTGGCAGGCACCTATAATCCCAGCTACTCGGGAGGCTGAGGCAGGAGAATCCCTTGAACCCCAGGAGCGGAGGTTGCAGTGAGTCGAGATTGCGCCACTGCACTCCAGCCTGGGTGACAAAAGCAAGACTCTATCTCAAAAAACAAACAAACAAACAAAAAACAAAATGAAACAAAAAAACCAGAGTTGAATACATTGAATCTACCACAATAACTATTTTGTGATTGCGTTGATACCCTTAAAGAATACTCCTTCACTTTTTTCCCATGTGGGAGGAAATCTTCATTGAATTTTAGTTTCTTAAAGTTAGAAATTCTGCCATTGTTGATTATTTCCTTTCCGTCTCATCCTTTTCCAGAGTGCTTTGAATATGCGACCATTTATGAGAGCAGGTCATTCATTCAGTTCCAAATGCTTTGGGTAAATTCTTTTGCTTGATTGTGTTCTACAGACTTGGAAAAATGGTTGTTAGTAGAACTTGTGGAATTTGGAGAAGAGAGCTGCAGAGAGGAAGCAGCAAGGGCAGGAGAAAGAAGGGCAGGGTGCCAAGGCAGAGGCTAAATCCATCAGAGAAACCACGGTGCAGGTCCCCAGGCTGCCAGCCCTGAGGCAGGAAATCCATTGTTCTGCAGTCATTCATCCCGCTCTAAGCATCTGCGCCACAGACTTCCTGATTCCTTTGCCAGAAGGCCAGGTTTTTCACCTTTCGGGGTTGAAAGCTTCTAAGCCAGTACCACAGGAATTGTGCAAGGCCTTTCTTCCATCTGGCAGTTCCTTCAGGATACCTACACCTCCTCTTCCTTAGAAATCAGGGAAGTGACTCCATGTATCATGTGTCAACATTTTCAGCTGTTACCACATGCCTTTCTTCTGAGTACTTATGTCTAATACAAATGCTTGCAGGTGAACTGTCCTTTGGAAATTACATGTGCTTAGGAAAATTTGCCTGTAAATTGATAGTTTTTGTTGTTGTTGTTGTTTGAGACAGAGTCTCACTCTGTCACCCAGGCTGTAGTGCAGTGGCATGATCTCTGCTCACTGCAACCTCGGCCTCTCGGGTTCAAGTGATTCTCCTGCCTCAGCCTCCCAAGTAGCTGGAACTACAGGTGCACACCACCACACCTAGCTAATTTTTTGTATTTTTAGTAGAGATGGGGTTTCACCGTGTTGGCCAGGCTCGTCTCCAATGCTCAACCTCAGATGATCCACCTGCCTCGGCCTCTGAAAGTGCTGGGATTACAGGCGTGAGCCACCGCCCCTGTTCTGATAATTTTTTAAAAATAATTTAATCAATTTCCATAGCTAAGGCTTTGTAAAATGAAGGTTCACCACACTAATGTATTTCATGGGTAAAGCCACATTTTACTTTAAAGACTTTTTCTTTACAGATAAGCGCATTATACTGTTGTTTCTTAAGAGAAGAGTTGGATCTTGCTCTATGCAGTTTCTAGGTAAAACACTGTTCAAACTCTGCCTGACTAGCTCATTCCAGTGCTGGCCCACCAGGCATGCATAATATAGTTTGGCCAAGACAGACACTGGTTTTGTGAAACAAGACCTTTGGTGAGTCCTAATTTATTTCCTCTCTTTCTTTCTTTCTTTCTTTCTTTCTTTCTTTCTTTCTTTCTTTCTTTCTTTCTTTCTTTCTTTCTCTCTCTCTCTCTCTTTCCTTCCTTCCTTCCTTCTTTCTTTCTTTCTTTCTTTCTTTCTTTCTTTCTTTCTTTCTTTCTTTCTTTCTTTCTTTCTTCTTTCTTTTTTTTCATATTTGACAACCTTGGATAAGTCATATAATCTGAACCTCAATTTCCTTATTTGCAAATTGGAAGTAAAATGCTTCAAATTTGTGGTCAAGCAATTTAAAAGCAGTAACATATTTTTTAAAGGGTTAATCATAAACTGTTATACAAAACAGAGTCAGTATTGCTGTTTTAATTTATTACCATTATTATTATTCATCAATATAAACTGGAGGGTGGGGAACTTTAGGTAAGATTTCAGATTGAAAACAAAAGCTAACAGGATCAGAAATCATATGAAATGACTGAGAGACAAACAGGTCTGCAGAGAGAGAGGGATAAAGCTGGAGGCACAGAGATAGAAAATATTGAGGTATGCATAGATACAAAGGCAGAGAAGTGAGAAGGACCAGACACCAGGAGAAGAGACACAGAAAGGAGAAGCTCCAAGTCAGACCTCAATGACAAATGACCTCATCCTTAGCTCTTTGCTGAAGATGAAAGGAAGGTGAGCACAAGCTTTTCTTGTCTTTTTTTAGATCCAAAATGCCATCGACCTAAGTCATCGGGATCCTAATTTCTTGGGTCTTCTGCTGCTGGGATCTCATCTACAACCAAAGCACGACACTTGTGTGCATATATTTTTGGGGTCTTGTTCTAGAGTGGCTAAGCTGGAGCTGGCATCAAACCTAATGCCTTTTCACAGTCTGAAATCCAGAAAATAACAGCCATCTGACATTTCCCCTTCCATACGCCACATCTCCCATTTCTACTTGGCCAAGAGGCAAAAACCTATTTGCAAAAGGGCTTATCTAACATTCTCACCTGGAATATTTATTTTTCCTTCCTGCTTCCATTCTACTTTGCTCCAATTAACATTACCCTGACTGCAGCAGTTCAAAGATACAGGATTGTTGTCGCACATCACCTTCATTTCTTCATTTGCCAAAATTTGGATGGGCATAACATCTATTTTCTTCTTGCACTCATATTCAAAAATGTCTAATATCAGTTTGCAAACATATTCACCTGCATAAAATACACAAAATCATGTATTATTATAACACATGTGTATTTTCTTAGAGGAATGTACCGTCAGCTCATGGATCATGACAGTACTTCATGAAGTATCATTTTCAAAAGCATCTGAGACTTGGTCTAAAGACGCCTAAAAAACCATTCAGGAATTCAGGAAGTGCAGATATTTCTCATGCCACAAAGTGGAGTACAGAGATGTTCTAAGGAAATAGTAGAAATTTTAGGGACTTTTCTAATAAGAAAAAAAGTATAACAATAGAAGAAGTAGAAAAGAAAAATCGAAAAGCCTTGGAGAATTAGAAAAAGATGGGTAATATTGCCGTAGTATTTAACCATGTTGTAAATCAAAATCAACAACTATGTGATAGGACCCATATGTCTATAGCCCACCTCATCATGCAGAGAAAAGAAGATGGCCCCATTGGCATCTGAGTTACAATGCGGCTATTACATTCCAGAATATGTCAGGTTCACCACTAGTCTTAGGGAAGAATTAAGCCTTATGCTTGCTTCTGTAGTTGCTTGGAGCGGGCAAGAGGACAGGAGAAAGCCGAAGAGAGGGATAACAGTGGAGAACCAGAAAATTTGGTGAGGGCAGGGAGAACGATGGATACGTTCACTCTCTTGATTGTAGTAATGATTTCACAGGTGCACGTGTGTCAAGACTTTTTAAATATGTACAGTTTATTATATATCAATTCCTTCCTCAACAAAGCTATTTTAAATTTTTTTAAAAATCAATTGAAAATTAAATTAATAATAAAGTAATATTATATACTAAAACAAAATAATGAAAATAATTATATTATATACTATAATAAAACAAATAATGAAAATAATGAATTTTAAAATTAATTAACAATTAATACCACGGTGATATGATTTGGCTCTGTGTCCCCTCCCAAATCTCATGTCGAATTATAATCTGCACATGTTCAGGCAGGGCCCTGGTGGTAGGTGATTTTCTCATGGGGGCAGTTTCCCCCATGCTGTTCTCATGATAGGGAGTGAGTTCTCATGAGATCTGATGGTTTAAAACCAGATGTTTGACAATTCCCCAGACCCTCTCTCCCTCTCCTGCTGCCATGCAAGACATGCCTTGCTTCCCCTTTGCCTTCTGCCATGATTGTAAGTTTCCTGAGGCCTCCCCAACCATGCAGAACTGTGAGTCAATTAAACCTTTTTTCTTCATAAATTACCCAATCTCAGGTAGTTCTTTACAGCAGTGTAAAAATGGACTAATACATATCGGATTAATTTTCAGTTTTGAAAGGTTGAACCAGGAGACTTATTTTGGAAGAGAAAAACACTATCTACATAGCTACGTAAAACACTATTACATATTTGCTTCTTTATAAGCTCTTCATTCCATTCCTCACACAAGTTACTGAATGGAGACCTACCTGCATCACCTGGAGTGATGTTGTGGATGGTGAGCTTGGACACCGAAGTCATGTTGTTGAAAAGTGCGGTGTAAATCGAGAATCTGCTGCTGTTCTGGATTTCCAACTGCTGTTCTTCATAGCGCCAAGACACATTGGAGGACAAAACTTCCTTTTCACACACCAGACTGACTGTGTCCCCTTCAAAGATGATTTCTGGTGTGACAAAGAAATTGCTTTCATCTGGAAACCCAAAGAAAAGTTAATAAGATCCCAAAGCAAATAAATGTCACTGATGCTACTCACCACACACAACCACCACAAGGCTCTTGGAGATCTTGACAGCATCTGTGGTGCTGAACTGGCTGAGGCAATGTGTCTCCTCACTCCATTCCCATGCAGCTGGTGTCTGAGCCCTGAGGAGGTATGTCCTGCCACATGCCAGGGACAGGGTTTCCCGACTGGGGTGTTTGCCCTATGGCTCCTTAACGGCAGTAATGGAGATTTTAAAGCTATTTTCAATATTTCAAAAAGTGTGGTAGAAAATTGCACATTTTTTTATAAAAAAAAAACAAACTTAAATACCAAGTTTCTGTGCTACACACTGGAATAATATCAACTGCTTCTTATCAGTAACCAATATCTCAAGCTTATTGAAAGCTCTGACCTAAGTCTTGAAGGATTTAGAAATGTAAAAACAAATTAATTAATTATAATAAAGTCTGCTTGAGAAATAAGAATTTCCTAATACTCATGGACCTCTTTAAGAGTGGGAGCTTTATAGACAGTAAGTTTGGATTTGAATCCTGGTTCTGTCCCACCCATAGCTGTGTGGCCCTGAGGAACTTGCTTAGTCTGGCCGAGCCTTAGTTCCACTGTCTGGAAAACAGGAGCAGCAAGAGAGAGTTACATTGGGAGGTGACTTGGAGAAACTGTAGCTCTTATTATTGTTTTGGCAGTAAAAATCCATGGGATCACTGCCTTATCATTTCACAAATAAAAATAAAAACACAGCCAGGCATGGTGGCTCATGCCTGTAATCCCAACACTTTGGGAGGCTAAGGTGGGAGGTTTGCTTGGGGCCAGGAGTATGAGACCAGCCTGGGCAACATAGTGAGGTCCCATCTCTACAAAAAATAATAAAAAAAAAAATGTTAGCTGAGTATGGAGGTGTGCACCTGTGGCCCCAGCTACCCTAGAGGCTGAAGCAGGAGGATCGCTTGAGCAAGGAAAGTAGAGGCTGTAGAGAGCCATGATTACACTATTGCACTCCAGCCGGGATGACAGAGGGCTGCACTCTGAGGCCTACTGCTCTAAAACAATGGCCCTCTATTTCTTATTGGTGCATTTTGTGAATATTTAAACCTCCACTGTGATATTAGTTTTACTTTTTTTACTTAGTTTTGGATCTGTTATACACAAACCCAGATGGCTCTGTGGCCCCCTTGTAAATCCCTGTGCCCCTTTTCCACACACCCCAGGTACAGTGGCATTAGTCAGATTGGGAGGCACTGGCATAAGAGGAGGAGGTGGTACAGAACCCCCTGTGCCAGGAACTGGAGTGTCTAGCTTCCCAGAGGACATTGTAGCATAAACTAATTTCCTAGGTTTACGCATAACCATAAATAACATGACCATATCTAAACAATTTCACTTACTGATAGTAACTGCTTGAAAGGAGTTGTAGTCCATTTTGTAGGTCTGATTGAGGCTCTGTACAACTTGTTCATTGGCTTTATGTATTAACTCAAGTGATGGTGGTGTAGTCTTGACTTCATATGTCACAACCACACTTCCAGACCTGGACAGAGACCACTCAGTTCAGTAAAACAATAACTGACCTGGAAGAGTCTAGATATTTATGGCTTATTTGCTTAGGAAACAAAATAGCACAAACTGCCTGATGCAGCATGCAAATCTATGGATCTGACTGGCCAGCAGGATCTTCTGGAAGAAAGACATCATTGCATGGCATTATTTCATTTTTATATTTCTGAACTATTTGGACTACAAACTTATCCCTTATCTTTGCTTGCAAAATTTTTTGCACATATATAGAATGAACACAAGTCTTTTTCTCTCTTTCTTTTAAACAGGTACATCTGTAAGGGGTGAGGTACTTTTTTCACCTCTACCAAACTGCTCCTGCTGAGGATTCCACATGAATAATGCCTCTCTAGGGGGTTTACCTCCTTCACTACCATATGGATCCCAGCCATAAATTAGAAATGATCAAATTAAAGTATTCTTACTTGAACCCTGTCACAGTCACGCCCTTGAAGCCTGGTAAAATTCCGTAACCCTTCCGGAACTGAAAAATAAAGCAAGATGAATGTCATATATCAAAGTCGAGAAATAGGTGTATCAAAAGATCTGAAGCAGAGTAAAAACCACATATTCCTAATCACACTAGGTAAAATTATCTTCTGTCTATTTTGTTAACTGTGGGCATTAGATTTCTGAAGAAGTAATTCCTATCTATGTCAGCCTGGGTCCTCCGAGAAGTAGACTAGATGAAATGTGCAAAAAATTTACTCAGGGAAATGTCTAGGAAAGAAAACGTGGAGGGAGCAGGGAAGACAGAGAGAGCCATCAGACTCCCAAATGAAAGAGAGGGAAGGAAGGTTGGCTAAAATCATCCTAGCCTGAGCTTGGAAATGTTCAATAAAGCCTTCCAAGGAGTCCCAGTGTCTGCCAGACACAGATGTGTTGTGCCCCTTCATTGGTAGGGAGCAGCGGTGATGGTCGTGGATTTCAGAAGCAGCAGCTGCAGCCCTTGCTCCATTACATGACCTGTAGTTGGAGGTTTGTGAGGGGCACCCTCATGGCTGCCATACTGCAGGATTGGTTGGTGTGCCAGGTACCTAGGTGGTTGCTATGTAACTCTCTCTTTCAAAGCATATAATTTAGTGTAGTGTGTGTGTGAGGAGGGTTCTCCTGCTGTGCAGACATATTACATGCCAGAAATGTAAATCAAACATCCAAGAGCTCTTCTGAAGCGGCACTTCATCAAGGCACTCATGGGAGATGACAATATTTGGGTTACATGCTGAGATGAGCAGGAGGGTGCTGACAGCCTAAGGCAGGGCTCAGCTGACAGCCTAAGACAGGGCTCGGCTGCCAGGAGAAGGGAAGTCATTATCTCAGCCCACCTGTAATAATCTGTGCCACATCCATTGGGAAGCTCTGTTCCAAATATGTTAACTCTAGCAAAGTGTTTAGGTTTAGATGGATCAATTCAATGTGAAGCACTCAAGACAGGGCTGACAAACAGTTAACACTGTTGGAATACTCTCTATTTTTATGTGAATCAATTTATATCTGTCTTAGGTATGAATGCCTAGCAACCTCTGGTGTAGAGTGGTTTGAGACCCTCTGTGCTCAGCCACGGGTTGGTCTGCCCAAAAGTTGTTAGGGGTTTCATTCATGTGATATATGAATAATAGAAATGCACCAACTCATGCTTGTAGGCTATAGGTTCTTGGGGCTTTGAATACGTTTTAGTGAATTGATGCCACGAAATCTTAACTGAACCAGTTCCACCCTGAGAAAAATTTATGCTTATAGGTCAAGGTGAGTCACACTGTCCCCTAAACATGATTTGATTTGAGCACATATTAATTCACCATCTCAGATGTAAAAGAATAATAAATCCACATCCGTAAATTCTGACAGATCCAAGCCATGTTCATTGTGAATGCAATAGACTCAGTTCAGTCCAAACAGTTTGTTAGTTAAGAGGTTCTTGGGGCCAAAACCTACCGCTGTTTCCAAGTCGGTCTTGTAGGACCTATAGAGGGCGGAGGAAGTGTTCATGAGGTCTTCTTGAAAGCCTACATTTAGTCTGACTCTCATGTTCAGGGTAACATCTGTTGAAAAACACAGGGCAATATTTAAAAATATGTTAATGTCTGAGTATATACAAACCAGAAACATTTGTAAGCTGTTTTTGTTTGTTTGTTTCAGATGGAGTCTCCCTCTGTCTCCCAGGCTGGAGTGCAACGGCACGATCTCAGCTCACTGCAACCTCTGCTTCCCAGGTTCAAGTGATGCTCCTGCCTCACCCTCCCGAGTAGCTGGGACTACAGGCATGTGCCACCACATCCAGCTAATTTTTGCATTTTTAGTAGAGGCAGGGTTTCACCATGTTGGCCAGGCTGCTGTCAAAGTCCTGACCACAGGTGATCCATCCACATCGGACTATCAAAGTGCTGGGATTACAGGCATGAGCCACCATGCCCAGTCGTAAACTGATGTTGAATAGCCACTCAACGAGCATTTAATGAGCAGTTACTTACCTTCCTGAAGCAGGCAAAAAGGTCCATTGGGAGGCAGTTCTTTAAGGCAACTGCAATGGTGCCCTGGGAGGAAGACGTCACGCTCTTGACAAATGAGATTGTGAAGACACCTTTCCCGAGGCCACCCATAACCTGTCTCGCAGGAGCACCAGATTTCATTTCCAGCAGGTCTGCAGACTATCGTTAATCAGAACAGCAAGGAGAGAGAAGGTGGAGAAGGTGGTCACCATATTTGTATTTATAGCCTGCAGGTATTCATTCTTGAAGAACATCCGAATCTGACTTTATATTACCTTTCTGAGAAGTTCAATAGCACTGCATAAAATTGATATTTGCATGTATGCATCACCATGCTATTAGCCATGACAATCTGAAAGATGACTGCTGTGACGGTTGAGTGATGAATGGCTAAGTCATCTTTTAGATAGTCATGCCTAATAGCTAATAGCCACCAGATGTCTATGATGATAAGTATAAGGTAGCTAGCCTCCAAGATGACCTTTGCCCATCCCTACCACTAGGTATTCAAACCCTTTTGTACTACCTTCTTATATTGTACTAGGATTGGTCTATGTAATCAACAGAATAAGGTAGAGGTGATGGTATGGCACTTCTGAGATTATGTTATTAAAAACACTATAGTTCCTCTTGGTTGCTCTCTCTCTTTCTCTTTCTCCCCTCACTCTGGGGGAAGTTGACTGCCATGGCATGAAGACACATCATGGAGAGGTCCACATGGCAAGGAACTGAGGTCTACAGCCAATAGCTAGTGAGGAACTGGAGGCTGCCAACAACCACATGAGTTAGCTTAGAAATAAATTTTACAGGCCAGGCACAGTGGCTCACTCCTATAATCCCAGCACTTGGGAGGCCAAGGCAGTTGGATCACTTGAGCCCAGGAGTTTGAGACCAGCCTGGGCAACATTGCAAAACCCTATCCTACAAACAATACAAAAACATTAGCTGGGCATGGTGGTGTGTCCCAGCTACTCAGGAGGCTGAGGTGGGAGGATTGCTTGAGCCTGGGAGGAAGAGGTTGCAGTGAGTTGAGATTGCAACCACTACACTCCAGCCTGGGCAACAAAGTGAGACCCTGTCTCAAAAAAAAAAAAAAAAAGAAAAAGAAAAAGAAAGAAAGGAAGAAAGAAAAAACAGAATTTTTTTTCATATGCCAGTTGTGCTTTCATATGATGACAGCACTGGTTGATAGATTATTTATAAACTTACAAGAGACCCTGAGCCAGAACCACCCAGCTAAGCTGCTCTAAGATTTCTGACCCTCAAAAACTGAGTCTATCTTCTAATAAGAGAACTAAACTTTTTGTTTTTCCATTACCATAAAAACCCTGCTTAGGACACAAAGACAAAAAGAAAAAAGTTTCCTTTTACATCCCGCACTCGCAGAGAAAAACAAGAGGTCTTGTCTTGATGGAAGCCCCAGTGAGGAAGAATAAGCATTCTCAAATTAAAGTGAGACCCTCTGGCCTGGGGCTGGTTCATCTCTGGGCCTATGTACCACATAAAAAGAAGGGTCAACCTTGGCATTGCAGTGAGTGACTTTCACGGCTTTAGTGCATTTTCATCTCCCAGAGTGAGCAAAAAGGACCAATGCTTCCTTTCTACATGTTAAATGCTGCAGGATGTATGTTAGAGCATACCTCTATTTGTAGACTATTGTAGATATAGTTTATAAGGCAAATAAGTTTATACGTGTATAGAAGTTTATTTTCATATAACTGTTAGTACCAACACTCATCAATACTTCCACCTTCTACATCTTAATTCTTAACAAATATAAATACAATGATTTAAAAAACTCTCAGATAATAACTGTTTGTTATTTTATGATGCTAGGTTTTAGACTCTGTTGTGCACCAATAGATAACAAATGTAGAGTGCAAGTAAATTTGTGTCTTTTACATATCAAGTCAGGTGTGAACAGCCTACATGAACTCTGCTCTCATTGGAGACAGTAAGAAATGTTCTGAAATCAGAGTGCTTTGAATCAATTTCCAAAGCTAGACCAAAGTCACATCTTTGGGAGCTGTTTGTTCTGCAGATGGGTAGCCAGGCAAAGTCCCACAGAGTGACTATCCAAAGGGAAGTTATCAAATAGTTGTTTCTGAAATAGGAGGGACAACACGTTCGAGTTAATTCCTTGGGCACTGATGCAGCCTGTGTCCCAGCAGTGGGTGGCAGTGGGGCAGGAGAATTAGAAATAGAAGAAACTGGAGCTACTAACAAAGAAGCTGAGTGCCCGCTAGAGGTAATTTGAGGATAGCCAACAGGATCCCACTTGTTGAAATCTCTCTTACTGACATGAAATTCCAGTGCTAAAGCAATTTTGTTATTGTCTTCTGTTTTGTAAGGGAGCATTATGGGAGGAGTAGTTGAAGAACTTTTGAGTCCCACATAAAATGCAAACATGCCTTAGGAGAATGGAAAAAGTTACCACTTCCAGACCACCTGACATATCCCAGGTATTGTTCGGTGCTTTACTCACATTGTCCGGTTTTAAATATCCTCAGTTTTATTTGCCATTACTAAAAAAGGATCATAAGGTAGGCTGTTGGAAGAATGAGGCGAGGGAAGGATGGAAAAAGGAAGATGGTGAAAGTTTGGATGCTTAGACATTAGTGCCATGGTCAGTAGGCCTAACCTTCATTGCCCACCCATCCCATTCACTTCCTCTTTTAGGCCAACTCCTCTTAGCTGTTCCCTGCTGGTCCTGAGGTCCATGAGCCTGAGGCTTTCTCTGCCACATTGAAGTATCCACTTTTGTCAAACCTGTTTCATAGATCACTATCAGAAAAGATTCACCCCCTCTATGTGTGAATGACCAGTCTTTCTGGAAGGATAAATTAAACTTTCCAAGGTCAATTGCATTTTAATTGAGAAGCTTGTTAACCCAAGTTTTTAAGATGGTGAAGCCTCTTGAAGTCATCCCATCTCTAGTAGAAAAAAATCAGAGAGAGTTTGTTAGTATGTTTATATTGAATATATGTAAGATAAACTCACAACTAAAGCTCAAGTGTCTATAATCACAAGTTGTTCAACAAAAAACTATTTTTGATACTTGGTCTGTTTTGTTTACTGGATTCACTTACTAGCACCTACAGAGATACCAAAAGGTTTCTGTTAAAAAATTTGGGAAGCAAAATTGACTAAAATCTATCCAATAATTTATTCTAAAGGCAAAAGATCTGTGCCGGGTGGGAACATAGAAGGGTGTTTCTTATGTATTTTCCAAAGTACCCTAGTTCGGTGAGATGTTCTATGGATAAACAGTGGGAAACACAGCAGAAGTTCACTGCTCCTGAAGGACTCATAATGCACATTGGCATCCAACTGGAAAACCACTAACTCAAGGAAATTAGTGCTAATGGTAGAAATCAGTGGGAAATGGCATCCAAAAGGAGTGATAAGGGAGCTATGACTTCGAGTAACATATATTAAGAATCAAAAATTAAAATGCATGTACCGACATTGGGATGGACTATTTGAAATATGCGAATTCAAGAAGAATTTCAAAAACAGGAATTTTTTCTTGCCTTCATTTTAGAATAATAAAACCCAACATCTATTAGTGCTTTCCAATTTAAAAAACAATTCCCTGTTATCAGATAACTGGAAGCCTTATCTCACAACTTCTACTGTATACCAAGTCTTGGGTGATGGTTTCTGGAGACATAGGGAAGTTAGCATGACCTTGGAAAAGAGTTTGCAACCAGAAAGTCCAATCTATGGCCTAAGAGGTTCTACTTAATGCCTTGCTTCTGATGCAGGCATGTACCTGTTTCCTATTTCCTGACCTATAATGCCAAAGAGAAGGGTATCTGGTACTTACTAATATCTTGAACCAGTCCTTGTTGTGTCCATTGATATACCAAGGGAGGAGGACACAGGGAAGAGGACCCAGTAGTTTATCTGCCCAAGGGAAGAGGACCCAGTAGTTTATTATGAAGGACCTGGCCATATCTTGGGATCACTTTATGACAAGCATCATACAAACCACCAAGCAAACCTTTGGTCACCATTTAAAATAAGAAACCTCTGGCTGCAGAGTTTACTGATAGAGGCTTCATTCAGGAAGGCTGTGAAGTCACAGAATCACACATCCGTCTCGGTGAGTCATTTCACTTGCCTACTAAGTAAAAGATTGCTCTGATACTCAGGAGCTCAGACAGTCTGTCTCAAGACATCCAATCATTTATTCTGAAGCAATGGGTCTCTTACTCACCTGTTGTCACATTTATGCTCAAAATGTCGGTAATTTGGTCAGTGTTATTCCCATGAATTGGAAAACTGAGGCTGTTCAAGTAGGCTTTGATAGGATCCAGGAAGGATGCATTTTCAAAACTGATCTCAATATTAACAGTGTATTCTTCAGCCGTAGGACTTTTTGTGGCAACTGCAATGAAAGCACATGAAGGCTGAGAGAACTTACCATGGGAGATGGAGTAAGATCATGATGGATATTTCAGCAGTTAAAGGTAATGACAGGTACATGTGAATGGTTGGTCTATCAACCCTTAGGAATTTCTAATGAAATCTTTAGAGAAAAAGAAGGTTTATTTACTCACCACCTTGGTGTCCAAGGCCAAGCACTGCTGTGTGAAGTATGGAATGTAACGAGGCAAGAGCGGAAGCAGAGAGAATAGCAGGGAGGGTCTGGGAACTGTTCGGGCAAAATATGTCACAGTCAGGACTCAAAGGAGTGAGTCAGTGTTTCATCTGCAGTATGCATCATTCGATAGATGCACACTCTAAGGGCTGAACCATGCATGGATTGAAGACATCTGGGAAAAGTCACCCAGTTAATTCTCTTTGCCCTTAGCCTATGGAAACAGCATATATTCTTTGCTCTTCCTCTGTATCTCCAGTGTTCAGAACTGGACACTGCTTTTGTTGAGGTGCTCAACAAAAGTTTGGCAAATTGGATAGTAAAATAAAAGAGATTTTCAGCTCTTCATTGTTTTTCCAAATTGTCTCCGGGTGGTTACCTGGCTTGCATTCAAGATGGATCTGTTCCCCAACACACAGCTACATCAGGCAGGCTAATATATATGTATATGTGTGTGTATGTGTATACATATATATATATATATATAAAATATATAGAGAGAGTATATATAGTATATACAGTCTCTATATAGAATTATATATATAGACTACTATATATACTATATAGTATATATAGTACAGTATATATAGTATAGTAATATAGTATATATAGTCTATATACAGTAGTCTATATAGAGTAGTCCATATACAGTCTATGTATAGAGACTACATAGTCTTTGTATAGTATATATACTACATAAAGTATAAAGACTATAGTCTTTATATAGTATATATACTAAAGTCTATATATAGTATGCTATATATAGTCTAAGTTTATATATAGAGAGAGACTATATATAGTCTACTCTATGTTTATATAGACACTATATATATATGTGTGTGTGTGTGTGTATATATATATATATATATATATATAGTCTGGCCTGCCTGAGGTAGGTGTGTGTTGAGGAACAGATCCACCTTGACTATGGTAGTCTATATTGACTACTATATATACATATATAGACTATATTTAGACTGTCTAGTCTAGTCTATATATATAGTCTGTACAAACGTTATATATTATATATAAACACTATATATAATATATTATGTGTGTGTGTATATATATATATATATATACATAGTTTTCTATACCACATCATGTCTGGGCCACAGTTTTAAGCTTCCCAAGAGCAGGAACTGTTTCTTTCATGTTTCTTTCACTTCTCTTAGCCTTACTTACTCCATCTGGCAAAGAGCTCACCACATTATAAATAAATGACGAATCAATTCTTGTTAAACCTGAAACTCTCTGTCACTGACCAGATCTATGACCTAATCTTGGCTAGAATATATAACTGAAGCCATGGCCACAGTTAATACTTAATAAAGAATCTTCAAGGAATAAGAAAGTTTTACACAGATAAATTGAGAATATTTTTCTTTTTTCTGGACAGGACCTCTCTCTGTCGCCCAGGCTGGAGTGTAGTGGCACGACCTTGGCTCACTGTGACCTCCACCTCCTGGGCCCAAGTGATTCTCTGGCTTCAGCCTCCCGAGGAGCTGGGACTACAAGCTCATACCATCACGGCCAGCTAATTTCTGTACTTTTTGTACAGATGGGGTTTCGCCATGTTGCCCAGGCTTGTTTTGAACTCTTGGGCTCAAGCGATCTGCCTGCCTTGGCCTCCCAAAGTGCTGAGATTATAGTCATGAGCTGCTGTGCCCAGTCATTGAAAATATTTTATCTTGTCAGTTAAATAAGGAAAAAAGTAGGGCGGGCGCCATGGCTTACGCCTGTAATCCCAGCACTTTGGGAGGCCGAGGCGGGCAGATCACTTGAGGTCAGGAGTTCGAGACCAGCCTGGCCAACATGGGAAACCCCGTCTCTACTAAAAGTACAAAAATTAGCTGGGCATGGTGGCGTGTGCCTGTAATCCCAGCTACTCAGGAGGCTGAGGCAGAAGAATCGCTTGAACCCAGGAGGCAGAGGTTGCAGTGAGCTGATATCGTGCCACTGCACTCCAGCCTGGGCGGCGAGAGACACTCTATCTCAAAAAAAAGAAAAAAATAAGGAAAAAATTAGTGAATACTTATAAAATGATTACTTTAAAATTTACATTCTATCTGAAAAGATGAAGTTTATTGTACCATAAAGTTAAAATTCTATGTTAAAAGGGCAAAAAATTTTCCCATAATATTTCAAGATTTAAATATTCCAAGGACTCTTGGTGTGAAATACTAAAATAGAGTAAGTTTATCCTGGGAAACTCTAATTGTTGAATGTTTATTTCAGAAAGCTGTAACATTTGTTCATTTAGCTTGGAAAACTGTTTGTCTTAGGTCTTTGGATTTACCCATCAACCTTGTTGAGAATTATTTCATCCTGGCATCATTCAGCTTCTGCAATTAACTCAGCCTATAAAAAAGGTCTGTCGCATATTTTCCTAAAATTAAGAGTGAATATTAAGGTATACTTCTTCTTTATAAAAATGTATTTGACAAATAGAATAAAGTGACTTTTATAAGAATGCGGAAACTCAGCCTGTGATGATAGTATGGCATTGCCTAAAATTTCCTGTTGACTTTCTGATTCTCCAATGGTTCTGTGATGAAAACAAGCTTCCTGGAAGAATGGTTAATCTTATTTTATGTGATTCTAACTATGGACACATTATGTGGTCCACTGGGAATATTTACGAGGAGAAAGGCTGCATAATATTTACAAGTTCTGCCTTAGCGCACATTCTTTTTCCTGAAAAGTAATGCAGCAACGTTTATATCCTCCAGAGGGTTCACTACCTCCAGGATCCTCTTTGCCATGCCAGTCTACTATCCTCCCATAAATATAAACAGGATTTCCTGGATGGTAGCTGCCTTTTGGATGGGTGAGGTCAGTAACAAATTCATATCATATCCACTTCATTACTGGCTTTGTTGAATCCCAGGACCTGATCCCACAAAATATCAATGCCTGCCTGAGGGTCATGTCTGCCCCTGTGCTCTTTTCAGTCACAACTGAAGAACAAGTGTGTGCCTAGAAAGCACATGGTGATTCACGGATGTTATCACTCCCCATTGAAACCAAGGCAGTTCTGCTCAGATTTTACAAGGAGCCAAGCCAAAGCATCAAGAACTAAGAGGAAAGGCTCTTGTGACCTTAGCAAGTTTCAGTCTATAGCATTCCTGCAGCTGTTAATGTGAGCACCCAGCCTCTAAGGACCTCTTTCCTTTACCTTTTATGTTCTCCAACAGCTTCTAAAAAGAGTTTCAGAATCACCCTCAGCCTGAGCGTCACCTCTGTAGAAACTGATATGGATGGGGAACCTCGAATAGAGAAGGAAATGCCTTCTCCTTGAAAATACTCAATTATTTGAAACAGGCTCAAAAACACCACTGTAATTTAGCAGGCTGTTGGCTTACTCTCGGAAATCATCTACTCCAGTGATCCCCAAACTTAACTGAGGATTACATACACCTAGGGAATACACAAATACACACACACACACACACACACACACACACACACACACACACACACACACACACAGAAAGAGAGAGAGAGATTTTGGAGCTCAGCCCATGTGAACCAAAGTAAATGGGACCACTTTGTAAACTTTAAAGTACTATTAAAAATATGAGTTATTATTGTTAAATGTGTCTTTAGAACTTTGATATACAATTCCTAAAGTAAATTCTAAAATAAAATCAAGTTCAAAGGCAAAATGATTAATAATAAATCAAAGAATTATGTAAGCCTTTGTTTAATTTTATTCAACATAATAAATGTCTTAAAAATTCACATTCAGGGCCAGGCACGGTGGCTCACGCTTGTAATCCCAGCACTTTGGGAGGCTGAGGCGGGTGGATCACAAGGTCAGGAGTTCGAGACCTGCCTGGCCAACACAGTGAAACGCCATCTCTACTAAAAATACAAAAATTAGCTGGGTGTGATGGCAGGCACCTGTAATCCCAGCTACTTGGGAGGCTGAGGCAGGAGAATCACACGAACCCTGGAGGTGGAGGTTGCAGTGAGCCGAGATTGCGCCACTGCACTCCAGCCTGGGAGACAGAGATAGACCCCATCTCAGAAAAAGAAAAGAAAAAGTTCACATTCAGGAAAAATGCATTGTGACCCATTGTCATTGACACTCATGTATTTTGATATTAAGCGTTGCTCCGCTCATCTGTTTGTTCCTTGATTTAATGATTTACCTGTAATTTTACTATTTATTGAATGCCTGTTTTCTAGGCACTGCACTAGGAGCTGGAGACACAGGGTGAATAAAAGGAGCAAAGCCCTGTCTTTGAGGATCTTTCATCATTATACTGGAGGCAAAAGATAAGTTTACATTTTAATTTAATAAAGGAAGGCAAGAGTGATGGGGACAACAGGGATTTTTTTTTTTTTTTTTTTTTTTTTTGTAGAATGGTTACAAAAGACCTTTCTCAAGCAGTAAACTTTGAGCAGAGACTCAGATGAAGTAAGGGATGAACCAGGAAGCTCTCTGGATAATGTCACTCTAGGAATAGTAAACAGGTGTTAAAACCCTGAGATAGCAACCCTCTTGGCTTGCTTGAGGAATAGCAAGAAGATGCCCTCAATCCCCCAGTACGCACTTGAAATTGGGTCATTTCTTCTCCTCTGAAGCCTGGAACAGTATCATGGTCCTATAGGCAAACAGAACATAGAGGCTGTGGCTGAGACTTTTTCCCCTGTAATGCACCGAGGTGACAGGATCAGCACCTAAGGAGCAGCTTAGATGCTCAGCGATCAGCGTGACCCACATAGCGGTGGGGTCAGAGGCTCTCTCACCTCATTCCCTCAGAAGGCCCAGAGTTTAGGCTTAGAAATGCCAAACCCACCTGTCCCGCTCAACCTGAGGACTTCAGAGCCTGTAAAGTAACATTCCTTGTCCTTCTCCAGACTACCAGGGACCAGGAGGCATGAGGACAGTTCCTCAACTTCTGTGTGTGTGTTTTGGATGCACTCTCATCCTCTTCTGCTCCTCAGGATGTCTGAATCCTGATAGTTTAATGTGTTTTCTTTGCCCCTGGCATTGTTTATCTAGATTTTTCTGGCTCGCTGATGCCCTATGTGGAAGGTAGCCAATTCCAGGTGTCATCAGTGTCACAGACAGAGGCCTATCAGCAGGCCCAGGAGGCACAAGACAACCAGGATTTCCCCTCTCCTTTCCCATAAATCACTGCCAGCCACACAGCACTTATCTTACAGGGACATTTCTGGAAAGTTGGCCACAAACTGCAACCAAGATATTTAGGTCTTAATCACAGCTGTTTAAGCAAACAATTCTACTTTTGCCTGGAAACACTAATGGGAACTATGGTTTGTCAGAGCCAGAGCTTAAGTAGATGGGTAAATTAACTTCTTCCCTGCTAACTTCACCCAGGAGAAAAGAGATTGGTTGGTTTGGCTTCCTCTTGACTAAAGAGGCCAATGCAATTTTACCATTGATGGTTTGGCTCTCCTGTTTCTCCCTGTTGGTCTTAGCAAGTAAATATCAAAAGATACCTACCATTTGGCTTGTTTCTTGACATATTCTAGAAGGTGGCAATTTGGCAGCATTGTCTGTCTACTACTGTGTGATTGCTCTGCAGATGCAGTGAAGGGATCTCATTCTCTCTTCAGGTTTCAGAAAGATTTGTTCACAAAGAAGAAAATCATCAGAACCCAAGGCTATGGGCTACCTGGCAGGTGTAGATGGAGGAGAAAGTGGGCAGCACTGTGTCATCAAACACCAGACTGTGAAGTCTAGGGAAGAGAATTCATTCCACTAGATAGCCATATACCCAAATCATCAAAGTTAGCCCCATCTTACCTAGTAAGATGAAGGCAGATATACCAGTCTTCCTTACACTACAAAGCTGTTCCAAGAGCCATGAAATGAGACTTCATGAGCCAACCAGGAACACATGTTGAAAACTATAACTCATAGCTATAAGCATGGACTTTGGAGCCAGAGAGAATGGGGAAGGAATGTCTTCTGACCTGGGCAGGTCATTTAACTCTGTGAGCCATACTTTGCTTATCTGTAAATGAAAGGTAGTATTTTCTCTGCAGGATTATTGTTAAAGAGCTGGAATCCTACATGAAAACCCCTAACAAAGTGTCTGGCATATAGTTGCCAGTAAAATAGTAATTCTGATTATCATAAATATAATGATTATATTTTATGCAGATGTGTGCTGATAGGTCAAGAAATGCTAACATTAAGGGCCTGGTGTGGAGGCTTACGCCTGTAATACCAGCACTTTAGGAAGCCAAGGCGGGCAGATCATGAGGTCAGGAGATGGAGACCATCCTGGCCAACACAGTGAAACCTGTTTCTACTAAAAATACAAAAAATTAGCTGGGTGTGGTGGCATGCACCTGTAATTCCAGCTACTTGGGAGGCTGAGGCAGGAGAATTGCTTGAACCTGGGAGGCGGAGGTTGCAGTGAGCCGAGATCGCACCACTGCACTCCAGCCTGAGTGACACAGTGAGACTCTGTCTCAAAAAAAAAGAAACGCTAACATTATTCCTATCAGGCTTCACCTTTGGTATAGTTAAAAAAACAAACAAAAAAGAAAAACATTAATCAGAAAAATTTTAAAAAAGCAAAACACTCCCAACATTAAATGTCAAGCTTAAAACCAACTCCACACACCAGCCTGAAAGCACCAGGTCTTCTATCTCACTCCACCACCATCACTGCCGGCTCAGAGCACTCAGGGCTACATGTCATCATCAGAAAGGCTGCAATCATGAAAACCCAAAAGTCTGTTCCTCAACCTGGGAAGTGCACGGCATTTCCTAGACCCAGATCTAAAAGGGCCAGCACACCCAGGTTGCTAGGCCTGCAGAAAGGGCAGGATTTCCGTGCTAGCAGCCAGAGACCCAATCTGGGAGGAACCTTACTCTGACTAAATAGATGTGAAAATGTGAGCGCATCCAGTGCAGGGTTTGGACATCCTGAATGCCCCTCTCTTGCTGTTTTGCCTCTCCTCAGTTATTCCTTTAAAGCCGGAGAATAATCAACTGGGGCTCTTCAGCACCAGGCTCCAAGACACGCCCCTTCTGTCAGAAAGCTGGAGTGGAGAACTTGGCCAGTTGATATTTGTGTTACTTCTAACCAATAAGAAACATCCACTTTCATTCCCCCATGAAGAGTCCCCATAAGACTAAATTTGGAGTTTGTCTGCAAACCTCCAAAACAAGCTTCTCCTTCCAACTCTGGTCTCTACCTGTGACCTCCCCAAAGCACCATCTCCTAGGTTTGTGCACTCCTGAAGAGTCACAGGGATTATTGCTGTCCTTCATCCCCAAGTCACATCTGTCCAAGACCTTTTGCTGTGTTTTTCAAAATGTCTTTGGCGAGCATTTCCTCTGCTTCTTTCCTATCTTACTCCATGGCAGAGTCGCATGTCTAGACTGCCGAGCCTCCTGGCTGGTCTCCCAGGCACTAATTTCTTCGTGTAATTTATTTAGCCATAACCATGGGGATACTTTTCACTTAAGTGAGTTCATCAGTCACCTCTCTGTGGCAGCCGCTCAGCTGATCCAGAATCTACTTCCTGATGGAATCGTGACATGACTCGGGATCTTTCCCCCATTCTTATTTCTCTCTGCTCCCTTACAGCCACTCATTGTCCTAACAGGCAGCTCCATGCTTTTTCTCGCCTCTAGGTTTCATGCAGGCTTCTTTTTCCTGAGAGAATTTTGAAAGAGTTTTCCTAAAATGCTAACTCCTATATCACAGCATCTGTGCCCCTGCCTTCAAGTGGTACAGAATACCTTCTCTGGACTGGAGGTAGATCAGGCCCTTTCAAACGCAACACTATTTTATAAATAAATCGATTTTCTTTGTTTAAATTTCTTTAAAAAACTATTAAAAGAAAAATAAACACCAGATAATCCAATTAACATTTTAAAAGTAATATTAACATAACCTTATTTAATCTTCCTAACAACCCTATAAAGTAATATGTGTGAGATATATGTGTGTGTGTGTGTAAATGTGACATACATATGTGATACATATATATGTGATACATATATATATATATGTAATATAATACAGTCAGCCCTCTGTATCTGTGGGGTTCTGCATCCATGGATTCAACCAATCTCAGATGGAAAATATTTTTAAAAATTTTGTCTATACCGAACATGTACAGCCTTTTTTTCATGTCACTATGACTTAAAAAGTACAGTACAACAACTATTTACATAGCATTTACATTGTACTAGGTATTATAAATAATCTAGAGATAATCTAAAACATATTCAAGGATGTACATAGGTTATATGCAAATTGACACAATTTAATATCAGGGACTTCAGCATATGCACATTTTGGTATCTGAGGGGTTCCTGGAACCAATCCCCCATGGATACCAAGGGAAGGACAACAGTATACACACACACACACACACTCATATACATGTATACACATATACACAGACATATGCATGCATATATATACACACACACACACACACACACACACACACACATATAAATTCAAGGGGCCAGTTAGGTTATGTAACTGACCAGTCACATGGGTAGAAATTCATGGTGTGCTGAGAATAAATATAAGTATTGATCCTATCTTTAAAGATGATTCTATTCCAAATGCTAAAGATTTTGTCCAGTGACTCAAAAAAAAAAGAAAAAAACTCCTGACCTAATTGTTTTTCTCCTAGAACCTTTGTATCCTTCTGGCATCCAGGCTTCAGAAAGGGAGAGGTATGTGTATGTAAAAGGGAATAGCAATCTGAAAATCAGAGCCCAGTTCTAACACCTCACTTAACTAACACACCCACCAAGCAGAACACAGACACCTCCATGTGGCATCCTGTTGAAGGTAACATTTTCTGTTGCTTCCTTTCATCATTTTCCTGGAGAGTCGTGTTCTTTTTTTTCTCTTTGAGATGGAGTCTCGCGCTGTCGCCCAGGCTGGAGTGCAGTGGTGCGATCTCAGCTCACTGCAACCTCCGCCTCCCGGGTTCAAGCGATTCTCCTGCCTCAGCCTCCTGAGTAGCTGGGAATACGACTATTTTTAGTAGAGACGGAGTTTCACCAGTTTTGTCAGACTGGTCTCGAACTCCTGACCTCGTGATCTGCCCACCTTGGCCTCCCAAAGTGCTGGGATTACAGGCGTGAGCCACCACGCTGAGTCATGTTCTTAATTGCAACTTACATTCTGGATATCTGGGGCCTAGTACCTAGGTTTTTCTATGGCCATTTCTTACTTCAGCGATTTTGTAAAAGTACCAAGGCCAATCCATCTTCTGCAGATGATGGGTTGATTCATTAACACTTCCCAAATGACTCTAGAGGCCCAAGAACACAGAGGTCCATGTATAATAAATGGAAAACATCTTTTCATGTTGATTTAACATTGTCATGATTGTTTTTAATGAAAGCACACCTGGAAAAACTTTGGAATGTCAAATCCTTAGATGTAGAAATGGTTTCCTCCCCAAGGGCTACCCCCTCACGTTGTCACCACGGGTCATAAACAGCCTGGCTCAGAAGTGCAGGAAGACATTCCTTTTACAGCTGTAGTCACCCACTGCTCCTGAGGAAGCCAGCAGCCTGAGCCTTAGAAGAATTTGGCAGAAACCTGGAGCTGGAACTCACTGGCCAGTAGTTTGATTTTAAAAAGCCAAAGTCTTTCAAAATACCAAATGAGCACATCTCTGTCTTTGTTCCTGTCATAGAGTGCAGAAAAGTTTAAAGGGTTGTCGGGATGGGGTAGAGGTAATGATACCTGTTTTAGAGCACAGAACGTATATACTGTGCCATAGGCCACTTCAGGGAAGGAGGGAGAAAGGGAGCATGGGATCCCACAGGGCTAAGAAAACAAAGGCTGAAACGGAAAAGAAAAGAAAGGGAAGAGAAAGGGAGAGAGGGAAAACCAACAGTGGTATGATCTTCCAAATAGTATTTTAAGAGCTTAATAGAATGTGGTCAAATTCTCATTTCAAGCGCTGGACAACAGTTGAGTCTGGCCACTGCACCGTGAAAGGCTTGAACAGATGCCTCCACTCTGATCTTAGGGTAAGCCTGCCCTCTTTGGCAGCCTACTGTCTCTTTTAGACTCACTAGATCAAGTCACACATGGCTGAAAAAATGATTCCATCCTAATGTGATAGGGTAAAAAATTTTTCCTTCTAGATAGTTGGTACAGACACTCAGCCAGCAGACGTTTTCCGATAGGAATTCAGAAAGGTGCTGTAATGTGAACGTGCAAGTGCTTCATCTATTCGCTCACTGGTTGAGAAAGAAACTGAGCTTGATGCCAGGCTACAGAGATGAGGAGAACGCAGGTGAGCTCTCCTCTACTGGGGGTGGTAAAGAGGAGGTAAAATAATTACAGTGCTTTGGGACAAATGTTGTGAATGGAAATGTATCAAGGGGAATGGGAACCCAGGAAAAGCAGTCTCTGATGATCTGGGGAATGGATGGAGGGCCTAACAGGGCAAGAGTTCATAAGACTTGAGGCTTCAGTGGGGGTCTCCCAGATAAACAAAGGGGGATGATGGGCAGGGTGTTGATGACGTGAAAGGGAACAGAAGGAGATCAGGTGGGAAAGGCACAGAAGGCCTGGTGAGTCACAAGCAGAGGATTGGCTTTTAGTTCCAAGGCCAAGGGAGCCCATGAAGAGTTCTATGGGGGCAAATGACAGGATCCGATTTGTGCTTTTGAAGGGCTTCTATGCTGGGAGTGGGAGCACCAGGTCCTGGGAATACCCAGCCTGCGGCCCTGACCTGACACCTGCGCAGGGTCCACTCAGGATGGGATTTGAGGGTCGGTGTTTCAGAATTTGCAGCTCTTCACCTACCCCTAACCCTCCAAAGGGCTGAGTCTTGTATTTTCCAGATCACTGCTTTAGAAGTGAGTGGGAAAATTGGAGTGGGAAACAGAGGAGGAGGACTTGAGCCTCGTGGTTAGATTGCTTCACAGGATAAAGTCCTAAGTAAAAGAAGTTTTTTTTTTTGTTTGTTTTGTTTTTTTTTTTAAAGCAAAAAGAAAGGCTTCTGGATGGTGGGCAGAGAAGTAGACCATTTGGTGGTGCGGGAGGGCAGCTGAGGAGGGAGCCACAGAAAAATCCTAGGAATGTGAGGAGCAGTGATGGCAATGGGGAGGGAAGGAGGGTTCTTACGTGTTGTTATGATCCAGTTACTGTCATTTGGTAGAGAATGGAGTTTCCTAGTAATTATTTTTGGAAATCACACTGCACTATATGACCCTGATGTGATTGGAGGCTGAATTATGTAGACTACAATGTTTTAAAAAGTTGCAACACATACCATTTGAGTCAACTTATAAAAGGGATTGCCAAGCAAGAGTTTACATACCGGCTCGTTTTTGCCTCAGTGCCTCTTCACCAGCTGGTTCATGTTCATGAAGACTCTGAAAAGAACATTTGAGAAAGTTGTCAATTAACGTTAGAGAAGTCTTTTCACTGTGGCTCCCCGCTTAGATACCCCTAAATGTTGGAGCTGAGCTTAAGGCTGCAGACTTTGGGTTAGCACCATGTGTCCCGTGGATGCTGGGCACATAGCAATGAAATGGTTTGGAAGACAAAGTGGAGCTGTTACTGTAGTGTGACCTAGGAATTCATTTTTTTTTAGACCAGCCTCTAGACCAGGAACAGAAGAAATCATCATATCTGACTTTCTCAGAGTTCCTGCAGTTTGAATCCCGTCAAAAATATAAATTATTATAATGTTCTAAACTTGTACTCTCTGCCTGACTTGAACTGAGTCATCCCAGTGACCTTCGAGACAAGTCTCACGACCTCCTTCTCAACACTCACCCTGTCCTAACCCCAATCTTCCTGCTGTATTAGGGCTCTTTAACCATTGTGTGTGCTTAGAAATTATTTTTTCTACATCTGATCCTTTTTCTCCTGGATGGTTCTATTGCTGGTTTCTGTAGTAGGAACTAAGAAAGCCTGCTCTAGAGTCAGACTGCCTGGGTACAAGACTGTGCCACTTACTCTGTGGCTTTGTGACCTTGGGGAAGTTACTTATCCTCGCTGAGCTTCAGGGTTTTTTTCCTGTAAAATGAGAATAATAACAATATCAACTTCATAGGTTTGTTATGAGAACTAAGCAAACTACAGTATGGCATATAGTAAGTTCTTAATACATTTTAGCTATTATTATACAGTGTGGTGACTAAAAGTAAGGACTCTGCAGACATTGAGTTCAAATCCTAGCTCCATCATAAAATGTCTGTATGACCTTGGGCAAATCACTTAATCTTTCTGTGCCTCAGTTCTTACCTATAGAATGGGGATGAATATAGCTTATCTCAGAACTTTGATGCGAGGACAAAATGATTAATAAATGTAAGGCCGTGAAAGTAATTTTGGTTACATGGTAAATGCTATTCAGGGAGGGGGCATCAAGATGCTCTGGGGGCATCATGCTGCACCTGCCACCTGGTGCATTTCTGTGAAGTTCATCTCCTTCATCCTGTAGCTTTTTTGTTAAAGAATAGGCATTGATCAGTTTCACTCATGGGATCACCACCAGCTCTGCAGCTGGTAACAGAGCCTACCCCATACCTTGACCTGACAAGGATTTCCTAGCTGATCCCTGCCTGCCTACAGGTTTTCCTGTGATGTATTTTCCACTCCAAACTCCTTTCACACTCAATAGAAAAGCCCCATCTCTCTGAAGTCTCCCAGATAACCCCTGCCCACAGAGATCTGTGCTTTACCCTGAACTCCACGCATCCATGACCGCCACCTGGGGCAGAGCTCATTCTGCCGTCAGGGTTGTCTACCACTATTTTCTAGTTATCTCACATCATCACAATGACAAACATAATACTTCCTAAGATGTATTTAACACCCTGTGCCAAGACAAGGGTAGATGCTGTTATTATCCACATTTCACTAATAAGAAAGCACAGGCAGAGAGAGGTCCAGTAACTTGCCCAGGATCACACAGACTTTAAAGGCAGAGCAGGATTCAAACCCAGCCAGCTCCAGAGTCTGCACTTGTCCACGCAGGCACTGCATCATCTTATCAGCAGAGTCCTGGGAAACTGGCTTTGTCTCAGGGAGCGGGTCTCTCTTTACCCAGAGCCGTTTCTCTCGGTGTCTGTATAACCTCTTCCTATTCCCTCCTCCTTTCCAGTGAACAGTTCCCTTGGCTGGTCTCCCTCCTCTTACTAAGTTACATTTTTAGGAAAAGATCAGATGTCCGCAATTTACCACTCCATGTAAGGTTTACCTGTTCCCCTCGCTGATGCCCTTAGGAGGTACTGGTTGAGGAATGTATTAAAGTCAATAGGAAATGGGGAGCGACTGTGTACTTGATAGTTCATAAACGTTCTTGAAGAAATAAATAGGGGAATGATGGATGATGATTGGAATTTCAAAAGCCCAGTTGCTGCTTTATTTGCAGTGAAGTTATTTTAGATGTACTTGAATATGCAGGAACTGAAGGTGCAAAGTCAATGTATAGGACTGTTTCCAGCCCAGCTTCCCTTGGAGAATGCTTTGGCTTTCTGCCCAGGCAAAAGGAAGGTTCTTCGTGCTTTCCTGCCTCCATCCTCTCTGGGGCCTGGTGGGGAGGAGGGAGTGGCCACTGGGAGCTTTCTCTGTCCACACTTCAAGGCAACAGTTAGGGGACTCAGACAACACAGGAGAACTTGACCGCCAATGGTCACCTTTGGGCAGTTCTCCCAGGTCGAGTTTTCATTCTCTCTGCTTTCCAATAGGACTAAAGCATTGAGGTCTTGCCTCTTGTCTTGTCAGTTACATGTTAAAATCAAGATATATTTCAATTATCTAATGCAGCATATTTCAACTCTTTGTAAGAATCAGGATCATTGGTCTCCCCTGCCCCCAGTGTGATTCAGTAGGTCTGGGGTGAGGTGCAGAAAACTGCCTTTTCAAGCAGCGCATCCATTGACATGAGGCCATCTTTTGGAAACACTACTTTCTGAAGATTTCCGGAATCTTTATGGTGATCATCTGGAACTTTCAGGCCACATCTTTGCAAGTGCCGCTTCCACAGCTCTGTCACCTACAGCCTCTTCGTTGTCCAGTGGGAGCAGCCTACTTACTATTTTAAGCCCTACAATCATTGGAGATAATGGAGGGAAAAGCACATTGATGGCAATGAAGCCTCTGAGGAGTTGGGATGGAGATGGGTAAATGCTCTTGGCCATCCCCAGATTCAAGGAGTTACAAAGATCTGGCTGCCAAGTCACCGGACCTGATTTGAATAGAGCAAATGGTCACACCAAGAAGTGAATCCCACAGTTTCAGATTTTTAGGAGATGTCATTCACTCCCTCGAATCCTCTGTTTCTTACATTATGAAAAATAATAAGTGCTGAGGCATGTCAGGTGCTCAGTGCAGTCTCTGGTAGTGGTGAGTGTCGTGTATCCTGCCGGCATGGGGCTCACTGGGGACCAGCCTTACCATCCTGAGTCCTCATGTTATCGCAGTTTGGGGAACTGTGGGACTCCAGCACTTGCCTTTCCTCTTACACTTTGGGTGCTGGGTAGATCTCACAAGGGAGCACAGGTTTGCCAGGGCTCCCAGTGCTCGGCAGTGTATTTACTTCAGACAAGAAAACAGAGCTTCCAATTGGACCTCCCCTGCCTGCTCCATCTGTGTAGAGGTCCCCAGGGGACTGTCTGAGCCACAGTGGACAGAGCTGTCCAGAGGGAATTTCCTGAAGGCAAAGCTTCAGCCGGAAAAGACAAGGTCACCAATTCCAGGAAGTGCCCCACCTGTCGGACATGATGACTTCACAAATAATTGTAGTGGTGGTGGGGCAGGGTGGCCTGGAGTGGGGGTGGGTAGTCAGTCAGGAATGAGAGGTGGCTTTTTATTCATGAAGAAGAAAATTCCCAGGGAACAGGATGGCAAACGAGAAGGTAAGCAAAGGCTCCTGCTTTCCCAAATCTTAACCCTACTCACCCGAGCCCTGCCACACATGCCTCTTTTTCTTGACCTGAAACTTCCAATTTAACATCTTTGCTTCTGTGTTCGAAAACTGTCTGAGCAAGAATCCTCTAGCAATGTCTCCTCACATAAGCATATTCAGAGGGGTTTATTTGTATCAAAAGTAATTGCAAAAGCTGCAATTACTTTTGCACCAACCTAATACTAGAATATTAAAAATAGCTACAAATTCATAAGCACTTGGGCTCTGTGCTAGTCACTGTGCTGTGGGTTGCATGTAGAACATTGAAGCCTCACAACGAACAGATGAAGGAGATATGATTTATTCTCATGTAGAGGAAACAGACTCAGGGAAACGAAGAAAGTTGACAGTTTCCAAAGCTAATGAGAGTCAGAGCTGGGCTTCCACTCAGACCTGACATCAAAGTTGAGCATATATAGCCTGTAACTCTAAGATGGTCACTGGAGCAGGATCCAGGGCAGCATGTCTGAAAACCAGCATCCTGGGACCCACCCAAGCATCCTGAGCTAAAATCTGCATTTGAAGAAGGTCTCTGGGCAGATCCATGCTTACATGAAAGCTTGAGAAGCACTGAGCTACATCATCACCCTTTAAAAGCCCTTTACCCCACATGTGTATATTCACGTTCATAGGCACATTATTCACAATGGCCAAGAGGTGGAAGCAACTCATGTCCGTGGATGGATGAGTGGACAAACAAAACATAGACATATGTACAATAGGATATTATTCGGCCTTAAAAAGAGGGGAAGTGCTGACACAGGCTACAACATAGATAAACCTTGAGGATAATATGCTAAGTGAAATAAGTCAGCCACAAAAAGACAAATACTATATGATTCCACCTACAGGAGTTATCTAGAATCACCAAATTAATAGACAGAAATTAGAATAGTAGTAACCAGCAGCTGTCAGTAGAGAAGGAAATGAGGAGTTATTGACAAATGGGTATAGAGTTTGAGTTTTGCAAAATGAAAAAATTATGAAAATTTATTGTACAATAATGTGAATATACTTAATACTAATAAACTGTATGCCTAAAAATGGTTTCAAGATGTTAAATTTTATGTTAGGCATATTTTTTCACAATTTCAAATACCAAGCCCATCACCAGATGTTGCATACATGTGTCACTTAAGATGGCAGAAGGTCAGTCATGGAAACTGGGTGGCAGCTTAGGGCAGTATAAACTGATCAGGCAGGCTCAAGTGCACTTTTCCAATGGGAGTCTTCAGCCTTTGGGTTGCATGAAGACATTATACCTTGAAGGGTAGATCTACCAAAGAAAAGTGGGGTCCTTTGAGGTGAGTTGTAGGAGCTTCCAAGAAGATGGATTTCACATTCCACCAAGATCTCTAGGAGGTCAGCTTATCCCCTGACCAGCCTTCACCACCAGGCAGATGAAGGGGCTTTGCCAGGGCCATCACTAGGAGGGCAGATGTGACATAGAGAGAAGGCATTGCTGCAGCCAGGAGCACTAAGAAATGCTGGAACAGAGGCAAAGCTAACCCCATTGCTGAGATCACCTCAGGCCCTGGCTTTTACCCCACCTGCCTTGGATAGCCAGAGCTCTGCACTGACTATGTGAATTCACAAGAAGCTTAAATGTTTCCCTTCTCTATTTAAATAGGAAGGCTATTGTGTATGAGTGTACAGGTTGTACTCTGCACACTGGGGTTTGGAAGAGGAGACACACCATATATATTCCCCAAGTCATGAAAGAAATAAAGAAAAGACAAAGATAACCTAGGTCAAACAATGAAAGAACCAAAAATGGAAAGAGGAAGAAAGTACATGAAGTCGTGAAACAAAATCCTGAAGGTAAGATCAAGCATTTTGAAAATGATATCAAATGGGAATAAATTATACAAATTTACTTGCTCAAGTTTGGTTTAAAAGAAAAAAAAATCAAACGCACATTGTTTACAAGAGAATCATAAAACAAAGTGGTATATAAAGGCTTGAAAAAATAAAGGACAAAAATCGGGCAAACACACAAACAAAAGCAGAAATGACAATTGGAATAGTAGACAAATAATTAAATTAAAACATACAAAGTAGGACAAAGAAGGGCATTTTATAATGCTAAAAACATACCAATGAACCTCTAACAACAATGACTGACAAAAAAATAGAACTGAAATATGTAAAACAAAAAAGTGGAAAACATTACTACAATAAGAGAAACAATAACAGCAAACAGTCACATAACATTTATTATGTGCCAGACACTGTTCTAGAGCATCTTATAGATATGAACTAATTTAATTTTCATAACAATAAAAGGAAATCAGTACTACTATTAGCATCATTGTACAGATGAAGAAATTGAGACAGAGAGAATTACATCAGTCTTCAAAGATTCCCAACCAGTAACATGCCCTGTCTCTGGTGCAGGGAGAAGCTAAGTAAGGAATAACCTGAAAATTCCCATAAGGAATAAGGGGGTACTTATCCCTCCCTTTACTTAAGCTAAACTCTCATTGACTTTCCAAAGACAAAACCACCTGAATAATCTGTCAGCAAAGGTCTTCTATGATGTCTATGGTCCCTTCAGCTATATCAGTCTGTGACTGTCACACACACACAGATTAATGTCTTTTGGAATGTGTTCTAGCCTGATGTCCCAGTTAAAACAAATCCTTTGAGAACATACATTCTGCTCAATCCTTCAAATCTGCTTTGTTGTTATTGTTGTCAGTTTAACAGAGTGGAAGACTTAGGCCTAGTGGTTGTAATTTAGTGAAGGAAGGAACCCTGGGAGGTCTCTCTTGAAGCTACATTGGTGTTCCCTTGACACCACCACTTATTTCAGAATATAGCAAGTGGTAGCCCAGCAAATACACTGACCTGAGTTTACATTCACCCCTTCTCCTCATTTGCAACATTTTTTCTTATGTTGCAACTATGGGAAGAATGTTTTTTCTCCCCCTAAAGTTTTTTCTCCTTAAACTTTTTGTAAGAACCATTGTCAGTCAGGAAATCAGAAAAATGTGACAAGAAAAATTATAGCAGATATGGATATAACTCACCAAAGGATGAATAGTAGACTCGTAATTCCAGTTCAGTGCAGCTTTGGAAGAATAAATCACAATAAACATGAGGCACAAAGTGGTTCTCCTTGGGGATTTCATGTCTTCAAGTTTGAGTTGGTTGGCCTGAAATGGAAATATGATGGTTTAGATATACAGCAATTTATTTCTTAAACAAGGAAAAAGAACTCGCAAGCCCTGTCTTAAAGGTCATCCTACACAAGAACTTTTCAAAAGAGACACAAAAGGAAGGAGGAGCATGAAGGAATCAACTTAGCATTCTCTGCCCAGACCTTTGGGTGAAGAAATGGTCACAGTAGGGGAATGCGGGTTGATAGGCTGAGAATGGTGCCTGTAAATAGGACAAAGGTAGCAGATGTTTGAGTAAGAAATACTTACACATAATTTATGAACAAAAAGACTCAGAGAACACTATTCATTTTCGCTACATGCAATATACTTTGGTATTTTCAATTCTATCATAGAGTATCTTTCCACATTTTTAATTTAATTCTGGTAGCATCCCATTAAATGGACATCATGACCCATATTAATGGACTATGACCCATTAGTATGAAAACTGCTGGACTTGGTTATAAAAAATGTAAGTTGTATCTTACAGTATTATTTCATATTATAGTGCATAATATAGAATATTAGTATCATTATATATCCCATCTTATTCATTGAGTTCTTTTTATTTTATTTATTTATTTTTTTTATTTTTTGAGACAGGGTTTCACTCTATTGCCCAGGCTGGTCTTGAATTCCTGGCCTCAAGCAATCCTCCTGCCTCAGCCTCCCAAAGTGCCAGGATTACAGACGTAAGTCATCATGCCTGGCCTTATGTGTTGATTTTTTAAAATTCATTTTATAATGCTGATGATGAAAATAGCTTTTTGGTGATGAGATGAATCATTTTTGACATTTTTTCACTTAAAAAGTAGGGTGTCACACGGAATAACCTCCACCCTAGAAGGTCTAGGGACCAAGACAATCTACTTTGTGCACACTCCTCTCCTTGTAGCTTTTCTATGCCCAGGTGTTGTTGTGAAAAGAATGCTAGACTGAGAGACACAAGATATGGGTTAGGATCCAGGATTACTAGAAACTAACTGTGTCCTGTGTAAGTAATTTGTCTTCTCTGAGTCCAAGTTTTCCCATCTGTAAAACGGGGATAATTGTACCTCCCCTAATTCTCTCACAGAGTTTTCTGAGACTCGAATGAGATTAAAAGGCATGAAGAACTCCAGAAATGCAGGCTGCAATAATTATTACTCTGATCGTCAATAGAATCCAGAATGCAACCATCCAGAAGGGCAGGCTTTGGCTGCAGTGTTGCAGGGAGCGCCAGGTAAGCATGGCCAGGATAACACACTGATGATAGGCAAGATTTACATGCCAGGGAAAATTGTATTTCAATTGCCAGCTGACAACTGCCACCTTTTCCTCTTCCTCAGTGGAAAACTGGAAAACTGATCCAATTTGCAAATTTGGCAATCAAACACATTTTTTAAATTCTGCAACTCAATGGTTTGGGGGAAATGCTTTGCAATTTAGGTTATAGTAGTTGTTTAAGACCAGATGCATCTGCTATGGGGAAATCATAGCAATGTACTGCTTAATTTTCTATTGGAAGTTTTATCTTCCTTTTTGAAAGACAGTGTGTCTTTGTGGGTATTGAACAGGCTAATACAGAATGAGTCAGGTATTTAGGAGGCAAAGTAGTCTTTTCAGGCCCCAACCTCAGTTGGTTCCCTACTGAGGCAGTTAATCAAGGAGACGAGACTTAGTAACTGAATAGTTAATGAGCCTCCCTTCGAATCTGATAACCAAGGAAGAACTCACATACTAGAAGGACTAGAGCTGGCTCCATATCTTTCTACGATTTCCCAGTGTTGGCATTGCATCCTTTTTTTGGTCAGTTAGCAAGAATTACAATGTTTTCAAATAGTCATGTCTGGCCCTTTTGTACAGGCCATTGGCCAATACTGTCCCCATCTTCCCCCACCCCTGCCTCTGCTGAGACTATTTTTAATAAATTAACATTCTTATCTATGTTGACTTATTTGTTGACAACAAGATTGCAAGCCAAAAGAAATGGAGATGTAGGAAGGATGCTACCACGGGGAGGCGGGTGTTCTCTGGATGCAGAAGATGATATACAGTCATCAGTTACACACAAATGTCAGGGATTCTTCACTCAAAAGAAAGGAGAAAGCCACCACTTTGAAAGAAAGGAAATAGTCAATATATTTGACAACCTGTATGGAATGGACCTGACCAATGGGAACAGTGACACGAGCTGAAATTCACTTCAGCTTTTGGGGTTGCTGCCACACTTGGGTAGAGACCTAAAGATCAACTTTTCTTTAACCTGCATCATTAATCGTATAAACCTTCCAGCTCACAGGTATCCATACCTGTGAGGAAGCAAGCAAAAACTGTTTAACTTGGCCAATGTGGGGGAAAAGTCTATATTCATCCAGTTAAAAATATGGAGCAGCATCCCATATTCAAGGCAGTTTGTCTTCAGTAGGGGCCCTTTAATGCTAAATTCCCTAAAAGTTCATATTTCTTCTAAAATTCCTGGAGTAAACGGCAGACAAAGACTGAGAGACAAAGAGAGAAACAGAGGCAGAGAAAGAAAGAACATTATCAGATGTCATTCCCGATCTCCTTCTCTTTTTAAATTAAAATCCAGGACACTCTCTACTAAAACTCACCAAAGCTGGGAAATATGCCCTAGCCCTCAGTATTAGCCTTGCGGCTCTGAGCAACTTCCTGGTCTCCTCTGACTCTATTTTCCTGTCTGTGAAGTTAGAAGACAGGGAGAGGAAAATAAAGCACAGCCTGACATCATATGCCAGGAATAAGTCATCAAGATTCTCAGCAACACTGCATCTGGAGGATGAATGATCTGGGTTCCCTGAAGCCACCATTAATGGCATTCTCTTGCAGAGTGATTATGCACCAGGAAGCTTCACTGTGGAACTGGCCTGTTCTTACAACCCTTAGAAACAACCGGTGCTGGCTGGGTGTGGTAATGCATGCCTGCAATCCCAGCATTTTCAGAGGGCAAGGAGAAAGGATCACTTGAAGCCAGGAGTTCAAGACCAGCCTGAGCAACAAACTGAGACTCTGTATTATACCAAAACAAACAAAAACAAAAAAGTTTTTTTTTTTGTAAATAGCCAGGTGCACTGGCATGCACCCATAATCCTAGCTACTCAGGGGGCTGAGGTGGGGAGATGGCTTGAGTCCATGAGCCCTGGAGTTCGAGGCTGCAGTGAGCTATGATTTCACCATTCTAGTCCAACCTCTAACAGAGCAAGACCCTATCTCTCAATAAAATAAAATAAAATAAAATAAAATAAAAAATAGAGAAACAATCAGTGCTTAAGATCAACTCTTCTCTTAGAAATCCTTCATCAGCCCTGAGATCAGAAAACTAGGCCTAGAAAGAGCTGAGTGTCTCAGAGCTCAGAGGTGGCTAGGAGCTGAGTTCGTCAGAACTCCAAGAGATCTACCAATGATTCTCAAAATTTTAGCCAATGATATCCTCCGACAGTTGGAGCAACCATTTATGATAGGATTGTGGGTAATAATTGCTGGTGGTTATTAATTGGCTATTAATTATAATTGGTGGGTAATAATTGCTGGTGACAATGACTGTAGGATAGGATTGTGGGTAATAATTGCCAGTGGTTATTAATTGGTTATTAATTATAATTGGTGGGTAATAATTGCTAGTGAAAATGAATGTAGGAGTCCTGTCTTACTGGGTGCTCACTATATTCTAGGTCTGCTGCTGAGCTCTCTGCAAGGGTTACGCCCTCTAACCCTCTCAAGGAGCCTCTGATACTATTAAATTACCCCCATTTTTCAGACATGGAAAAGGAAGCTTAGAAGGATGATTAATTCACTGAGGCCACACAGCTGATAGACGGTAGTGGCAAAATTATAAACAAAGCAGTCTATTCTCCTGAGAACAAGGTGCCATTTGAGCTAAGAGATTTTCTTGGTGGGAAATCAACCAACCAACCAAACAAACAAACAAACAAACAAACAAATTATAAGTTATAGACACCTGACCAGGCAACTGGAAAAAAACTTCTAGCCTCATTTTGCCACTAATTAGCTGTGTGATGTGGGGCAAGTCACTTTATCTCTCTGAGCCTGTTTTCTTATCAGTAAATCCAGGGATTTGACTGCACTCAATAATTTCAAAATTGGGATGCAGGAGTTGGTCTCTTGAAGTCCTGTTACTATTTTAAGAGTCTAAAATTCTTCACAGTTATTTCAACTCAAATGCAGGCTCACTCTGGTTAACTTCTGAGAATAATCATAACTATCTTGCATTTATCTCACCACTTCTGACTTACTACACAGTCTAGGCCTTCTCTGCCCCTCATGTACACCATGGCAATGGCTTCCCTTCTTTACTTCTCTGCTCCCTCTCTACAGAGAGGCAAGATGGGTTTTCCTGAAGTACTCTTCACACAACATTCCCTGTTCAATTTTTCCCTGCTTTCAGAATAAAGGAAATCACTTTCACTGATCCTCAAGGCTCTCCATAACCTGGACTTTATTTAGAAGAGTTAGCATATGTAATAAGCATCTATAATACTTTCACTACCAAAGTCAGCTGCTTTTTCATAAGTTAAAATAGTGCAAGAGATTTTCCAATGCTCACGCAAAAGTAAAAATGCCAAGTCAAACTTTGAGAATTAATTTTGGGGAGGGACAGGAGTAATTACTGTCAAACAATTTTTCTGTGTTTGGCGAAACCAAAATAACCCTATCATTTATTTGGTTTATTAATCTCCATCTTTTCCTGTCCCCTAACCCCACACAATCACTGCATATTCAGATTCTACCCATCCTTCAATGCCCAGGCAAAGGGCTCCCTCACAGATGAAGGTTTCCTGATCTGTCCAGTTATAAATAGTCTCTACTTCCCCTGAACACCTACACACACTTAGTCTAGGCCTTTAGCCTTCCTGCTTGTATTATATTTATTGTTATATCTATTGCACGAAGTAAATCTATTTATTCCCTTATCTATTCATTTGTGTATTCCTTTACTGGAAAAACATTTATTAAGTCCTGTTACATGTTAAGAGTTCTACTGAGTGAAGGGGAAGTAGCAGTAAACAAGACAACGGTCCCTGTCTCCATGAAGCTTAAAGTCTAATGAAGTAGATGAACATTATTAAAGAATAAATTACTCAATTCATTGTTTAACTATGACTGTGAAAGTGCTACCGAGAACAGTAATCATAATATTAATATTTGTTGAGGACTTACTATATACCAGGCACTAAACTCAGCACCGACAATATTAAATCACTGAGTCTTTACAATTCTAATGGGGTGGTTCTAGTATGATATCTAATTAAAGGGTACAGATCTGGTATGATATAAAATTAACTGAGCCACTGAGTGGTTAAATAACTTGCCTGAGATAACACAGCTAGTAAGTGACAGAGCCAGGATTTGAACCTAGAAAGTCTAACTCAAGAGCCCATCCCTTTAACCATTGTGCAGAATTGTTTACAAAAGGCTATACCAGAAGGACCTGACCTAGTCTTAGGGATTTGTGGAAGATATTCCAGGGGAAGTATTTATTTGAGCTGAAACCTAAAGCATAAGTTGGAGTTAGCTAAAAACAACAGGGGAGTTTGGAAGAAGGGGAGGAAGATGGTTCTAGGTGGAAAAAAAAGATCATGTGAAAAGGCCCTGAGGTGAAGAAAGAGCATGACACATTTGAGGAGCTGCAAGCAGGCCAGAGTGGCTGGAACATGAAAAGAGAGCAGGTGAAGGGTACGAGGCAGACGGGGTGAGGTGAGCAGAGGCCAGGATGGGGAGGACTTGTCATTGCAACAACAGGATTAGGTAAGATTGATTAGGGAGGCAATAGAGAGTAGAGAAGGAGGCCTAGGAACAAGTCCTACAGAATTCCAACAATCAAAGGTCCAGTTAAGAAACATGACAAAGCCAAGATGATTGGAAATTGTGAAGTCCTAATTAGGGAAAAAGAATCAGGCTGGCAGGAACAGGGGACAGCAAAAATAAAAAGCAGATAAGCTATAAGTCTGCCTTTCTTCATGGTCCAGAACACATAGCCCTCCTGTGCAAATAACTCACAATCTTCCTGTGCCCAAGTTATGACCAGACCCTTCGCTGATTAAAAAAAATGCAAGTTAGCTCACTGCAACCTTGGCATTATCAGTACTGCACAAAGCCCTCTTCAGCACACAATAGAAGCAACATTCTATAAAATCCCCAGCAAGACTGTGTCTTGTTACAGTCAGCCCCTTTTTGCTGGCCTGTCCATTGCATCCTTGCAACATATTTTCATACTTTTTCTAATAAATTTGCCTTTCTTTACCTACGACTGTCTTGATAAATTCTTCTTAGTACTCCCACCACCAGCTCTAAATAGTGGCTAATCGCCTGAGACAGGAATGAAACCAGAGAGGCAGGAACAGGAGGGAAACAAGGCTAGTGGAGTCAAGGAAACCGGGGAAAGTCAAGTTTTAAGAAGAAGGGGGCTGGGCCAGGTGTCTCACGCCTTTAATCCCAGCACTTTGGAAGGCCAAGGGGGGCGGATCACCAGATGTCTGGAGTATGAGACCAGCCTTGCCTAACATAGTGAAACCCTGTCTCTACTAAAAATACAAAAATCAGCCAGGCATTGTGGTGGACACCTGTAATCTCAGCTACTCGGGAGGCTGAGGCAGGAGAATTGCTTCAACCCAGGAGGTGGAGATTGCAGTGAACCAAGATCACGCCATTGCACTCCAGCCTGGGCAACAAAAGCAAAACTCCACCTCAAAAAAAAAAAAGAAGAAGAAGAAGGGGGTGGTCAACTATGTCCAGTGGTGCCAAGAAGTCCATTAAGGAGGAGACTGATATTGCTCATTGGACTTGGAGACATGGTATGCTCTCAGCAAAGGAAATCCCATTGGGATGGTTGGATAGAAACTGTACTGGGAAGAGTTATAGAGTGTTTGGGGAGTGAGGACTTGGAGATGGTGAGTACATGAAACTCACGAAATTTGTTTGTAAATTGAAGTAGAAGGTGAAGGTTCTTCCCACATGTAAGCTGCTTAGCTTTCACGTCCACGCAGTAGGTGATGTTATACGCATAGCTTTCTCTTTAAGAAAGGAACTAACTGTATTAGTACAAAATCAAGGGAAATCATACCTCTTACTAAACCTTGGCCTGCATCTGGCTAACTAGACACACTATTGTGACCTTTGAAAACAGCCAACGGCATATACCCTAATGTCTCCCAAACCTTGTGTTCTGGGATACAGACTACGATCAGGCAGCCCTTTTGCAAACATATACTTATCAAAATAGAGACTAAATGAGCCTGAAAATAGATGAGCACATACAAGCATTCTACTACTAAAGAATAGAGTTACTTTTAATGGTGGATGATAGATGGCAATGCCAACTTTCAGGAGGACTATCATTGCAAATTTTACTATGATTATTACTCTGCTCATCTCCATGAGATACAGAGTTGCAATAAGGATAGAATGCCATCAGCAACCTACTCCCTGAACTGTAGAAGTACAGATTAAAAAACCCTTAAGTGTAACTTTAAGAGCCTGCCTTCATAAATCTGTATTTTCAGCTGCAGAGGTGGTAAGACTTATCTTTGCTGACCTTATTTGATTAGATGATTCATCTCCTGCACAAGCAAAAATATAAGCTAAATATTTATTTAACACAAACATGGGACACAATAACAATTAAAGAACTGCCTTGAAGACATTTTTTTTCCTATTTAATTTTCCATTGCCTTGAAATCAGGCCCTGCAGCAGCATTGTGTCAGGGCAGTTCAGTACTATCAGATTACAGGGGAACATTTGTTTGTACACAATAGGATCAAGTTTTCCAAAACACACTGCACATGTGGGCGGCGTTGATAACCTTTTATCCCTCTTTTCTTGTTGTTAAGTCACTGTGGGTCTTAGGCTTTAAGCAAAAGATTGCCATCTATGTGAAAACATTGAGTTCCTAACTGCTCTTATCTAGTCCGTCTTGCATTAATTCACCATGTGGAGGGGTTTCCCTAAGCCATGGCAAAACAATGCCCAGGGGTGCATTCCAATTGCAGACGGAGGGAAGCCCTGTGGAATGGGTCAGGTTTTTGTTGTTTGTTTTTATTTTTTTTGTTTGTTTGTTTTTTTTGAGACGGAATCTCACTGAGACACCCTGGCTGGAGTGCAATGGCATGATCTTGGCTCACTGCAACCTCTGACTCTGGGGTTCAAGCGATTCTCCTGCCTCAGCCTCCCAAGTAGCTGAGACTACAGGAACATGCCACCATGCCCGGCTGATTTTTGTATTTTTAGTAGAGATGGGGTTTCACCATATTGGCCAGGCTGGTCTTGAACTCCTGACCTCAAGTGATCCGCCCATCTCGGCCTCCCAAAGTGCTGGGATTATAGACGTGAGCCACTGCACCCGGCCCAGTTTGTTCTATACTCAAATGTTATGTGAGAAAACTTGGCAAAGCTCATTTTACATTAGGTTGTTCTCAAGCTTCACAGTTCTGTGGTTCTACCATGTGTTAGGTAAGCTCCAAAATAATACTTGACTATTTTAATAATAATAATAATAATAATAATAATGGACCAATCAGAACAATCTCTGTCCACTGTGCAGGAGCAGGGCCTGGGGGTCTCCTGCTGGGCTAGACCTTAGCAGTGTCATTGCTGGATTGTAGGGAAGTCTGTGTAGGATCCCAGGAAAGGGACTGGATGACTAAAGAAGAGGTGGGGAGGCACTCCAGGGGCTGGAGGAAGCAGTTATTTGCAATGTGGCTTAAAATATTCCAACATTACAGTAATTGGCAGGGCCACCTTAGCCTTCTGCACTTCCTCCCTTTATGGCCCCCATCCATTCCATCTCTCTGAGAAATGGCTTTGCTGTCCTTAGCCAATGACTTCTCTTCTAAATCTTCATTTCCTTCTTCAGGGATTTTGTTAGATTTTAACCATATAATGTGTGTGCTATTCAGAATGAAAAAAAAAATATTACTTTATCCCCCCACCCCCAACCCCAAGAAATACAGTACCCTGAAAAGTCCTTGCTAGTTCAAGATTTCCTTACTCTGGACAGTTTGACTTTAGTCCTCACCTCATTATGAAAAGTATTCTGTAGAGGCAAACCCACAACATTTGCCCCAGTCCTCACTCTCCCTGGCTTGCGGTGGGTACCTGCTCCATTTGTGCATGGCCTCCTCCTCTGCAGCGCTCCCTTTCCCTTTCCCTTTCCTGGTTCTCAAGGCTCCCGAGCTTATGCCTTTTCTCCTTCTATGCTCCCATCCTCATCATCCTGCAGCTGCCTCACTGTGCGCCCTGCCAAATACCTCTCCTGGGTCTACAGCTCTTCTCTCTTGACACCTTCTTATAGTAAGCTCATCCACTTCCATAGTTTTAATTGTCAGTTTATGTGAGAATTCCCAGAACTGTATTTCCAGCCTCTGACCTTTATGGCATATTGCCTCTTTTCTTGTCCCCAAAGATATCTCTTTCCTCTGCATGCCTATTTCCTCTCTTTGCTACATATTAGGCATGGCTTTTCAACTATACTCTTTCCACTTGAGTGTAAATTCAGATCATCGAAAACTGAACTTGTCTCCTGTCCCACTGCTCTCTCCTAACCCATCCCTTCCCAGATGTGCCAACTGCTGGCTTCATTGTTTCCTAGGCTCACAGCTTCACAGGTGTCCTTGGACACAAGAAGTGGTGCAGGAGCAGAAGCAGCAATTCGACCGGGTACTAAGTCCTGTTACCTGCTGCTGATGTGCTCAGAGCCCCTCATCGGTTTGGATATTGTCATCTCACCACACTTTTTTGGACATTGGGCCACTACATTGGTTGGGACATTATCATCTTACATCTAGATGGTCTCAATAATCTCCTGAATGGGCCCCTCGCTCCTTTCTTCCCTGACCAATAATCCAACACAACAGCAGGGAATTTATTTGCCCAGAGCACTATTCTTCCTAAATTGTGGCTAGATCATATTTAAATACTTTAAATGTTTGCAAATGCCCAGAGAATATTTAAGCCAATTCACCAGGCAAGCATGATCACCACGACCTAATGTAAAATGAGCTCTGTCAATTTTTCTCCCATAACACTTGAGTATAGAGCAAACTGACCCACTCCCAGCTTTTATTGTACCTTCTTTTGTCATAAATATTAAGAGACAATATTAGTGGAATGCATTGCTACCTTGCAGCTTCTTCTCGCGCTATTCTTGGTAACTGAAATGCTCTATTTCTCCTTTCTGAGCTTTACTCATTATTTCAGGTCTTGCTTATTCATTTGGTAACAACAATTACTATAATTTATCAAGCACTTGCTGTGTGTCAGACACTTGCCATATGGCAAGCATTAGGTTAAGCACTATACATGCACTAGACTCATTTAATCTTTATAATCCTGTTTATGAGAAGTATCATCATCTTCATTTTACAGATGAAGAAACTGAGCCTTGGCTAAACAAACACACTTGGCAAGTGGCCAAGTTTGTCTCCAAAGTCTGAACTCTGACCTTTATGGCATATTGTCTCTTATTTTGTCTTCCCCAGAGATATATCTTTCCACTGCATGAACCGCATTTCTCTCCTCAGCTACTCATCTGGTCCTGCCATGTGGATCACTTTTCAGCACTGTGTGTTTTTCAGGCATAGCACGGTAATTAGGCATATGGACTCTGAAGTCAGACTGCCTGAGATGGAATCTTAACGTGCCTCTATTTGCTAGCTTTTTGTCTCAAGTGATTTACTTAACTTTTCTGGATCCCCCATCTATAAAATGGGGATTATGATTTTATTTGAGGCATAGGATTATTGGAACAACTAAATGGGTTAACAATCATGTTTATAAAACACTGAGTATGGTCCCTGGCACATAGCAAATACTCGATAAATATTGTTTGTTATTTCTCCTAATGCTATCCCTCCCCTAACCCTCACCCGCCCCCCACAGGCCCCTGTGTGTGATGCTCCCCACCCTGTGTCCATGTGTTCTCATTGTTCAACTCCCACTTATGAGTGAGAACATGCAGTGTTTGGTTTTCTCTTAGAAATACCTAATGTAAATGAGGAATTGATGGGCACAGCAAACAAACATGGCACATGTATACCTATGTAACAAACCTGCACCTTGTGCACATGTACCCCAGAACTTCAAGTATAATAATTAAAACAAATTCAATCAAAAAAATTGTTTGTTATTAAAATTCTCAATGCCTGTAACTTGCTTTCCACTAAGAGTCTGAGCTGATTAAGAGAAAGGTTCTTTGCCTTTGCAATTCCACAGCACTTAGCAAGTCACTCCAGAGTAGGTGATTCTACTAGGCTGTAATTTTAAAGATTTCACGTTGGCGATTACCTTTTAGGAAGCCGGGAAGATTCCAGTTATTTTAACCATCATGACCAGAGTCACACCATGTGATTTGAAATGTTGAGCTGGTAAGTAACTTGTGAATCATGGTGTGCCCTTAGCTAATATGTATATTTAACTCAACCATCCTTATTAGAGCACCTACTCTGTGCAGAAACTCGTAGGTCCTGGGGAAACTGAGATAAATACTGAACAGGCCCGGTAGTCCTCTCTATCAAGGAGACAAACATTGCACTGACGAGAGATACTAACTTGAACTATATCAAGAAATGTCAGTGGGGAAAAGGCTGTAGGGAAACGTTATAATTAAAAAACATCCATGACTTATCATCTATTCATATTTAGTTCAACCCAGAAAGTGGCAGCTCATGCAAAGGATAATCAGTATTTCTTTTTTTCCCCTTTCTCTTGGGATTGGGACACAACATGGCAAAGTGACCTTGAATAAAAAGTATGATCTGATAGTCATCTGGCATTAGAAGAGCACATCCTGTTTATCTAGAACATTTAATCTGCCTTTGTAAAATCTGCAAGTCTTAGGGAGCCAACATATCTACAGTGAAGTCAGTGGGGTTGTTCCAATTAAAACTGGAAAGTCAATGCCATTGTTGGAGGTGTCGGAAATCTCCTCTTCATTCTGATGTGCAGATGTGTCTGTTCCTCCGAAAGACAGCAGCAGCCAGAATTCTAATGATCTGCACTGCTGCTGACACTTTTGGTCCTAATTTCTTGGCTTCATAAACAGCCATTGCTTCTGCTTCTCAGTTTAGCCACTGTATCTTACACAGCCAAGACTCAGTGAATCTCAACCCCAGCTGCATTATAGAATCACTTTGGAGATTAAAAACAACAAACAAACAAAAAATCTAACCATGCCCTGGCCCCATCCTCAGAGATAGTGATTCAGTTTCTCTGGCAAAGTGTCTAGACATTGTTTTCTCTTTGTTAAGTTCCTAGGGTGACGCCGATGGACAGCAGGTGATAGAACTTGCTAATATCTGGACAAAGCAATAGTTTAGTCTAACTTTAGATTCCCAGCAAACATCTACCATGTGGCTACAAAGCTGACAGAATCCAGCCAATCGCATCAATTCTCTATTCCACATGACTTTTATCCTCATAGTACTGACATAAAAAAAATGGGGCTGCAAAGACAGTAATCTGAGTTTCTTCTCATCTCAGTCCTCCAAAAAAATTCATTGTGCCATTGAGGCAAATAAATTAACCTCTGAACTTCCTGTTTTTGTATTCCATTAGATGAGAATAAGTTACCTGCTTTACCTGTGACATGGTGAAAGAAGAGGCATAAAAGTCTTTTGATAACTAAAAAGTTGCATATAAATACAAGAGATTGAATGCATAATATTTAGGAGGAGACAGATTAGCCTCATTAACGTGAGGAGGTGGGACCCCATGGGATATTTTTAACTGCTCCAAAATGCCCCCAAGTACCCCATAGCGCAGTAAGTGAGGTTACTATATCATAGTCAATAAACCCACACTCAGTAAGTGAGGCAGTGTTAGTCTACAGGGCCTCAGTGGAGGTCTCTCATGTGGCTAACACTGTGCACTTGGAAGAAATGATTCATCGGAGTAGCCAGAGATCTGGAGAAGGGACAAAGGCAGGCAAATTTTACAGAACGTCCAAAATCAGCAAGGCCTAGTGGCTCTATAGTTTGGGGTGGAGAAACCCTGTAAAGAACAAGAAAATATGAAATAGCTATTGAAAGTGTTCGTATTATTCTTGGGTTTGATACTGCTTATTTATACCTTTTTCCCAAAGGCTCTCTCCATAAGCTGTATTAACTTGTTCATAGTGATGTTTTCCTTATTTGCTTGTCTCTTAACATTGTTGGTGGGGAGGGGAAGGCCACCTTTTTACAGAAGACTAAAAGAGATGGAAAATGAACCGATCTGTTAAATGCATTTATTATCCACTGAATAAAAGGGCAATCTCTCCTGTCTTCACTCTACGTTCTCTGGGCCACTTTATCTATCAATCTAGCTATTATCTATCTAGTTAATTTCCTGTTATTTTATCTTCTCCCCTTTCATTTCTAGAATAAGAAACTTCTGATGCCCTTCAAGGGAAAAGCCCAAACCACTAATTGGCAAATCTAGAATTTAATCCTTAGGAGGTTGTTACTAATATTATTAATTGTCAAAGCCAAAACCAACACAAAATAGTAATGGTAAAAATGAGTAAAACTCTTTATACTTTTCTAAGAGTTAAAAGAGCTATTCATGTTTCCCATGTATCATTTTATCTTTCACTGAGAGGAAGGAGTTTAGGATAAATCACAAGAACTTGACAATGAGAATTTATTGTACTCCTGTGCCCCGGCTTGTCCTATAGAGCTCAGAAGAACAGAAAATAAAGCCTTTAACTGGTAACACAGAAAACAATTGATAGAATAATATTTGGGGGGGGGGAAGAGAGTGTATATTGGGGGTGCAATTGAAAACTGTTAACAGAAAGCTGGCTGCGATGGCTGACACCCGTAATTCCAGCATTTTGGGAGGCCGAGGCAGGTGGATCACCTGAGGTCAGGAGTTCGAGACCAACCTGGCTAACATGGTGAAACCCCATCTCTACTAAAAATACAAAAATTAGCAGGGTGTGGTGGCGGGTGCCTGTAATCCCAGCTGCTTGGGAGGTTGAGGCAGGAGGATCGTTTGAACCCGGGAGGCAGAGGTTGTAGTGAACCAAGATCGTGCCACTGCACTCCAACCTGGGCGACAGAGCAAGACTCCATCTCAAAAAAATAAAAATAAAAATAAAATCTATTTAGAGATATTCTTTTACGATAAGAATATAGTCAAGTATTATCTGTGTAATTCAAAAATAACCTACATTGAAAAACCAACTACGTTAGCCCTTTATGAAAGAAAAAATGCTGTAGTGAAGTGGCATGACCTGGCTTTCTGAAATATGAGAAAACATGGTTTAAGCAAACCGCACATCATAGAGTTGCTCCTTTCAAAACAAGTCGGCCTGGCCCTGAAGCCCCAGCACTTTTACTGACCTCCTTCCTAATGCTGACTACAAACTCCTTTCCCCTCAGTCCTGTGTGGGAGGCTGCAGCCTACATTTTACATTTCTAAGGTCATCCCTTGTCCTTTGGAAGGACTCTCCCGAAGCTGAGCGAATAGCCAGGGCTCCCTCCTCCTGCTACTGGGATGCAGCCTCTTCCTTCCTCAGCCTGACCACAGCAATGGCCGACTGGCCCTGAAATGCTCTTGGCAAGAGCAGCAGCTCAGTAGCTCATGAATGCACTGGTTTTTATAGTATTTTCTGGTTTAAGGACGAGAGAACTTGTTTGAAAAAAAAAAAGTCTGTTATTAAGAAAATCCTAAAGGATCCCAGCTAGTTGCTTGATACGCCATCTCCTTTAATATAGTCTCATTAACTGGACCAACAGTATGCACAATGCTCTTGACTGGACATACTTAACTTTCCCAACATACATATCACACCTACGCAAAAGAAAAGCAGGCAAAGAGGATCGTAAGTGGAAGATGTCTTAAGAGAAGTGACTTAGGAGCCCCTGAGGTCTTGCTACAAAGGGAGACAGAATGACAGACCGCAGTAGGAGAAATGTCTGTTACCTGTCCAGCACTGTGGTCCCCCGGCTGGCTCCCGCTCTGATCAGATGCCTAAAAGCTTCCCAGTTTCCACTATGGGGCCATTTGTCCTGGGCCTCCTGGGCAGGGGCTCTCACGCCCAGTGGAGGGAGAACCAAGCAAGACTCATTTCGCGTTTTCAGGCAGGACTGGCAGCACCGCTCCCACGCTCAGCCTCCCCCAGCTATGATCCTCCCAGTCTCACAGAGTCATCCCTGAGAGCCGCGCTGCTGTTTTAAAAACAAAAAGTGATTTCCTGGTCCTCTTCCCCGGATGGCGTGTGCGATTTCCCTCACGCCCATGGGAAGTCCTTCAGATCCTTCTTATCTGGAAACCTCTCCACCAAGTGGACAGACTTGTTTGGCCAATGCCCCTAGTTCTCACTTTTCTTTCTCCAAAGAAAAAAATCAGAAAAGCAAAACCAGAGCAAACCAAACATAGGTTAGAGCTAATGAGAAGTACAGGATGTCTGGTTTCAACTTTTAAAAGATGACCACTAAATTAGATTGTAACTTCAGAGAGGAAGGAAAATTAAGACTATCGATGAATTCTTTGTCTTTAGCAGTGCCAAGAAAGCAGAGAAAAAAAGAATCCGCAGAAGAGAAGAGACCTAGAGAAGTTGCTTAGTCCTCCCCCGCGGGAGGGCTGTACCTCAAAAATGCCATATTGGAGGGACGTCCAGTTCTCCTAGGTTTCCAGGGAAACTCTGTGAGTATTTGTGTATCAAACTATAAATTTAGTGGTACTTAAAATACCGCTCAATAGCATGGATATTTAAAGATAAGGAGATATATGGTAAAGGCCTGGTTGGCAGGCTGCATCCAGGTTGCTGGGTTTAAAGATGAATTATAGTCAGCTCATTTTTGAACTGGAAGTGACCTCACTGATCCTCATTTTACAAAAGAGGAAACTGAGGCCCAAGGAGAACCCTTCCCAAGGTCAGAACACGGATGGGGAATGCTGTTTGACTCTCTACTCTGGAGCTCTGCCCACAGAAAGTTTGATGAATGAGGCCTGGCTTGGAATCGGCATTGGAAATAAGTGCTTCGGGTGAGTCCCATGCAGGTAGTCCCAAGAGTATCTTCAGGGAATTCCTCATAGTGTCAAAGAAAGGACTCTGGAGTCAGACTGTAGGAACTGATGCTTTAGTCCCACCAATTATATGTGGCCGGGTACACATTACTTGACCCTATTGAGATTCAGTGTTGTTTTGTTTTTAGACGGAGTCTCGCTCTGTCTCCCAGGCTAGAGTCCAGTGGCGCGATCTTGGCTCACTGCAACCTCTGCCTCCTGGGTTCAAGCGATTCTCCTGCCTCAGCTTTCCCAGTAGCTGGGACTGTAGGTGCCTACCAGCACATCTGGCTAATTTTTGTATTTTTAATAGAGACAGGGTCTCTCCATGTTGGCCAGGCTGGTCTCAAACTCCTGACCTCAGGTAATCCCCAGCCTCGGCCTCCCAAAGTGCTGGGATTACAGGCGTGAGCCACTGCTCCTGGCCCTGAGATTCAGTTTTATTGTGTGTGAAAGTGGGATAATAATAGTACTGAGTTTATAGACTCTGCTGAAACTGAAGAGGAAGAGTTTAGTAACTGTTTGTTGTTCTCTGGAGCCCTGGGCTCCAATGCCTCCAAGTTCATCCTCTCTCCCCTCCAGCTGCCTTCCCTTCTTGTCATGCTATCAGCCTGTAGCAAGTCAGCAACCACCAGCAGGACTTAGGCTTGAGACCAGAGTATTTGGGCAAGAAGAGGATGAACTCCAAAATGTTATTATTCCACTTCTAGATAATGATTCTCAACTGTAGTCTACACGTTAGATTGGATACACCCTAACTTAAAAAGAGCCTGCTGAGGGATGCAGTTCCTGGGCAAATGCTGCCTTTTTTCCTGCTCGTATTTTGGTTGTTGGGTGCAGCAGGCTGTCTAACATGGAATGGGCGTTGTCAAAGTGGCTGTCCCTTTCCTTCCCTGAGGAGCAATTCTTCTCGCCCACAGTTCCCTGCTTGTTGTTAGGAACACTATGTGCTTGCTGCACACACATTACAATGAAAACAAAAGCAAATAAAAAATGCAACCACCATATGGCCTCAGCGGCAACCCAGAATGAACTGTGGATGGAGAGACCCTGCCCTGTCGTAGCTACGGCTGGAATTGACTGTCACAGCAGCCGTTTTCTTGAATTCTAAAACGTTGGTGTTGGTGGCTGAACCCAAATTTCTTGAACCCAACTGCAAACGTAGAGAGAATAATTTACCAGTCATGTTATCACTTTGTTAATATGAAATGTCTCTCATGGCTGTAAGGTACAGTCTCATTAGAGACAAAGCTCCTACTTTCTCAGGAAGAAATTTCAGCACCAAATAAATACATATTTTCCAGCATGTTCCCAGCTGTTTCACTTCTGCCCTTCTTTCACTCTGCCCTTCTCCTTTCTTCACACAGGTAACGTTTAGTCTCTTTTTAAGTTCCAGGTGTTATTTCTTCCAAGGACCCTCCTATTTCTCCCAGCCTGAGCCAAGTATTTCTTCTCCCTGATCCCACACTGCCAGATGCATGTCTTTTTGAAGTTACCACACTGCATTCAAACAATCCATCTAATGCATTGACTGTAAGCACCTTGAAGGCAGGCACTAGTCTTATTTATGTTATGCCCAGCTCGTATTACAGTGCTGGTATATAATGGGTTATCAATAAAAGCAAGCAAAATTAAACTCTGCATTTCATTTTCCATTGCTGGTTCTTCCTCTTAACGTAAGAGTGTCTCATAGCTCAGTCTTTGAAACCCTTCTCTGTTGACACTTATTTCCCAGGTGATCTCTACTAGTTTTGGCTTAAATCTTTGTGCTGATGACTTCCAAATGTCTATCTCTATCATAGACCTCTCACCTGAATTCCTGACCCACGTATTCAACTGCTTACTTGATATCTCCTTTCAGTTGTTCAATAGGCCCTCAAACAGAACATGTCCCAAACTAAACTCCTGATCATCCCTCCCAAACTAGCTATACCATCAGTCTCTCCCATATTAGCAAAGGGCATCTCCATCCTTCCAGTTACCCAGATCAAAACCCTAAGAGTTATCCTTGAGTCCTACCTTGCACACTTTACATTTAATTTGTCATCAAATCTTGTTAGCTCTATTTTCAAAATATATGCATAGTCTGGCACTTCTTCCCCTTCTGCTGCTATCATTCTCATCCAAGCCATCACTATCTCTTGACTGGATAATCACCAGTGTCTTATCTGTCTCTGTGCATCTCCTCTTGTCACTTATAGTCTGTTCTGAAGACTGCAGTTAAAATGGTCCTTATAAAATACAAGTTATATAAAGTCCACACGTGCTCAACTCATCTCCCGTAGTCAGAGCACAGGTCTTTTCAACAGCCAGTGAGACCTTCATGATCTGCACCACCTTCTCTCCCCATCATTCATGTTGCTCCAGGCACACTGGCCTCCTTGCAGACCAGGCAGTCTTGCATTTCAGGGTCTTCACACTTGCTGTTCTCTCTGCCTGCCAGGGATGCTCTTTGCACAGATTTCCTCAAGACTCACTCCATCACCTCATTCTCACTTTTGCCCTAACATTGCTTTCTTAGTGAGGCCTTCATTGACAGCCATATCTTACATTTCATCACTCCACATCCCCCCTACTTGCTTTAGTTTTCCATATCATCTCTGGTACACTATAATACACTTTTAAATTTTGCTGGAGTCTCCACCTTGCATCCCTGGACTAGAAGGTAAGCTCCTAAGTCGAGTGCAGTGGCTCATGCCTGTAATCCCAGCACTTTGGGAGGCCAAGACAGGTGGATTACTTGAGGTCAGGAGTTCGAAACCAGCTGGCCAACATGGCGAAACCCTGTCTCTACTAAAAAATACAAAAATTAGCAGGGCGTGTTGGCAGGTGCCTGTAATCCCAGCTACTCAGGAGGCTGAGGAAGGAGAATTGCTTGAACCTGAGAGGCAGAGGTTGCTGTGAGCCAAGATTGCGCCATTGCATTCCAGCCTGAGTGACAACAGCAAAACTCTGTTGCCTGCTTAACTGACTCATTGCAGAGGAATATTTGAAAGTGTAACACACAAGCAAAATTATTAACGCCACAGCCCTGGCCAGCATAGCTAAAGTACATAATAGTTCAACTTGTGAAATTCTCCTACCTTCATATCTTGGCAGGGTAAGCCCTGCTTTTTTTTATTTTCTTTTATTTTTTAAGCCATAACCAGACGTTGGTAACCCTTTTGACCCAAGGTCAGCTCTCTTTTGGTATTTCTATATTGAGGCCAAGAAAATTCTCCTTTGGCACTGATCTGTCCTTATACAAGGAAGGAACTGGCAAATAATCGGGCAGTTTCATAGTATACAAATGGTCTTATTCTTATCTTGGGTGTGTATATTTTGGCAGAGCCTCCACTAATGGAATTGGTCATATCTGTGCTTAGCTGCAGCCACTCAGATTTTGTTTGCACTTACTGCTACTGCACCCATTCCACCAATAGACAGTGTTATTACACCTTCTTTGTGTATGCTTCTCTCAGACATTGATGTTGTTTTGCCCTGGAAGATTGCAAAGCTTCCATTTTTTGAGCCAACTGGACACAGTTGACAGCTCCCTTCCAGCACTTGTTATGACTCCAGTGATGCCCCAGCTTCTGCCAGAAATCCAAGTCACCCTCCAAGTAGGACCCTTTTCTGGATTCTACTCTTAGCACTACCCCCTCTGCCATCTCCTAGAAGAGGGAGAGACAGCATCTCGGGTGAGGGGGGGGGCAGTGCAGATTTGAGGTATGGTTCGTTGAGGTGTCATCCACACTTCTTTCTTGACCCTTATTGATCTATCCTCGGGGAGCGCTGACCACCAATGGCCTGTGAGCCGTCCACAGCCTTCACATTCCACTTTCAGCTCTTAGAGATGACATGCTGTCTATGTAGCAGGAAGTCACTTCTGATGCCCATGGTATGAAATACGTCACCCACATGCCTCAGCTGTGATGCACATAATTTCAGAATCATCGACTTGTCATTGACTCTTCCTCCCTCAGTCCCCTCCAACCCAGTCCCATGGAGAAGAGCAGGTATTTGAGGACATGGCATTCCTTCTTGTCTTGGCCTAGGAGGGAATCTATTTAGAAGGAAGCTACACTTTTCCTCTCAATGTACACATGTCATTTTGTCCATGAACACTGGGCAGTCACTCCTGTTTTAACCTCTACTTCTTTACGTACATCCTGGGTGCGGGCACTCTCCAATGGCGGATACCATATACTGCAGTAACAGCGAGGCTGATCTGCAAACATCAGGCAGAATCCTGGTTTGGGACTGCAAAGCCCTGTCCTCACAATACCATCTCCCATCCAAATTCCATCATTCTATGCTATTTTCAGTGCTTCAACATTTCCTTTGACTCCCAAAAAAGTTTCCCTCATTTTTACCTCTGATTGTAGAGATAATTTCCTCAGAATTTATCAAGGCGATTAGTGAACAGTCATAATGCCAAAACCACTAGACAAATATGTACTGAAGAGTCATCCATGCCAGGAGAAAATCAGAATAAAAAAATGTTAGAGCAAAGGGCGGCGGGGGTGGGTGGAGGGGGGTGGGCAGAGCTAGTGATCATTTGTTCCAACTATTTAGTATTAAAGTTGAAAGGCTTAACCAAGGTCACAAGCAGCGTTAGTGTCAGAGCCAGACTTAGAATTCAGATCTTGTGTCTCTGCATCCCGTGCTGTTACCTTATGCTCTGGTGAACCCCCAGCCCCCACCAACACATGCATTCCCATCCCCAATTTTCTGGTAGGAGAAATAATGGTTGTAAGTAGAATAAGGACACATAGAGGTAAACTCCTGTTACACCTCTGTACTGACGAGAAGAATAAAAACTCTGTCAACATTTATCCTCTCTTTATTTATTAAATCCAGATAACACATCTGACGCAAGCCAGCAACAGAATTTCCTTGTTAACATCATTATCACAGAAGTAGACCAGCACCAGTTAGGCAGTCTCTTTTCCATCCACAACCCCCAAGTCCCACCCACTTACCTAGGTACCAGCTTTCATAGAGTACTCAGAACAGCATCATAATAGGCGATAAAGGCCTGAAACCTCCTTCTCAGACAACACCCACAAACAAAGCTTTGCCATCAACAAGTCAACAAGCAAGCTTTATTGCAGAAGTTTCTCCACGTTGTACTTCCCCAGGCTAGAATTAAGCTCACATCATGCCAAATAGCTGTATTGCCCTCTTGAGACAGACGCATAGGCTATGCTCTGGCTAAAATGCTTCAATTTGATTCTTACCTGACTCTAACCAGGGAAATACTGAAAAGTGGGGTGACAACCACAGGAACATTTGAGGGGACAGAATAACTGACCCAAGTCAGATTGGGTTCCAGACGAAGCATAACCCAAATGCCTGCTGTGAATCCTGGTCTATCAAAATTCTAGATAAAATTGCTTTTCTCCAGCTTGTGGAAGTTCAGAGCCCACCTCAGGGTGCCTGGGAATTCCTAAGGATGTTTATATTCTCCTGGCCTGGTCAACCCATAGAACTGCCACATTCCTAGTATGTTGTGTCTGTGTGGCTCTAGGTTGGTGCAAAAGAAAAACAGCCCCTTTTTTGAATTTCACCACACACCCAGTAAATGTGAACCTAAAGTTTGGGGGTAAAGGAGTGACTAAAGTCATATTTACAACCAGAAAAATAACCAAGTTGTGACTGGAAGGGTGGATGTTACTATTTTATTGGGATATTCTGACCACCTCTTCACTGAGCGCTCCATAGACTCCCACCTTCTCTAGTGCCAGCTTCCCACCATCTTGCTGACCTCTCTTCCCTTCTTCCCTGTAATCTCCACTCTTCTCTCATTGGCTCCTCTATCTATGGGGATAACAAACATATTCCACCCCTCACTTTATGCATGAGGCCCTCTACTCTCTTAGAGGTCTGAGTCTCAATTGCTTTCTAGGTGCCTATCACACTATTTTTCTAAAGACGGTTTCTTCCCAAGGAGGACTAAAATGCTCACCATCACTGGCCATCAGAGAAATGCAAATCAAAACCACAATGAGATACCATCTCACACCAGTTAGAATGGCAATCATTAAAAAGTCAGGAAACAACAGGTGCTGGAGAGGATGTGGAGAAATAGGAACACTTTTACACTGTTGCTGGGACTGTAAACTAGTTCAACCATTGTGGATGTCAGTGTGGCGATTCCTCAGGGATCTAGAACTAGAAATACCATTTGACCCAGCCATCCCATTACTGGGTATATACCCAAAGTATTATAAATCATGCTGCTATAAAGACACATGCACACGTAAGTTTATTGCGGCACTATTCACAATAGCAAAGACTTGGAACCAACCCAAATGTCCAACAATGATAGACTGGATTAAGAAAATGTGGCACATATACACCATGGAATACTATGCAGCCATAAAAAAGGATGAGTTCATGTCCTTTGTAGGGACATGGATGAAGCTGGAAACGGTCATTCTCAGCAAACTATCGCAAGGACAAAAAACCAAACACCTCATGTTCTCACTCATAGGTGAGAATTGAACAATGAGAACACATGGACACAGGAAGGGGAACATCACACACCGGGGACTGTTGTGGGGTCGGGGGAGAGGGGAGGGATAGCATTAGGAGATATACCTAATGCTAAATTACGAGTTAATGGGTGTAGCACACCAACATGACACATGTATACATACATAACAAACCTGCACGTTGTGCACATGTACCCTAAAACTTAAAGTATAATAATAATAAAATAAAAATAAAAATAAAAAAAAGAAAGTAAAAAGATGAAAAAAAAAAAAAGATATCCCTTTCTCTTACCCCTATATTGGGACAATTTCACAGGTACAGGTGGGGTAGTTATCCATATACCTAATGTCTAAGATGAAGTAGTGATTTCTGAGCAGAGAAAGAGGCAATATGAAACTTGTGTTAAACTTGTTTAACGATGTTTGGCTTTTCCTTATGATGTCTGGCTCATGACTTAGAGCAAGAAATGGCATTCTAAATAAATTAGCTCAATGTTTCCAGGGCCTATATTCTTCTTATTATTTTTATTTTGTTATTATTATTTATTATTGTTATTTTTTGAGATAGTGTTTCACTCTTGTTGCCCAGGCTGGACACAGCAGCACGATCTTGGGTCAGTGCAACCTCCACTTCCCGGGATCAAGCAATTCTCCTGTCTCAGCCTACCGAGTAGCTGGGATTACAGGCACTCACCACCATGCCCAGCTAATTTTTGTATTTTTAGTGGAGATGGGGTTTCACTATGTTGACCAGGCTGGTCTCGAACTCCTGACCTCAGGTGATCCACCCGCCTCAGCCTCCCAAAGTGCTGGGATTACAGGCGTGAGCCACCGCGCCCAGCCTCCAGGGCCTATATTCTTTCATGGAAGAATGTTAAGTGGTTCTTTTTAACATATTAGAATACAGTTTTTAATTAAAAGTGTAGCGAATGGCACCACAGTATGAAAAATAAGATGCCAGGTGACATCAGAAGTATAAACTGTCACTTCTGTAGCAGGATTTGGGAAGCAACGGGAAAACCTGTTTATCTGTACCTCATTCCTAAAATTACACTTTTGGAGACAAATTGCTTTAAGTGAAGAAACTGCCCCTACTCTGACTCAGGTATCTTTGAAATGTTTACATATTGTTCATTTCCATTTCCAGTGAGTTCCATATTAGTGTGAACTAATTTAAACCAGCAGTTAAAGATTTAACACGGATGACAGTAGAGATAACAGGAGGACAATGAGGGTAGAAAGAAGTGGGAAATGGTGTGGGGATGGTATTTCCGAGAGCAGTTATTTATGGGCTGGCATGCAGCTTGCATGTAAAAATCATTCTGCCAATTATCAGTGGAATTGCTGTAGCCACATAAACTGGCAATCCTATTATTTATGTTAGTTTTCTCACTCCTTGAAATGGCCATTTCACACCTTCTCTTCTCTCCTCAGTCTTAGCAGTATCCTTGCCTCATATTTCACTGGAAAACAGTCAATTAAATGAAACATTTGGCTGGGTGCGGCAGCTCACGCCTGTAATCCCAACAGTTTGGGAGGCTGAGGCAGGGGGATCCCTTGAGCCCAGGAGTTTGAAACCAGCCTGGGCAACATGGTAGGACCCCATCTCTACAAAACAATACAAAAATTAGCCAGACATGGTGGTGCACACCTGTAGTCCTAGCTACCAGGGAGGCTGAGGTGGGAGGATCACTTAAGCCTGGGAAGTCAAGGCTGCAGTGAGCTGTGATCACACCACTGCACCCCAGGCTGGGCAACAGAGGGAGACGCTGTTTGAAAAAAAATAATAAACATTCATCTTCCTACATAAAAACTTCTAATCTTCTTGCACCTGCACTACCCATTGTGGTCTTCTTTCCAGTTTGAGAGGATGATAGGCCTGCCCCTTCTTCCACTGGGCTCTGGGTGCTGTCCCCTCTTACTTCCTCAGCAACATCAGCACACAAACATAGAGTATCTCTTTGACATTACGTCTTTCTCTTTCCCCTCATTTACTGAAACATTTTTCTGTTGCCCTTCACAGCTCTTCACTAAAAAGCCAAATACCTAGATCTCATCTCCACCTCTTTAACCTTCTTCTCCAGCCTCAAAGTCAGTCAAATCAATCTTCCCTCCCTACTTCTGCATCACAGCAGCTCTCAGGGAGCTCCCTCAGTCTCCAGGTTGCCATAACCAATGGTCAATTAGCTGTTCTCATCTCCCTTGACCCTGTAGCACCATTTGACATAGTTGGCCACTTCTTCCTTCTTATAAACCACAAGACATATTCTTGTGTCTTCTATGACACTCTCCTCCTGCCCTGGCAGTCCCTCCTCTCGGTCTCCTTAAGTTGGTGTGCCTAAGGCTTGGCCCAGGGGCCCACTGTCCTCTTTCACCTGTGCTTTCTCCCAGGGTGACCTCATCTGGTGTCACACTTGAAAGAACCTTCATGAATGAAGGCAAAATAAAAATATTTTTGGGCATATGAAGACTGAGGGTTTGCATCTCACTGACTGTCACTAAAAGAATGACTAACATCTGTAATCCCAGCTACTCGGGAGGCTGAGGCAGAAGAATCGCTTGAACCTGGGAGGCAGAGGTTGCAGTGAGCTGAGATCTTGCCATTGCGCTCCAGCCTGGGTGACAAAGTAAGACTCCATCTCAAAAAATAAAAATAAAACAAAAAGACTAAAACAGAATCAATTTAATTTTTGCCATAAACCTCTTTGTACATTTGGTGAAGGCTATGCAAGCCTTCTTAGAATAATGTTTGTAAATGCACAAAACAGAATATATAAGATAACGAATGAAAATAATTATATTGAAATACAGTTAAAACATAATGTGATTTAGTAGGCATATTTTTTACCATGCAAGTTTCTGGATCCCTCTGAATTTTATTCATGTGCAGTACATGAACCTATTTAAGAAAGAACAAATTGAACACTCAAGAATTGATCATTTAAAAAATATTTTTTGACCATTAGTTTTAAAAAATATTAGTTAGCAGTGACTAATGTGGAGGTAAGGTTATAAAAGAAAAGACAAACTAAAACGCTAGGTAACTGTTAAAAGGAACATAGTAGGTATTCAATTAGTACTTTTAAAATAAGTAATTAAATCAAGGACAGATTTTACCTCTTATCTCTTTTTCAGTTGGTAGGATATATACTGTTAGTGGAATCCAGTATACCCCAAAGAAAAGTCACAGCATGGTTGTGGTTGCTAGTATATCCACACAAGGGTTTTCTGTGCACATTAATGCCCCCTGAAGCCCTTTGTTTGTTAATAGGGGTACAGAGCTCCCCCATGCCACAACCTTAACCATAGTGAAAGTAATTTCTGAGGAAGAGCTAGAAATTCCCAGTACAAAACAGATGCTCAATAATTTATAAGACCTACAATAGAAGGGTGACATCGCTAGATCAGTATCACCTTCTGGTCAACCAGATGAATCATCTGTGTGGTGAAAATTACCACCCTCAAATATTCATCCCACCTCCCTACAGAGTCATTGCTCCTGGGCTCCTGTTTAATGCCTAATAATCGTGTCCCTATACTAAGACTCCTCTCAATTCCTTTGAGGGATGATGTATTCTTTTTAAAATGCCCTTTCAAGAATACATAATATGTCATGCACAATGACAATGTTTGCTTGAGAAAGAAATCTGAAAAAAGACTGGCCGACGCCAGTGTCTATGAAAAACAACAATGGCTCTGAAACTCAGCGCCAAGAAATGGCCAAAAATAAGATCACTGAGGAGAAGCACAAAGTTGGAGGCAGCAGTGATGGGAATGGAAAACGAAGCATATATGAAAATTAATCAAACTTTCTGAAGTTCAACTCCTTGGGGAGAAGGAAGAATGTGCCTCTTAAAAGCATAGAGACGTGGAATGCTGCAAAACCACAGAGCTCGTGAGTGAGCTTAGGGGAACTAAATATTAACTTGATAGTTAGCAAGGTCTTGGTACCCAAAAGCACCACTTTTATGTTACCTGTAGTGAATCGTTTTTAAAGAAAATACAAGGATAAATAATTTCCATGTCCTACACATATCGCTCAGTAAAGTAACTCCTGTTCAAAACAACTTGCTTGTTTTAATACTGGAGAAAAGCACTAGCTGTTCACTTCAAGTGGCTTTCCCCTAAATCCACTGAATTCTCTGTCTCCCCAGGTCCAAGTTGTGGATATGTCATTGGTTTGTTACCCTCTTTATTCACTGGTCTTCTCTGTCTCATACCACAATGGCAAACCCAGAGAGATGGACCGACCTAGTTGGCCTGGTGATCAGGTTGCTACTAATGAAGGTGAGTTGCTCTGCTTTCTAGCCTGAGCTTTCTATTTTAGGAATTTAAAGGGTAAGAGATTGAAGACAAAGGTGTTCACAGTGGCTGCTACTGCAATTCAAAATGGTCTAGCATTGTACAGATTGTCGTCGGGCCTCAGGGAAATTGCTCAGCCCTCCACAGCTCCCATGGCCTATCTCAGCACAATGAGGGGGTCCACATTTCCAAGTTCAAGACCTTTCATAACTACGTCACCTTCTATTTATCAGAGTCTTCCTCTCAGGACCACTAAACTATTTTTGGATCTGAAGCACAGTATACAAAACATAGCTACATATCAACAATTACACGATTATTCCAGACCCATCGCCCTTGGTTTTGCCTCATCTGACCTGGAATATTAAGGGAGGGAAAACCACATCTATTTTTAGTTTCTTCCGGAATTCCTCAAATTGTTCACTTTTCCATTTTGTTGAAAGCCATTAAGATCTAGACTTTGTGTTTTACCCAGCAGTGTGTGCACATACTTACGGCACATCTTTGTCTGGGACTCTTCATTTGAACCTTCTGGGCTCTCACTAAATATGGGCAATCTTATGAGTGACCTCTTGCCCCTGAGTCACCCGAATCCACTAATGTCTCTCTCTCTCTCTCAAAAACAAACATACACACACATGCATGCACACTCCTATGCCACATACACACTCACACTTCTATACATAAAATTAGAGAGCAGCCAGCACACATAATTCTGGACCATGGAGATATCTAGCAGAGTTGACACTTGGACCAGATCTTTTATTGACTTTCCCCTCCATTATTTTCAGCAATAATCCTTATTTGCTTGACTAATTCTTTTGATTTAAAGCAATTGACTGAAAAAGAAAACATTTTACTTTATGCTACTACTAAAATTCAGTGAAATGTTTAAGTGTGAACTCAAATTTGTATGTGCCAAATAATAATAGTATGCCTTGAAGTTTGCACTCTTCACTGTTTTAAATTTTAAACAAAAATAAAAACTCTATAAGGTCCCATATAATGACAGAATTGAAGCTACATATGTTCAGTTTCTTTACAAACACCATGCTAACATTGTGTGTTTTTAATCTACTGTTCAAATGCAGGGATGTGTCATTCTGCAGAGGCTGGAGAGACTTCAGGCAAACTCAACAGTCCCAAACCCTTAGAAACTTACTCTTGGAACAAACATATGTAGCTGAGTTCCTCTGTGTCAGGAGCTGCTATATAAATGAGAGTTTTCTGAATTACCTTCTCTGTAGAACACTATTTATTAAAAGGTAATAAATAAAAGTACATTAATTAGCAGCTTATATTACTGAAACTCACCAGTAATAGTAGCAATTGTTTAGAACTTAGACCTTCAATAGATTTTTTAGGAAAAATACTTAATCACTGATGTTGTTTGGGATCACCACCATATGGTGATAGTTCTTTTTTTTTTTTTTTTTTTTTTTGAGACGGAGTCTTGCTCTGTTGCCCAGGCTGGAATGCAGTAGTGTGATCTTGGCTCACTGCAACCTCCGCCTCCCGGGTTCAAGCCATTCTCCTGCCTCAGCCTCCTGAGTAGCTGGGACTACAGGCGTGTGCCACAAGGCCCGGCTAATTTTTTGTATCTTTAGTAGAGACAGGGTTTCACTGTGTTAGCCAGGATGGTCTCGATCTCCTGACCTCGTGATCCACCCGCCTCGGCCTCCCAAAGTGCTGAGATTACAGACGTGAGCCACTGAGCCCAGCCGATAATCCTTAAAAATGATTTAGTCAGTTTTATTGTTGATTTCAAATTCTCTACGAACAATGCACCACCTTGTTGCCTGCACTTGAGGGAAACCCCCACCACTCCACCCTGGTGTCACGGATTCCAGAGTGTCTCTTGTGGGCTCTTCATGCAAGCACAGGAGACCTTCATTCAGAGGTTCCCCATTTTCTCTTCATTAGCCTAATTTATCTCAGAGCAGTACTTTTAGGGGTACAGACCCAAGGAGGGTAGAGGAAGAATTTGCCACTATCAAATAAAAGTGGAGAGAGAGCTCATATTAAAGGAAGGCCACGTGAATCCGATTCACTAAGGCATTTCCCAGCTTCTCAAGGGGAAGCTAATGTTGCCTTTCTCCTTTTCCCCAAGTCCCTCTCCTGCTCCTGAATTCAACTCCATCTGGAAACATCTCCCTGACCCAGAGGAAGGAAGGGCTGCACAGATGTCTGTCAGTGCAGTTCCAAGCCTCCAGGGTCACCTGAAAAAAACAAGTGTGTTGTGTAATGCTGACCTGGAGTGAGAAGGAAAACAAGCTTTGACTCCACTTGACCCTGAAGGAAGGAAGCAGGAAGCCTTGTAGGGGGACGGGGTGAAGGCGTCCTCCGGAATGAGGTGTCCTATTACCGCCTGACCCTCTCCCTAATCAGGAATGCGGAATGAATGGCTCCAGCCCAGAAAGCAGAGCAACTGCAGCAGTTTCCACACCTATCTCAAAATTAGAAAACTTGCCTTGCATCGGAAACAATCCTTATGGCTCCTACTGTTTACACCACCCTAGGCACAGTGTGTCGGGTCCTGCTCAATCTTCACAACACTGCATTCTCTCCTCACCCCCATTTTACAGATGAGGAAAATCAGTCTCAGAGAGGTTGAGTTGGTCAGGATGGAATCCAGAGCTGCCCCATGCCCAAGGCCTTCCTCCCTGGGATGGGGGCTGGCTGGGGCTTGAACACTCCCGTGCCTGTATCACCTGTAGATTCTAGAGCATTAAACTTCAGACTTTGTGGTTTCGCTGTTGGTCATATGGTGCTGAGGTCCTTACTGTATCTTCTCTATCTTTTCTTCCAGATCTGCCTGCCAAACCTGCCTTCCTCGAAATATCCCTTCATGTGAAAGCATTATGAGAAAGGGTAAATCTAATTGTATACTATAATAGTGGCAGTAGGTGAGTTTACGTCACACACGCTAGGAAACTGCTTTAATCTTTCGACATCTCTCTCTTTCCAAATCATGCACGCATTCATTCCATCATCAAACATTTATTGAAAATCTACACACCAGACACTGTTCTAGGCCCTGGGGATAAGAAGTAATGAAAACAACTGTCCCCTAGGAGTCTGCACTCTAGTTGAGGGAGGTGCTGGCTAGCCTCTGTTTACCCTCCAGGTCCATCTTTGCCCTTTTCTGTGCCCCAGGAGGCTAGCCCCGCACTCTACTGTGCCTTGTCCTCTGGGAGGGTGATGGAAGGTAGGGAGAGTGGGAGATCCCAGCGGGAGGTTGTAGTATGGAAGCACTGGAGAGCTAGGCATTTTCTCCCCGCCAACTCCTTCCAGGCTGCAGTTTTGGCAGTGGTTGTGTTCCTGCCCTCTAGCCACAGATCCTGGGGGATCCCCCTCTCCCATAGCCACAGATCTTGGCAGGTTCCTCTGACACCTCTCTTACCTCCCCACCCTTCTTGACCCTTTTTACTTAATGAGAGGCAACCCATGGCTGCTCAATGCTGTCGGTTCTATGTTGACTTAACTGTTCTTACCTCTTCTGTTACCCTTTGAGAATGTCACTTCTTTTCTGCCAGGACCTTGACTGATACAGAAATACAGAAAATAAACAAACAAATGAGTTATATGTCTGATGAGCAAAAATGCTATGAAGAACATGAAGCAAGGTACAGGCAATAAGGAGTGTGTGTGTGTGTGTGTGTGTGTGTGTGTGAGTGTGTGTGTGTTGATGGGGTGGCATCAAGCCCCTCTTTCTCCCATGTCACTGAAATTCCCCTTATGACACTTACCTCATGTTTTCCCAGCCCCTCACTGCCTCAGATTTCATGCCATTGGGTTTTCTACTAAATCTTTTATTTTCTTATTTTAGTAAGCAGAGCAGTTCAGGTCAATTGTGGCTCCTACCTTAAAATGTGTACCTCAGTCCTCCCAACCATTCGTCACCATTCTAGTTGCAAGGCAACACAGTGGTCCCTGATTATCTGAGGGGGATACATTCCAAGACCCCCAGTGGATGCCTGAAATCATCAATAGTACTAAACCCCATATATACCATTTTTTATATGCATGCATACCTATGATAAAGTTTAATTTATAAATTAGGTACAGTTAAGAGATTAACAACAGTAACTCACAATAAAATAGAGCAATTATATAATATACCAGCATCACTAATCTTGTGCTTTGGGGCGATTATTAAGTCAGATAAAGGTCACTTGAACACAGGTGCTGCAATACATATCTTGACAGTCGATTTGATAACTGAGAAAGCTACTAAGTGACCAATGGTCAGAAATAAACTGGACAAAGCGATGATTCACATTCCAGGTAAGGCAGCATGAACAGCATGAGATTTCATCATGCTGCTCAGAATAGCATGTAATTTAAAACTTATAAATTTTTTTTCTGGAATTTTCCATTTAATATTTATCGACCCCACTTGACCATGAGTGGCTGAAACCACAGAAAGCAAGACTGCTAATAAGTTGGGGGGTAGGGTCTACTGATTCAGAGTTATCAATACCAGAAATGTTTCCTATTACATGTAACTTATGAATAAACATGACTTACAGTTTAATTTTAGTGTTTGGGAAAAATGTACATTCTTTAATTCTGGAAAGCCTGCAGAATGAATTCCAGTGTTCACTCTGAAAAGTCTTTGCTAGAAGAATAACATTCCAGGTGCCTTCTACAGCAGTATCCTCCCTTTCCCTTCCTTTCTGCTGGCCTCAGACACCATCACCTGCTATCTCATAAGAAGCAAATCAGAGCTGAGTGTGGTATCTTCCTCCCACACTCTTCTAACCCTTGATAAACACCTTTGACTGGCAAATAGCACTTGTCTATTTCTGTATTTTTTGGCTCTTTCAGTCATCTTGGAAGCCAATGAGAATGAGAAACTTGGGGGCTGCTGTGAAAAAGGCAACAGATTCTGATAGGTGAGGCCACTGGAAGTGACTGGTCCTCTAAGCCAGTGATAAAATCTTGGAGTTCACCCCCTAATCCCACCAGATGAAGGAGCATCTTGGTGGATGGGGATCAGCACCTTAGTGATCACTGCACTAGGTTGCAGAGATTCACATGGGTAAGGTGCTTAATCAACCCTTTGGGTGTCCCCTGACCAGGACTTCTGGGTTCCCCCTGTGAGTTCCCCCGCCTAGAGTCTCAAGGTACAGGCCTAAGATCTTCATCATTAACAAACTCTCCAGGTAACTCTTGTGCAAACCAAATTCTGAAAACCACAAATCTAAAGATGACCACACATGTTCTACCACAGAGTCCTTCACAAAGCCTCTCCCCAAAACTAGCCTTATTTTTCATTCTTTCTACTTTTCTGATTTTTTTTTTTTTTTTATGGAGTCTCACTCTGTCACCAGGCTGGAGTGCAGTGGCCCAATCTTGGCTCACTGCAACCTCTGCCTCCTGAGTTCAAGTGATGTTCCTGCCTCAGCCTCCCAAGTAGCTGGGACTACAGGTGAGTGCCACCACACTCAGCTAATTTTTGTATTTTTAGTAGAGATGGGGTTTCACCAGGTTGGCCAGGATGGTCTCGATCTCTTGACCTCGTGATCCCCCCAGCCTGGGCCTCCCAAGTTGCTGGGATTACAGGCGTGAGCCACCACGCCCAGCCTTTTCTGATTACATAAAAGCAAAAATCCCAGGGACTCATTGCTTGCTCCTTTAACTAGTGGTTCTCTTCTACCTGTGGGGCAGGAATCTTGCTTTAACATGGTTCGTTGAGTGGCCAGTTTCAGGGTATCTGGATTGGGGACAGGCAGGGCTGAAGCTTAAGGAGGGCTCAAGGTGGGCTCAAGGTGTGGAGGGGCACAGGAAACAGGAGGGCACTGGTTTGAGAAGAGTGTAGAGACTTGTGAAGACACACAGTAAATAAGTAGGTAAACAAATTAGTATATGTGACTTCAACTAAAATCTGTGTGTGAAAATTAAACAAATGAGGAGAAAGAGTAACTTAATTAAAATGTATTGTCTCTTGGGCCCAATAAAAGTAATTTTCTGTTTATTTCCTTTTTATACAATCACTGTTAATTTCAATTATTTTTAGTAGCTTCCTTTTGAACTCATTGTTTCAAAATTCAAAAGTGACTTTCACTAAAGGTTGAATTTTGTTTGTGAGGACATGGAATGGGGAGCTTCAACTAATTAATTTTACTGGTATACTAAAGGTGAAAATTTACGTAGTGCTGAAAAATCTTCAAGCATGTATTTAGCCCATTTTTTCTGTATATAATAGAGATTGTAAATGGAATTGAATCCACTTTCGATGAATGAGGATTTCCAGCTACTTCCAGATATTCTCAATGGCATTTACATTTTAATACTATAGATGGAGGAGTTTAGACTACTAGAATGATTATAAAATGCTCACAGGAACTTATTTCCTTGTGATTTTCAATTACAGTTGACCCTTGAATAACAGGAGTTTGAATTTCAAGGGCCCAGTTTTATGTGGATTTTTTTTTTCAATACATACAGTTGGTATTTGTAGTTCTGTATCTGAAACCAAACACCGATTGAAAAATATGGTTTTCCTTGGATGCTAAACCAACAATACTAATGATTGACTTTTACTTTTCCTATATGTGAGATTCTGCAGGACTTACTTTGAGACTGAGTGTGCACGGATTTTGGTATAACCTGGGGTGAAGGGGTGCAACTCTTGATTCATCACTCATGTTAAAGATTAATTGAGCCACTTGCTATTATACTTTTCACATCGATCTTTTACTTCTAAATATTTGTTTTGAGAAATTTAGTTTGTGACCATGACATTAAAGAAGATAGTTGCTTTTTGTTGGATTCTGGTAAGCAAAGGGGACAAGAAGCACATAGGGCCTCTTCTTCCCTATCCATCCTTCCAATTCTCCTTCTTTTGAGGGCATTTTGGATTTCCCAGCCTCCTCCTGCCTTATCTACAATGGAGGAAATAACAGCCCTCAGGATATATTTCAGCCTTAGCCAGTTGGCCACACTCAAGAGACACAGATCTCATATTTCCACCTGCATAACCCATCCTGTAAAGACTCAGATTCAGACCATTCTAGGGCAGAGAAGTGTGCTAAAAAGCCACAGCTCTGAAGCCCTCTAAAGAGGCAAACGCTTGACTCAAGTGTTTGCTTTGGGCAACAAGTGACTTCCTGCTTTGCAAAGAGAAATTTCAAAGGGCTGATTTTTAAAATTCCAAAGATCCCTAAAAGTCCTTATATTTTGACCCCTTACAGACAAAAATGAACCAGAATATCAGGAATATTTGGGTTGGATTTTCTTAAATTACAGAAATAACTAAAAGTTAAAGGAGCACTTACAGCAAAGAAGATAAGGGATTTAGTAATTCTTCCTCCCAAGAATTTTCAAATTTTAGTGCAGCCTAAGAATCACTCAAATAGTTCTGGCTAAGTTCTTGGCTTCACACTCAGAGTCTGCTCAGTAGACAGAGAAGTGGTTCAAAAATGTGGGCCCCCAACATTCTGGGAACTTGTTGAAAATGCAAATTCTAGGCCTACTCAGTGGCTCACATCTCTAATCCTAGCACTTTGGAAGATCAAGGTGGGAGGAGCCCTTAAAGCCAGGAGTTTCAGACCAGCCTAGGCAACACAGAAAGACCCTGTCTCTACAAACAATAAAAAGCCAGGCATAGTGGCAAGCATCTGTAATACTAGCTCCTTGTGGGGCTAAGGTGGGAGGATCATTTGAGCCCACTAATTTCAGGCTGCAGTGAGCTATGATTTTGACACTGCACTCCAACCTGGGTGACAGAGAGAAACCTTGTCAAGAAAGAAAGACAGAGAGAGAGAAAGAGAGAAAAGGTGGAGGGAGAGAAAGAAAGAAACAAAGAAAAGAAAAGAAAAGAAAAGAAAAGAAAAGAAAAGAAAAGAAAAGAAAAGAAAAGAAAAGAAAAGAAAAGAAAAGAAAGAAAAGAAAAGAAAAGAAAGAAAAGAAAGGCAGGCAGGCAAATTCTAGAGCCCACCCCAGACTTCCAGAATCTAATACTCTGGAAGTGAGGCCCAGTAACCAGTGTTTTAACAAGCTGTCAAGCTGTCCAGGTGATTCTGATGTGCACAAATGTTTAATAACCACTGAGATAGAGCATGGTTTTTTTTTTTTTACCATTGTGGTTCTCACTTTGAGAAACTATTGATGGTCCCCAGGCCTGTGTCAGCTGTATCAGAACCTCTGCATACATTTAGAAAAACACTGGCAGATAGATGGGCTGCTAGGTTCATCTGTGGGCCATCTCTTCTCTCCCCACACATAATTATCTTCAGCCGAGATGCTTCATTATCAGGGCTTCTGCCTAAAGAGCCAGCTTCGCCTCTTCCTACTCCTTCCTTTTTTCTCTTCCGCTTTATTGAGGTACAACTGACAAATAAAAAGTGTATTTATGGTGTGCTACATGCTTTTTTGCTATATGTATACATTGTGAAGTGATGACCACAGTCAAGCTAATTACTCCTTTTTTGTCATCTTACTTTACCTTTCTGAACATCCTTAGCACCCTGCAAGCACTGTGTTCTCCAGTCTGCCAACTCTCACTGTCCTTCAAGGCCCAGGTCAAGGTCATTCCCTGTAAGAAGCCTCCCTTTGACTCCCTCTAGTAGTGTGTACACCTCCCATCACCTCCTCCCCCTGTCAAAGCACCTGCTGAACTGCATTACAATGCTCTATTTATGGGCTCCTCCACTGTCCTGTGATACTGCCACCTCACACCCCACCCCAGGGTAGGACCTCATTTATCTACTGTTTTGTGTCTAGCACTTAGCGCAGTATCTGGCACAGAGTAGTCAGGTGCTTAATCTGTGTTTGTTATGAATGAATCCCTAACGCAGCACGCTATTAGAGATGCTTAAGAGGGTAAAAGCATGGGCTATGGCATGAGGCTCTTGGGTTGAAGTCCTAGTTCTACCACTTCTAGCTACTTAAATTTGGGTAAGTTACTTAATCTCTCTGATCCTCAGTTTTCTTATGTGTAAAAGAGAGACGGTGCAATTTTCTCATATTAAAGGAAGTATTCCAAATTAAGTATTTAGAGCAGAACTTGTGAGTATTAAGTCCTCCATGCTAGGAAGAAAATGGACCAGAAAATCCTAAGACTAAGATGCTTCTGTCATGAGAAGCCTGCACATAGGACACTTTTCATTCATAGTCTCTCTATTTCTCTTTCATCCTCTTTCTTTCTCTAAATATGCCTATTTTATCTCTAGACTGCTAATATTTCTTTCTTCCTTTTTCTCTTTCTTTGACATACTACTTTACAAGTCCACAGCTGAGATCCCACATGCATAACCATGAGAGATGTGTGCGTGTGTCTGCGTGTGTGCATGCATGCACTCATGCATGCGTGTGGATTTGGTTTGGTGGTTTGAGTTATTGGGTTTAAAAATGGACCTAGTGCATATCAGTAAATAGGCTATAGGCATTGACCAATTCCTCAATTATAAGTCTTGTTTTTGAAGGATAATCCATTACAATAAATAAAGTCTGCATGTCCCTGAAAATTGACACAGGAAATTGTTGACTAAAGGTGGGTCTCAAGTCAAAAGAGGAAAAAAAACCTGGATTTAGAAATTTACATCAGATATGAAACTTACACATACAAAAAAAAAAACAAGCATAATTGCCTGCTAAAGTAAGTAAGGAGAACTTGTAGACCATCTCTGAGAAAATGGATGATTTTTGCAGAAAGTTGCTAAGTTTTGTCAAGAGCAGCTGAGGTTCGATCTACAGTCACACATCATGTTGTGTTGGCAGTTTGGTTACAGATTTTTATTTTTTAAATCTTATACTTTTCCCAATATATGTATTCATATTCACAAATAGGATATTCATTCACTGGACAAATGTTTCTGGGCACCTACTTTGTGCAGAATACTATCTTAATGCTGGGAAACTTATGGATGATTTCTTTCTTACAGCAAGTTTATTGTTGTTGGTGATGATGATGATACTATTGCTATTTTTAATTGCTATCTCTTGTTGAGGACCACCTCCATCACAGGGTCTCTGCTGAGTGTTTTTTAACAAGCTTTTTAAATGCACAATGTCATTTAATTTTCACAACACACCATGAACTAGTTAGCTACTCCCATTTTAGAGAAGGAGGCTCAGAAAGGTTAAACAACTTGCCAAACCTGGTTTAAAATCTACATAGATTGAAAGTCTAGCAAATTGAAAAATTTGAGGCAGACTATGAATCCCAAACCCAGTTCTTGTCACTATACCATATTATGCTTCAAGATAGGCTGCTGAAACATAAATGAAAGGTTAAACATACGATGGTTCAAAGGATGGTACAAAGCGATACAGAATTCTCTTCCAAACTGTAGTCCAGACCAAGGGTACAATTCAGCGGGAAGAATGTTCCTGCAAACATAAGCCTGGACTGCAAAATCATTAACCTACCCAGAGAAATACAGGGAGGGACCCTTCTGCCACCAGTGTAAACACTTTTCTAAACAAAGCTGGTAGATATTTTCTAAACATTGTTTTTTATGCCTAACTAAATGTGCATCATACTTTGGAAGTACTTCTAAGGCAGTGGTCTCCATCCTCTTTGGCACCAGGGACTGGTTTCATGGAAGACAAGTTTTCTAGAAGACCAGTAGAAGCGGGAGAAGCAGGGGCATGGTTTCAGGATAAAACCGTTCAGATCATCAGCCATTAGATTCTCATAAGGAGCATGCAACCTAGATCCTTCGCATGCACAGTTCACAATAGGGTTCAAGCTCCGGTGAGAATCGAATGCCACCACTGATTCAAGAAGAAGTGGAGCTCAGGCAATAACACTGGCTCTCCCATGGCTCATGTCCTGCTGTGTCACCTGGTTCCTAACAGGACACTGACTGGCACTAGTCCATGGCCCACAAGGTGGGGACTCTTGTTCTAAGGTGCTGGTTGAAAAATGCAGATTTTGCAGCATTGCTCCCTGTCCTGCTCCTACCCCCATCTTCCTACACACACAGGTTCCAATTTAATAGGTTCAGGTAGAGCCCAGAGATATGCATTTTGATCAGCATCCAGCCAGTTTATCTACTGCTCATCTCTAGACCACACTTGCACAAACTGTGCTTTGCATCTCCATGTAAATATAAATATGTCATATAAAATATGTCATTACGGTTCTCTTATACTAATATATTATACATCTATTATTACAAAAACCCAAAATAGAGATTTTTAAAAGGATGAGATCTTTCAAAATAAAGAGCAGGGCACATACTTTATCTTCATAGTCCAACAGAGGGTGTAGCATACCATCTGCCACCCAGAGTTGAGTGAACCTCTGGCCTTGTACCCTAAGATGCATCCCTGTCTTATGAACTTCTGGGAGACAGGAGGTTGGGTGGAATCTGTACTGGCTCAGTGCTTAGGCTCATTCTCTGTGGCCACCATTGTTCCCCTTCAGACAGGTCAGTAAATCAATCTCCATGGCTTTGAAAGAAGAGTAGACAAGTTCTGCAGGTGCGCTGTGGAAAATTTATGCAACACCAGCATTGGCAGTGAAGTGACGATCTTGAAAAATATTAGTTATGCTATACCATGGCAACCCCACCTCAGGTGCATGAATATGCAGTGTCACTCATGACACATTTGGAAATTCTGCCTGAGTGATGATTTAAATAAAATGTGAAGTCCAAGTGTCATTCATTTCTGCTTTTAAACAGGACTTTAAAACTCATATAGGAAGTGTTAAGAATTGTGATTTTGACTTTAAGAAAAAGGTAGAAGTTTGTTAGTAACCTATATGTGAGTGCTTTAAAGTTTCAAAAATTATATTAAAATTAAAATGGATGAACACATCCATCCTGAAAGAGAACAAGATGTTATTTCACTTAAAGAAGAGATAAATCACTTAAGTGACACTTTTGCGTTCCTAACTCTACATGAAATACTGATTAAAAACCTAATGTGCCAGGTACTGTGCTAGGGGCGAGGAGTAAAAAGATGAATAAGATGGCATCCCTATGTCCTAGGAAAGAAGTGCATGTGAACAATTACTGAGATTTCAAACACAAAAGGCACTGTAAAACAGGCTTGGGACAGTGCTGCAAAGCACTTAGCAGGGAGATCAGTTCTGCACAGGGATGGGGTGACCTGTGAAAAGGAAGTAATTTGGTGACATTTAAAATGGGCTTAGGAGGATCGTTTACTTGACAAATGTATTAGTCTGTTATCACGCTGCTAATAAAGACATACCTGAGACTGGAGAATTTAAAAAGGAAAGAGGTTTAATGGACTCACATTTCCACATGGCTGGGGAGGCCTCACAATCATGGTGTAAGGTGAGAAGGAGAAAAGTCATGTCTTACATGGTGGCAGTAAAGGGAGCTTGTTCAGGGGAACTCCCATTTATTAAACCATCAGATCTCATGAGACGTATTCACCACCATGAGAACGGTATGAGGGAAGCTGCCCTCATGATTCAAATATCTCTACCTGGTCCCAACCTTGACATGTGGGGATTATTACAGCTCAAGGTGAGATTTGGGTGGGGACACAGCCAAACTATATCAACAGAGAAGGCAGGAAAGAGAAATCCAGGCAGAGGAATGAACCACAGTAGGGAGAAAGAATGAATGGAGAAGAGGTGGCTGGCCCCGGTTATAGCCATTGGGAAGCTGAGGAAATGGCAGAGGGAAAGGAACCTGTAAAAAACAACTGAGAAGTTGCAGCCAGAGAAGAAGGAGGGAGGCCAGGAGCATTGGTGTCCTGGAAGGCAGGGACAAGACTAGAGGAAGTGGAGAACAGTGTGAAGTCCTGCTGACAGTAAATGAGTTGGATTTGAGGATACAGAGGTCAAAGAGAATCTTGGCAAAAGCATTTGCTGAGGTACACTGGGGTAGCGTAGACAGAACACAATGTGAATGGTTGGTGATGATGTGAAGACGTGAATCGCCATAATCCTTTCAAGAATTTTGTGGTGAGGGAAAATGAAGATGGAAGTGCAGCTGAGGAAAAATATGGGTTAGGAAGAGCTTCTGCTCCTATTGTTTTAAGATGAGAAGGATCTAAGCATAATTAAATGCTAACAGGAAAGGGCCAATAAGAGGTGAGCCTAGTGAGGCTATGGGAATAAAGGGCAGGAGCACGGGAGAGCTGAGCTCTGGAGGCAGGGAAGGGTCCCTCTTCCCTTGGGACAAAACAGGAGGGCAAAAGAGATGGGTATTGAGGCTGATCCTGGCACAGATTTGGTGGTGAGAAGGCCAATGGCGTTATTTCCTCCAAGAAGGCACAGCCGTTTCCTGAGAGCAGGCTGTGTGTGCAAGTGTGTACATGTGTATGTGCATGGTGCACACACTGGGCTTCGCTAGTGCTTGGAGATTTAAGGACGGTGAAGACACCATAAAGATGTCTCTGGGGATAATTGAAGAGTTCCAGGCTGAGTGAGGGCCCATGTCCCTCTTCTAATCTTTACTGGCCTTAGACCATACAAATATCTGGCTTCTTTGCACTCTCATTTGCAACACGTTGAGTTTGTGTGTTTGTATATATGTATAAATATATGGTCTTGAATTTTCCTGCAGGCAGAATCTCTGGTTTCTCTTAGTACCTAGTAGAGTTCAGACACATAGAATATATTCAATAAATAATTCTTAGTTGATTGAAATACCTTTCAACTCATTATACCCCAGCTTTAGCCAATAAGTAGACTCCAAAGGTGAAAAGCAACTATAATTCTGAGATAGCCCTTCCCTAGGGACAGGGAACTGCAATTGAGTCATCATTTTTAGCATATGGGAATACATATTACGATAAAGAAAGAAGTGTTCTCTGGTCTGACCAATGATGGCTGCATGTCATAACACTGAATGAAAACCTTTTAAAATGCAATACGTTTTGTGCTTTACCTATTTCCTCTCCATTAACACACAAACATATGCACACTCATGCACACAAATGCACACATATGTGCACATCTGCGGGTGCACACCACTACCAAAACCCAAACATCTTTTTGCTCCTTAGATGGCTGGCAGCGTGAATTTTCTGTAATGTAAACGAAGAAGTGGTGGGCAGGATAAAGGGTTAAGTAAGGATCTCTAGTAATGCTCCAACTTGTTCTTTGAGGAGTAACAAAGAGAGGAAGCACAGGCTTTGTGGAAGGAAATTCCCAGGCCCCACTTCGGACATTCGCAACCTGCCCTGTGAACCTCTGAGGGGTGTCTGATAATAAACACTTGCAAACAAAACAATCCATGAAGGCATTTTTACTAACATTCTCACATTCTCACCAAAGGGCTACAGCACATTTTCCTGAATCTGCGGACCTTGGAGGGGGGACCTGGACATCCACCTGCCAGCAGAGGCCAACAACCCAGTCCCTGCTCAGGCTGGTGTTTGTACGTGCAGGTCCCCCTTGCTCCTTGGGCCTTTGATTGGGCAGGGGTGGTGATGGGGCTGTGGAATGCAGATCACAGACTCAACACCGGACAGGATGTGTGTGGACTGCTGTGTGCAGACCTGAGACCCACCTCTTCATCTTTCACGGAGACCCCCAGACATAGCCCTGAGCATTGCAACTTTGAGTAATAATGCAGTGACCTTCCCCAGGAGTAGAAGGAACTTGACAAAGGCATGAAAAGCTTTGCTTGTAAAGTGTGCCAATTAAGTAACAAATTGGCCTTCTTTTCCTGTAGTAGCAAAACAAACAAATAAAACCCCTGGAGACTTGACAGTAAATATTTGTGCACAAGTTTCTTGTAAGAAGCTCAAAACATGTTAGGACCAAGATGCAAAAACTTAAGCAAAAGTCTAGTTTGGGTGAGATTATTTGTAATATTATACCTTATTTATCCCCAAACTAATAGGATGTGAGATCTGTTATGCCCATTTCATCAATGAATAAATAAAGGATCAGAAACTGGCCTAGAATAATAGTAAAGTTCTGGGTGATTCAGGTATCTGATACTTGCTCTAGTGAGTGTGTGTGTGTGTGTGTGTGTGTGTGTGTGTGTGTGTGTATGTGTGTGTTTATTGGGGCTGTGTGTACACAGATTTATGGCTTTTTTAAAACAAAATATTCTTAAAATCACTTTATTAATTGCAATTCAAGCCAAGATCCTCAAACAGCATCGCTGTCTCAGGTCTAGACCAGAATTCACTTCACAGTACGGGTGAGATTTAGATCCTTGACTACAAAAAGAAAGCTGACGCTTTACTTTTGAATTGCCGTCACCGGTCTCTGGAATATTTTTGGATGACTACTCATTTGCATCTGTCCAGAGTTGGCGGGCAATCTCCCTCTTGACCCCAGCCCTCAAGACCACATTGATCCAACCGAGGTGATGACAGGTTCCAGATTTTACTCTAGGCGGGGTTAACATGAGCCTCTACTCAGGCCTCCTTCTGTCCTTTGTGCTACAACAATGGGCGGAAACACAGCCTTGTTAGAGGAAATTCCCAGGGCCATGCTTTGGACATGAGACAGTGGCTTTGCTATGCTGGGTAGGCTGATGCGCATCTAAAAATAAATACCCTGGTCTGCAAGGGTTTCTATGATTTTGTCATGTACAGTTGATTACATTTCAAAGGATTTTTTTTAATTAGTGTTTTTAAGAAAGCTAACTTAGGTAAGCCTTGAGAATAAAATATATCATGGCTTTGTTTCGGTCTGAAAACATATAGCATTTGCTTATAACTGTTTCTGTTGAAAGGACTGCTGCTTTCTTCCCCCAGGATCTCAAAGTGAGATTGAAGAAAGCAAAGGCATGCTGAGATGCTGCCCAAGCATGGTCAGAAACATGTGAGGGTCCAGAACTGCAAGTTCTTTGAGTCCACAAAGGATAAAGTATTAACAGAAAGCTCTGGGGCTGCCTGGAGTGGTTGCTGATGTGTATAGGGTCTACCTAAGCCTAAGTCTTACTTCTCTAAAAGTTTCCAGATCCCTACTTCACAAAGAGACTGCTCTTGAGGTGGTTCATGTAGCAGAAAAGGAAAGATGGGTAGAAGGCAGTGGCCAGTGAACTTGACTCACAGCAGGCAGACAGTTCCAGCCAGCTTTCTTCTCTCTCCAAAAGTCAAATATTCCATTCATAGTCCTTGCAACTTAGAAGATGGTAGAATCAGTTTCTTTTTCACATTTTAAAGTTAGACCTCGGAATGGCTAGGAACCCATATCCATGTAGTCATATTTCCATTTTAGCTAGAGGAGAAATCAGGGCCAAAGCTCTGAGTCTTGCTGTTATTTGCCTGACTCTACTTGAGCTGAAAATGTACAGAAATGTGGCAGTTTTCCATCAAATAGGAATGTGTTTGCAGCACAAGAAGTAACCCATAATTTAGTTAAAGAGTAACCCAAGAAGAGTGGTTTACAGTGAAGTTTTCCCTCCTCATTGTTCTCGTTTCTTTTTTGCTCTTTCCTGGAAGTCCAGCCTACTCCATTGTTACTAAGACCCTATTTTAAACTTACTGCAGCAGATAGGTAGGGCTAGCTGGTGAAAAGTCAGCTATCCTCACTCTAGCCTGATGATATTTTTTGCAGACCTTCATTTGGTGGCTTGGATCACCGCACTGACATCACGAGACTCTTGATAGCTTTGAGCGGGAAGGGACCTTTGAGGTCATCACCCGGACTCCACCCATTATGGGCATCCCTTTGGGAACACCCTGGCCACTAGTCCATCTTCCAGGGTGCTGGAACATTGCCCGGGACAAGGCGTTCACCACACCACAAGGCAGCTCACTCATTTTTAGATGATTCTGATGGTGGGTAAATCCTTCCACACATTGAGCTGAAATCTGTTGCGCTATAATTTCCACCCATTGATCTTCTGTTGGCCTTCCCTTTTCCCACACAGAGCAACCTTTAAATATTTAAAAGCAGCCCTCATGTGCTCAAGATGTACTTCTTACTTTAATTGTCCCCTGAATGATCCTTCAACTGTTTGGTGAATGACAGTTTTCTCATTTTCACCATCTTGGCCAACCTCCTCTTTTAAGACCTGGTGTTTTTTGTTTTTTGTTTGTTTTGTTTTGTTTTGAGACAGAGTCTTGCCCTGTCGCCAGGCTGGAGTGCAGTGGCACAATCTCAGCTCACTGAAACCTCCGCCTCCCGGGTTCAAGCAATTCTCCTGCCTCAGCCTCCTGAGTAGCTGGGACTACAGGCAAGCACCACCACATCCAGCTAACTTTTGTATTTTTAGTAGAGACGGGGTTTCACCGTGTTAGCCAGGAAGGTCTCGATCTCTTGACTTCGTGATCCGCTCACCTCAGCCTCCCAAAGTGCTGGGATTACAGGCATGAGCCACTGCGCCTGGCTGACTTGGTGTTTTTTTAAAGGAACCTATTTGGCACTTTAGATAATTAATCTTCTTACAACTTTGTGCACTAAGTATTAGTTCATATTTTCAGAAACAAAGACTTGGCAAGATACAATCACTTGTTCAAGACAGGAGATTAAAAACCAGGTCTGCCTCTTTCTAGCCCACAACATGCCTCTCATTAAAAAAGAAATATTGAGCCAGATATAGTCCAGGCTGATCTCAAATTATAGCCTGAGATCTGTGGCAGGCCACTGGAAACCTCTCATGCAGGTTAATATCCCTTTTGTTATTACGACGTGTGTTTATTGACAGAGATTAAGGTGAACTTGAGTGGGTAAGAAATTACCAGCAGAAAACATTCAGTTGCTGAAAGGCAGCTGTAGACAAGGTGGGCATGGTGGAAGCCTGGAGGCAGAAAGGCATAGGAGCAACACGAAGCAAGAAGGGATTCTAGAGGTGCAGGAGGCATCTCATTTGGAAGCTCTGGACAATGGAGGGAGAAGAGAAGAAGGCTGGAAGACAGAAATAGCTGTCCCTTGAGAGCGCCTCGGCAGTTTACTTCAGCCTAAACCTGCTGGCTGTGTCTGTTTGCTTTCTCCCAAGTGTCCATGTGCTCTATGGAAGGGCAAAGCATGGGGGAAAATGATACTATGCCCTTCTCCACCATTTGATTCTAGGTGAAATATGGCTAAGACACAAATCTTTGGGTGGAAAAAGGAGAATACCACATGTAGTCAGAAAGGGAATCCTTTTAGCTGTGCTGCAGTGAGGGATGATGTCAGGAACTGGCTATATGTCTACGTGCTTCTAGGTTTTTCCTGCACCACTTGGTAGAGCTACTTCCTCCTCTTTTCCTGGCTGCTTTCCTAAAGCAGGGACTGCTTAATGGAGGCCTTTCCTCCCTCCTCATCTAACCTGCTTCAAAGCAGCTCTGCACCCAGCAATGAATGTCTCATGGATTTCTCTGAGTTGCAGGGCACTGCTCTCCAGGAGTCACGGGCAAACTGTGCTGTTGGGGAATTACCAAAGCACAATGTTAATGTCAATGGCTGAACATGTGGGCATAGTAATAAAATGGCTCTCTTAAGATCTCTTCGAGCTGGCTTGACTCAGAGAAATACAGAGCACCGCCTTCCAAATTACCATGAAGCATGAGAGAATGTGAGTGCAGAGGCTCTGTGGATATGGTCTTCTCTTTGCACTCTGAAATCAGGGATTCTCTCCCCTGTAGCTCTCTGTCTTTTTCACCACTTGAAAAACTCAAGGTTCAGAGAAAAGTTGTGGACCCACCCAAGGGTCACATGGCAAGATAGTTGCAGGTACAGGACCAAATGTGGGGCCCCAAAGCACAGTTCAGCTGTCTTTCTATTGAACCACACTGACTTCAAGCTTTAAGCTCTCGAGGCCTTTACTTGGATGTGCCAGCATTTGTTAGGGATCAAGCTTATTTCAGTTTTCCTTAATACTTCCATGAAAGAGAGGTAGCATAGAGGATGACAAAAAGTAAGTCCTCCAGATGAGCGCTGCATGGAGGCAGGACTCACATCTATATTGTTTGCCATCATATCCCTAGCACATAGCACACTGCCTGCCCTGTGAAAGGGACTCAGTGAGTCCTTGACTTCGAGTGGCAGAGAATGAGGGGCACTGACAGGGAAACAACTAATGAAAGAGGCTGTCACATAGATGTAAAGAAGTAGATTCTAAAAGGCATGGCACATGGAAAGTACTCAAAATATTTGGTGAGTAAATGAATCCAGCAACATTTCAGAAAGAAGAGTGTGGGAAAATGCTATAGGGATTAAAAATATCCTTGGAAGATTCAAACTATAGATCTCGATCTGATAATTAGGGTTTTTCAGACAATGTACACATTCATTTGCTCATTCATTCATTCATTTAACAAAATTGATTGAGCAGAAGCTATGTGCCCAAAACTGTGCCAAATGCTATGGGTTTAGACATAGAAGACCAATAACTCCTCAAGAGTCAAAATAAATATAGCAACTATCACTTAATGTGCTTAGGGATATGTCAAAACATTCCACTAAGTACCAGAAAAATAGCAGACCTGAGAACCGCTTAGTAGAAGATGGATGGAGGGGAATGAAGGTGTACAAACCAGGCCTTAATGGGCAATTGGGTGGGGAAGATGAATAGAGGTGTCCCAGGCAGGGAGGACAGCACACACAGAAATAGGCAGGCATTAGAGCATTCAAATATTAGGGAAATGCAAGGTACTTAGTTTAGTTGCAAAGTCAGATACTGAGAGGGTGAGGCTGGCAGGATGATAAGGAGCCGACTTTTGATTTTTCTACCTTCTTTAAGTGAATGCTTCTCAAACTTTAATGTGCATATGCATCACCCAGGGATTAAAATGCAGATTCAGTAAATCTGGGGAGGGAATAAAGAATTTGTTCCCAAGTGATCACTCCCAACTGATGCCTGATGCAGCTAGTCCTTGGACTACACTTTAGGTAGCAAGGCTGTAAGCAACAGAGTGCAATAGAAATATTTCACTGAGGTCGGGCACCATGGCTCCCGCCTATAATCCCAGCATTTTGGGAGGCCAAAGTGGGCAGATCACCTGAGGTCAGGAGTTCGAGACCAGCCTGGGCAACACGGTGAAACCCCTTCTCTACTAAAAATACAAAACATAGCTGGGCGTGGTGGTGCGTGCCTGTAGTCCCAGCTACTTGGGAGGCTGAGGCACAAAGATCACTTGAACCCAAGAGGCAGAGGTTGTGCTGAGATTGCACCACTGTACTCCAGGCTGGGCGACAGAGTGAGACACAGTCTCAGAAAAAAAAAATTATATATATATAGATATATGTGTATATATATATATATATATATATATATATATATATATATCTCACTGACAGTGGCATTATTAGAATTGCATATTCCCAAGACCCCTGTAGCAGGGTATGGAAGATAGAATGGAGGGAGACTGTATTGAGGTAAAATACATAAGTGGTAAGAAATTATGAGCATCGGAACTAAATAAGCTAGAAAAGAATAGTAAATGTTCAATAAATAGGTATGAATTGTTTGATATTCCATGAAGTCTGTATAAATTATTTCTCTTAGAGTAAAGGCTGGTTGTGAAGACAAAATGAAACAATAAAAACATAAGATGACAAAAAAATCCAGAGAAATTTATAGTGGTACTTAAATAAGACCTGGCTCCTCTCTGAGTCTCAGTGACCTATCATCTTGAGCCTCAATGGTGACCAACAAGAGCACCCAGCTAAGGAGTGAGCACCATCCCTGCAGACAACCACCACCACAAGCCTCCGAGACATCCCTGGATATTCGTTGTCACTACTGGTATTGAATTTCAGGAAACCTCGGGAATAACAACTGTTTAACCACAAATTCTAGAAAATAATGTGGAAGTCCACCAGATCCCTGAACAAAGTACTCTTTTTTTTTTCTTATAGCACATAGGCACTCTAAATTAGGAACACCCGTTCCTATTTCTGTTAGCAAATTCTCTGTCAAATCTACTATTTAACTGAAAACCTCAGAAAGGAGTAATAAAGAAATCATGGTAGAGGTCTATACTATTAAAAAGAAAAGGCAGTTAGTAAAAATTACCCCTTATGCAGAAGCCAAAAAAAAAAAAAAACTACTTCTAATGAGATTTGCACTCCAAAGAAAATAAGAATCGACACCATGATCTATATACTGGCTGGCATTCTTTATCCAAAGATGTACAGATTTGAAAAATCCATATGTCATATCCCATCTCACTATTTGCCCCTCACAGTCTTGTAAATCAGTAAATCTCCACAAGACACACAGGTTGAGAGCGTGAAGCCAGCTAGAAAAGCCACGTGGAAATGCACATCTATTCCAGAGCAGCCGGATTCACATTTAACATGGCAAATCAAAACGATGCAGGTACCTACCTTTCTCTTCTGGAGTTTTCAGGCTTCTAAAATTTAACACCTTACTGCTGATCTGCCCAAAACCCTCTCAGGTGAGGTGAACCTCGAGGGCATCCCATTCAATCACACAGCCAGAGGAGGGTGGGGTTTCACAAGACCAGACTTCAAATGCTGGGGCTCTTGCGGGTTCCCAGGCTGTCGGGAGCAGAGGTGAACTGCCTTCTGTTCTCTGCTGCAGGAAGAAGACGGGAGACACTGACTGACTGGAGGTGGGGGGCGGGGGCTTGGGGGAGGGAAGTAATATGGGGACTGTAATAAATAAGAGATCCTCTCCACATGATTTCCTATATTTGGTGCCTGATGCCTCTCTCCAGGCTCCCTAGAGGAAACAGGAAACTTGTCCTCTGGCCACTGGAAAGAAGAGAATAAACATACTGAGAACTGTGAAAAGAAGCAGCAGGACCCCAGGCAAGGAGCTGATGGGCCAGCCAACTTTACCTTTTACCAAGTGCTTTCTTCCTGAAGTTCCTCTAAGTGTTTAACTCTGTAAAAGTCAAGAATGTCCTCATCTTCTTCCACTGAGCTGGAGCATATTCTGGCCCCAGTCCAGATGTCATATTACAGAGCAGCTGATGACAGGCAGGTTAGAACAGGCCCTGGAAGAATCCATTCCCAGCCTCAGGCAAGACCCCCTAAGCTCTGTCTTTGGAAAGTCTGATCTTTCTTAATCTTGGACTGACTCCAAAGCCCTCAGGCCATTTTGCCTTAGAGTTTAAAGAATTATCAGGAGGCCACCATCCGTGGAGTGAAGTAGGACCCTCTACATTATTTATGGGGTTTCATGTAAAATGAAAATGTGATGCCACTCATTTGAAAATTAAGAATTTCAAGATGGTGACAATAGAACATTAAAGCAAGTGTGGGGACTCTCTGGAGCACAGGGCTCTATGCAACTGTACCAGGCCGTAGACTCACCAAGCCAGTCCTGGCTGTAGAAAGAACGTGGGAACTCTGGGCCATGTGGATTTTCACAAGCTGAGTTGTTGAGAGACCTGGACTACCTCCATTGTGTTCAGCAGGGTGACAGTCAGTCCTCCAACAGCAGCACACTTGGAAGCTGCTGCAAGGCAGCAGAGGGGGAGGAGGGTGGATGCTGGGTTGCGGGTGTGAGCAGGCAAAGACCACAAACACATCACTGAGTAAAAATCACACAGTGGTCTCCTTGCCCATATTTTCCCTCACTTCCTATCCATTCTCCTCTCAGCAACCAGGGTAATGTCTCTCAAATGCCATCTTCATGGTGGGATTCCCATGCTTAAAATCTTTCAGGAGCTTAAGGATATAGGTCAAACCCTTAAATGCACAATGGCCAATCTCTTCTACTTTCCCTCAAAGCCCACTTTCACCTGTGCTCTCCTCATGCCCTTTCTCATTCCCTCCTTCCCCACCTCTCTCCACTCAATGAAGTATGTCCTCCCCTCCAAGATCCAATTCCTTGAATCTGACATCCTTCAGAATGCATTTTCCAATTTCTGGGCCCCTTTGGTGTTCTTCCAAGCAAACCATGCTTGTCTCTCTCATAACACTAAAGCAAGGAAGCCTGCCTACTTGTCTCTCTGTCTCCTGCTGGGCTGTCCCTCTGTGAGGTCAAGGACTGTGTCTGCTTCACCATTATATCCCTAGCATCCAGGACCCAGCAGTGTCTGGTTTGTGTGGGTTTAATGTTAGGAGGAGGAGCGTCATCAACTACAGTTATTGCTGGGTGCGATGGTGCGCACTTGTACAAGTCCCAGCTACTCCGGTGGCTGAGGCAGGAGGATTGTTGGATCCCAGGAGTTTGAGACCAGCCTGGTCTCAAAATAAAATCAAATTAATTTTTGATTAATTTAAAAATAAAATCAAATTATTTTTGATTAATTTACAAAATAAAATCAAATTAATTACAGTTATTACATGTTAGGGAAAGGAGAATATATGACTTAGAGGAAAACACAAGACTGTTGTTATAGTTTTACAAAGTGGAGCAACTTCACGGGTGATATTGCGGAGCTATTGCTGAATATTATGAAAATGCTGCAGTTTGTCATATGCTGTGTATTGCTGCCTCACAGAGATTATTATAAGCAGGCAACAACCTCTATTCAAAAAGTGAAGTCTTAGATAATGCCCACAAGAAGGAGGACTAAAGTTAGCAAGGGTGAATGAAATGGGAGTCTGTTGGAGGTGAGGGGAGAGAGAGGGAGAAAGAAGGGGCAGTGGAAAGGAAAGAGGAAAAGAGGAGGGAGGGATATGGGAGGAAGGATAAAGACAGGAGAAGTGGGAAGAAGCACATGAATGGAACAAAGCTTAGAAAACAGTGAGGTGGTGGGGAGGGGAGGAAAACCCCTGTGAAGTCAGCATTTATCTGGAAGCAGTGCACCACAGGCAGGCTCTGTGCACCCTGCCTGACTCTCCTGCACTTTCTCAGGCTCCCCGATGAATCAAGCCTGTTTTTCTAGAAGTCAAAAGGCAAAAGGGGGTCTAGGGACATGCCACGACCGCTCTTAAAACACAACAGTTAGCTTCTGCATTTTGTTTGGACTTTGAAACATTATTAAACCACATAGTCATTTTTTATTTCATGATTTTGAATACTTCCATGACAATATTACGTCTGGAATTTCTAAGCATATATTCTGGTTACTTTTCATGGTTCCCCTGAATCAAGAGGTCACTTTGTGTGTTGACGAGGACTGTATATGAGTGAGAAGCCCCAGGTGAGGCTGGATGATTGGAGTACAAGCTGCAGTAACAAGACCCATACTCTATCATCTGTAAAGGTAATCAAAACATAGGTGATTCTCAATATCTGGTTTTGTGCATTTAATTGTCATTTAATATATGCATCTATCTAGAACAAAGCAAAGATATTTATTAAGCCAATCATTTGAACTTACTTTATGAAGTCTCAATTTGGTTCCTAATTAATGGATATTACTTCCATTGGAAATGGAAGTGTCAGAAAAAATAGTGAAAGGCTTTAAAATAGGAAAAGATGACTGGGTGTCCTGTCAACAGAGTGTTGAGAGTTTTCTAGCAAACAACTTACAGCTGGAGAGCTGAATCTATAGGGGTCTCTACATTTGATCATCTTTGACTGGATGTTTAATAATTCTGAAGGACGTAGAAACTAATAGTAATACAAATGATTTTTGACCATAGAAATGCACATTAGTTTTGTCCAGTAGATATATAATTGCCTTCCACCCTATAGAAATGGTTATTTCAAACATTAAATTTTAGTGCACGTTAGGATATTAGCCAGTTTTTGTAGCTCTTAGCAAACTCAGTTCAGCATTCCTGATTGTCTCTATATAAATATATCTGCTCTTGGGATTTCCCTTTGAATAAGTTCTAACGTTTTACCACTCCCTTCATTAATTAATGAGTTAAATAAAATCTCTTTCACATGTCATTTTATATTGGAGTCAGGATTTCACCTTTTGAAAATGGTCTTTTAACAGAAGGCAGGTGATAGTGCTTACAGCAAGTTGTATCAGGAATTTTCAATGGCAAAACTGTTTTCTTAAATATTTGGCCTATTTTTATACGTTCCTTGAGTATGTAAAATAAAAACAGGGAATAAACTAAGTGTGTTGATTATGAAAGTGAATGACAAAGTGATATCAGCTGAACAATTAGGTGTGTACAGAGTTTCAGTTAGGGCAGGAGTACAGGCAAAGCCCAAAGCAGAACTATGTAAAACAATAACTGGACACGGGTTTACTAAATATGGTGAAAGTGGCCTAGGTTTGGACTCACTAAAACCAGTACCTTGGAGGAAAGAAAACCTTGATAAGCAAAGGGCATACATTTCAGGTGTTCAGTATTTTTTAAGACAGTGTTTTTAGGAATTCTTGCCACATAGGCAACTATTCAGAAATGTCCTACTATCAATCAGCTATAGCAAAGCGTTCAACATAGGGGACAGTGACATTTTGAAAGGAATAAATCAGAAAACATAAATATATTTGTGTGGTTTGGTTTCTCTTTAATTTTTATATTTGCTGTGTTTTTAGTGTGTGTGACTTACAATCTATATTTTTAAATATCAAAGATATAAAATAATTTATCTTTAAGGATCGGTCTGGCCAATCAGTTTGGTTTGACTCACTAAAGCTCTTAGTACCAGATCAGCAGCCAAACATAAGGCCTTTTTGTTTTGTTTTGTTTAATTTTTATTTTCAAAATGAATTTGCCATTAATTCTGTAATTTAGAGCAGGGGAAATGACTTATCTAACAGCTCAGTGTGGAAGTTTGGAAGTTTGGAAGTTCCTGAGAACAGTGATTCTTGATTTTGGAGTAATCATGAGAACTATAAATGATCAATGGCAAATAATACAACAAATGTGATCTACGAGGTGCTTAAAGATCACTTCCCACAAACGTGTGGCTCTTTCTGCAAGAACCATGAGTAGACTTGTGAAGGGAGACTCCATCACAGACTGACACACGAGCTTTGTCTTCACCTGCATTAGAGGTGAGGCTCTCCTTTCATTGTCAGTTTTTCTCTGCCAACTACTAATATCACATTTGTCATTGAAGATGGAGCTCTAAGAGGGGACTATTAAGGAGCTCTATAACTTTCATTATTTCACATAAAAATAAAAAGGAAGTATGGACACTATAATATTAAACCCGTCAAAGAAGGAATAAACATGTAAAACATCAGTAGCATTGTTCTTGGGAAAAAAGGAATGTTGGCCTAAAGAAGGGCAACTGACAGCTATCATATATTTCCCTTAAAACTAAAGGTGTTAGGGAAAGAGAGAGAGAGAGAGGGAGAGAGGGAGGAAGAGGGACAGAGGATGGAGAAAGGAAGGAAGGGAGGAAGGAAGGAAGGAAGGAAGGAAAAGAAGGAAAGAGAAAGAAGGGAAAGAAAGAGAGAAAGAAGGGAAAGAAAGAAAGAAAGGGAGAGAAAGAGAGAGAGAAGGGGAGGGAAGGAGGGAGGGAAGAAAGGAGGAAAGAAAGAGGGAGGGAGGAAGGGGAGAGAGAGAAAAGAAAGTGAAGGAGGGAGGGAGGGAGAGTGGGAAGGAAGGAAGGAAAGAAGGAAGGAAGGAAGTAGAGGAGGGAGGGAGGGAAGATGAGGGAGGGAGGGAAGATGAGGGAGGGAGGGAGGGAAGCAAGGAAGGAGGGAGAAAGGGAAGGAAGAGAGGAAGGGAGGGAGGGAGGGGACATACATACATACATAGATTAAACCAAGTGTTTTAGGGAACTAGGGATTCTCAAATCCTGCTTAGTGTTTTGGGAAGAATTAGAAACTCTCACACACTGCTTGGTGAGTATAATTCAGTAAACCACTTTGGAGAGCAGTTTCACAGTGTCCAGGATAGTTCAAATTTCTAGTCACATCATATATTCTAGAAAATTCTTGCCTATATATACAAGGAGAAACACAAGAGTGTTCAACTGCAACACTCTTCAAAATAATTATAATACAAATATATATATATGCATCATAGAAACATTAATAGAAAAATTTTGATATTATTACAGAAATAATAAATTAAGTCTGTATGTATCAAGATGGATGGGGAAAAATACATGTAAAAGTTTTTTAAAAAGCCAGAGGGAAAAAGATCAGTTGTAGAAAAAATACATATACAATGCTATATATTGAAAAGCTACACAATACAGTCTAGGAGGAAGAAGGCATGAAATAGGACTAAACAGGGAATAAAGAGGTTTTTCTTTGTATTCTATGTATGAAATAAAAAAGAAAAAAAAGTCAAAATACCAATGTTTAATTCTGCATGGTGTGTAATACAGATGCTTGTTTTTCTCTGTAGGTTGTCTTTTAAAGAAAGAGAAAGAAGTCACTAAACTATTATTTCGAAAAACAGACTCATTTTGAGTCATAGAGTAGACACGTTCTTTTTCACTCTTTATTTACAACTGAGGTAGAAAAAAGTTTCTAGAAAAAGAAGCCTAGGAACAATCATAATTATCTTCCGTCCTTGATGAAATGGCAGTACTGTCCTTAGCTCCATCTCAGATTCACTCACTCTTTCCACGTGAAATGAAACCTCGTGTCCTTAGAGTTAAGGACAAGCATCCTGCTTGTTAGGGAAGCTGATTACTGCGTTTACTGACAGCTTGGGGTTGTCTACTCCATACACCCTTTACTATTCAACACAAGGTGATTTGCTGAAGTAGAACAAAAGTCATTGGCATTGGAGAGCTCAAGGAAGTGAGAAACATCTTAAAAGGGAGGATGTTCACGAGAGAATGTGCGAAACCTCAATAACTACACCTAAACATTTCCCAAAGACGACTCGCTTTAAAAATCTCTGTATCTTTGGAAGTTTGAACTGGATATGATTATATTTAGTTGATGTAAAAAGGAATTTGTCTTTAACAACTAGACTTAGGCATTCTGCATCAGAGTATAAACCCTGTTTGTTTTGTTTGGGTCGTTGGTTTGGTTCGTGGAGTTCAGCAACAAACCAACGTGGATTGGGAATACAACAAAACGCTTTTTTTTTTCTTTTTGTTATAGGGGTAGAGGAGGAAGCTGTGGCTTTTTGAAAAAATGTCCTAAATTTCTCTAACCTCTGGCTTTCATATTAGGCAAGGGATGGCCCTGGTCTCAGCTTCACACCAAACTTTGCCATTTGGTGACTCAGATGGAGAAGTCAAACAAGCAGAGGCCATGTCTTTTTAAAGATGTGACTGTGGGAAATCACCTCACCACCCAAGAGACATTACAGTAATAATGTCAAAGCCCCTGGTCATGCAGGTCTCCCTGGGTCTCTGCACCCTGAATTGCTTCCTCTTGAGACATTTCTGTGCCCCACCAGCTTGCACAATGCAGAATGAGTTCAAGGCTTCCTTCCCTGTTGGAGCCTCTATCTTCAGATTCCCTTCCATCTTCTTGGGTGTCCCTCTGGTCACCGTGCCTGCCCCAAGAGGCACAAATTATTTCCATTCCTTGTCAGCCCTCCATTCCTTTCATTCTTATCCACCATTCTTGCTCTTCCACTGTTCCCTGAATACTGGCACCTGGCTCACACTTTTACCCCTCACTCTGCAATTGATGTCTGTCATTTCTGCATCTTCCCTTTTAAGATGTTTCTCACTTCCTTGAGCTCCCCAATGCCAATGACTTTTGTCCTATTTTAGCAAATAACCATGTGTTGTGATTGCTGCGTCCCAGAATGTCAACATCTGGGACTGCTGTAATTTCAAAATAGATGATGAAGTTTGAATTTGTGGGGGCGATGGGGAGGGGATATATTTTGTTACCATCTTTCCTCACTTCTACAGGACCTCTGCCTTTATTGAAAGCCCCAGTTCTTCTGTACCTCCTTCGTAGTCTTCCCACTACTGCAAGCTACCCTTACGTTCCTGCGAAACCCAGATGCCATGGATAGCTATTTAAATACACTCTTTGCCAACTTTTTATTATATCTTTCTTTCTTGACATTCTGCCGTGCTACTGGCAAACTCCAGTGCTGGGGCCCCTAGCAATCCATCTGCCCTGTTCTCTCTGTGACCAGTGGAGAAATACACAAAATATTACTGAAGAGCAACCCACATCCGGGTTCTCACAGCTGCTTCACAAAGATTTCCAGGGCTCAGTAACCTAGCTCTTGAGATTTGACCCCCTCATTACTCCTCAATTCCTTTGCCTGAAAATATGTTTATATCTCTAATTCCAAAATCTTCACCAACAAACCTTACATAATATTTCCTACTCTTCGATCACCATCCTAACTTTTCCCTTTCAGTTTGCCTCCAAACTTCTCAAAAAACTGATTGGTAATCACCCAGACTCTTCCTCCTCTCTTCAAAGCTCTACTAAACTTCTATCTCCCTAAGCCACTCTCTTTAAATGACTTCGGGCTAACAAAAGCTTCTCTACTTCTCATTTATCTCATCCCGAAACTTTTATGTGTCAATTTTTTCTTGAAATTCTTCTCTCATTTTCTTTGCACCTGCCCCACCTAAAATCTCTCCCCTCTACCTGTCTTCTCCCTCCTCATCTGGATATTCTTCTTCATTCCTCTTTAAATAACAGCATTTCCCAAAGTACTTGATACCTGTTCTCCTGTTTTCAGTACCCACCATTCTTCTAGTTAGCAGGTTCAAATCTAAAGTGTGATAACCAGCTTTACTTTCTCCTTTATTTTCCCAGCCCCACATCCTTTCCCCAGGCCGAAGCTAGTCTCCAGGACCTGCTGATCCTCACTCTGGCAGATCTCTTCCATATGTGACTGTATTTACATATCCACTATCACCACTCCATGCCTACATTTATCTCTTCTTGCCTAAACCACTAAGAAATTATCCTTCATCTGTCCTACTCCTGAACTCCATTTTCCCAGTCATATAACCAGGTTAATTTACTGGTTTATTACTAGGTTAATTTCCTTAAAGGACTGCTATTATTTTTATACTCTCTCCTCAAAAATCCTTCCATGATACCTGTGGTGCACTCACACTCTGCCTATTGAATGCCTATTGTCATTCAAAGCTGTCCCAGTCTAAGCCTAGTTTAAGTTTCCAATGCAACTTCCTCTGATCTTCTGTATTTAGCCTTGGCTGCAGATCCAAATGAATCTCCTTCTCTCTCTCCAACAAGCCTTGTCCTTTCCTCTTCTGCAAGGAGCTAGAGTCATTCATCAGAGTCTCAAACAAGTCCACATGCCCAGCATGAAGTCTGTCTCCTCCACAAACCTTTCTGTCATAAATGATGCCAGAAGTAATCTCTCCCATCATTAATACCCTAGAGCACATATTGTCTATGTCACTTTAGTAGCCCTTCTCAGCCTTATGTGTTATCTATTTATGACTTGATAATCCAGCTACTCAAATAATAATAAAAATAATAATATCAAAAACACATTGAGTACTTACTATATGCCCAGCCCTTGACATGGACTAACTTATTTAATTCTCTCCCAAAAAAACAACCCTATGGATGCTTATAGCATTTCCTTTAATATAGAAAAAAAAGAATGGCTGGATCTCCCTTCCCATGTATTGCGGGAAATCCACAAAAGCCCAACCCTCCCACGCTCCATTCCTACGGGATTCTTAGATAAGGGTGTGTGGGGGAGAGTTGCATTCTTCTGAGCTATTCTTGCTGAAGGCTGCACTGGAAATGGCCCTGAATGATTCACCACCTAGCCATCACTCTTGGTCTCCGCAGTTGAACCCCATGTCCTCCATTTCCCCAAAGCCCTATTAATACTGGCTATTAAGTAGAACAGACTTTTATCGAAGATCTGAGAAGGATAGTTACATTACAGAGCTGAAAACCACTTAAATTGTTCCCAGGTCATTATTGTTCTAAAGTCCCTCTCCCACCACTCCACAGGGAATTTTTCTGGTCAATGTTCTCCTCCAGTCTCCATCTACATCATATTGCGTAGCCTCCTCTTCCTTTTTAGAAGCTCCTGGCACTGCCCTCCTTCTTCCTCTCTTCTGGGTCCTATACTTTCACTGCTATGTAAGTTGTTAATTTCTCTCACTTCATGATGCAGAGTAATTCAGCTCTTTTCTTGTTTTGTTCCCACAGTCCAAATGCCCAGGGGGTTTCAGCTTTCACCTCCAAATGACCCAATTAGGATATCTTCTAAAACAAGCATCCATCTTTATGCTATTGCCTTAGAAGGCTGCAATACTTTTATCAATTTAAATGGCAACATTTTATTTTTCTTCCTGAGCTTTTGTATATCTTATCTTCCTGGCATCTAGTGTCTTATCTTTCATACCATTTTTTAAGCATGTTGACTGTGTCTTAACCAAATTTGTATGCTTCTTTGTGCCACATACTTGTTGGGTAACTAAATTAATAAGAAAGAGGATGATAGGAGGCATGAAGACAGTGAGCATTTAGAATGGACAAAGAGAAGGGAACACCAATTTCTATCAATGACTGGAAAAACCTGGAAGGCGTCTTTTTGCAGATGACCCAAACCTGGGAGATAGAAAAGTACACAGAAGTCAAATTCCACAAGGTCTTTAAATTTCTGTACTTTTTCCAGAATGCGCTGTCTCTTTACTTGGGTCTAAATTACTAAATATATTCTGCAAATACTGAACACGTTAGGGAACAATGCGAGGTATTCTCCCCTGACTCTTCTTTTCTGGAATGAGAAGTACAGACGGAATAAGCTGCCTTCACAGTCTGTCTGGGCTGAACCTCATGCCAGGGCGTGGGTAGCACTTGGATGGAAACCACTTCCCCTGGCTTATCATTGTTGAATGATCCTGGAGCTGTTTCGGTTCCTTCCCAGGGGATGGCTTCCACTCTGTCTGCCTCAATAAACTGTCATTTCTTCTCACAGAAACAGTAATTTTCCCAGCTATTAATTCTTCACACCCACTGGAATTTACAAAAACATACCCTTTATTGCTGTCTGAGAATCACGAGGACTCTTTATCTAAGATGTCTTGTTCCTAACCATTCCCAGCACCTGAGAGAGAAAACCCGCCAACAGCACCAAGAATTTGGCAAGTCTCTTCCATACTTGGTCCCAGGTTTTATGCCAGCACTAGGGGCAAATGAGACACATTCTGAACCCAAGCATCTCACGGTCCAAGCAATTTCCCAATTTCATAACTCTTTAAATTTAGAAACACTTTAACGCCAGAGTGTTGACCTCTTTGAGATTCTGAATACAACTTTAAGGTCATTTGGAAAGAATTACTGCCTGCTGTTAGCTCAACAGCCCTCCCCATATTTTCATATCTGATAGAAATTAGGATAAGCCAATTTAGAAGTCACCGAAAATTCAAATCCAAAACACAGTCGTTTATTTGGGAATGCATTTTTAAGAAAAACAAAATTTCTAAAATAATAGCAACAATAATAATTGCTATCCTTTATTGGGTATATATCCTGTACAAGGTACCATGCTGGGTTGAATGATTTTATTTCACTAAATTCTGATAACAATTCTGAAAGGTGGATGCGAGGATTTCCTATCTTTGATAGGAAACTAAAATTCAGAGAGAGAATGTAACTTGCTTATGGTCACTTAGCTATGCTTTAAGAATATATAGAGTGACTTTTTGGCACTCCTAGTAAGTATTGAATGAATAAATGAAGAAATGAATGACTAAATATATAAATCAGTGATTTCCTGAAACAATCTATATGGCCTATTTAATTGTCTATGTGCAAAAAAACACACACATAAAAATTATAATCTTAGTCATAAAATTATACAGAAAATCAATAAATTTGAATTTAAAAGAGATTTTTACATTGAGATCTGATGTTTGAGAGGCACCAGTCTAAGTGGAGGAAGGAGATTAACATTTTTGGGAGACAATTTTAGTCACTTTGAATTTGGCCCTAATTTCACTCAAACACTTTTGGCTTTACTTTTTCTTGATACTAGCGTATCTCCTCACTACTTTCATTGTCACCACATGGCAAGTTTCCTTTGGGCTGTCAAAAGGAACAAAATGAAATATCTCTAATAATAGGTGGCAGAAGTGCAAGAGCAATCATTCTCCACATTTTCTATCTTATGATCCTTCAGTTATCATTAGAGACTCTGGATCAAATCCTAATACAAACAAAAGTTCCAACCCTCCTCCTTCCATCCCCCAGCCCTTCACACCCACTAAGGAGATCGATATGTTCCTAGATACCGATTAATATTGATCTTCATTGATCTTACATTTTAAAGATATACAAAGTAAATATTATTATAGCCAGTAAACATCATTGGTATGGCTCAAAAAATAATAAATCTATGTGTCATAGTATGGAAAAGTGTATAATTTGTTTTAAAACACAAGAGAATTTTCCTTTAAGTTATTAGAATGTAGACTAATGATGTTTAAGGTGTATGTGGAGTTTGAGGAAATATTAATTTAGCAATGTTACTCAATATCCTTACCTAACTTAGACTGTTTCTGTAATTCCTTCACTCTACTGTTCTCAGGGAATCCATGAAGAACTAAGACACGGAAGCTGGAGGCACAGAACTGGTTGGGAAAAAGAGCAGATTCATGACCTGATTTAAAAAATAGGAATCATGAGGGCATAGATATGAGAAAGCAGGTCCAAGGCCATCAAGCGTTCAAAAACTGAATGACTGAGGAGGACAGAGATAGGTGAGTGGTCAAAGGCCTGGCAAAGACCCAGGAACTAAGGGAGCAGCTGGGCAAGGAAATGAGACCAGCAGGCACCCGGCACCTACCACGCAGAGAGTAATGGGTGAGAAAGAAGTCCCTAAGAAGTACCTAATCTACAAGTGTAGGATGAGAGATAAAAGAAATAGAAGTGTGTGGATGGACAAGAAGTCATTAGCTTATGAGCTGATAAATGGAGGCCAGAAAAGAGCTTAAGGTATGCTGATTTTCAATGCAATGGTCAATATCCTACCAGTGGGCGGGGGGGGGGGGGGGTGGGTGGGGGGGGGAAGAACAGATACTTAAAGGAGATGGTAAGGAAAGAAAAAAGGAAAATATTTGAGGTCAAATTTCAGGGAGACATCTTAGAGGGAGAAGTTTCTTGGCTCCAGGCCTGCCCCAGAAACATACCGGGGAAAGTACACATGGAGAGACACATACCCTATGTCTTAATATCTAACAATTATAAATTAAGCTAACTGTGTCAGTCAGAGTTCCACCAGAGAAACAGAACCAGTAGAAGATATACATTAATAGATTTATTTCAAAGAATTGGCGTATGTAGTTGTGGGGGCTGGCTAGGCTGCTTGGTTTGAATGTTTGTGCGCCCTCCAAAATTCATGTTGAAACTAAATCCCAAATGGAAGAGTGTTAAGAGATGGAGGCTTTAGGACACAATTAGGTAGGGCCCTCTTGGATGGGTTTAGTGCCTTATAAAATGGCTAGAGGGAACTAGCCAGGCCCTTTTGCCCTTGCACCTTTTCCACCATCTGAAGATAGAGCATGTAAGGCACCATCAGATGAGACCCTCACCAGACAGTGAATCTGCCTGCACTTTGATCTTAGACATCTCAGCCTCTGGAATGGCAAGAAATAAATTTCTATTATTTATAAATTACTCAGTCTCAGGTATTCTGCTATAGCAGCACAAATGAACTGAGACCCTAGGCAAGTTTAAAATCTAATAGCAGGCAGTCAGGAAGGGCAGGCTGAATTCCTGGGCACAACCTGACCCTGCAGTCCAAGGCAAATTCTTCTTCCTCAGAAAACCTCAGTTCTGCTCTAAAGAACTTTCAGCTGATAGAATCAGGCCCAGTCATATTATCTATGTAATCATCTTTACTTAATCAACTGAATATAGAGTAAATGACAGCTACAAGTTACTTTCAAAGCAAACCCTCAATTAGGTTTTGATTGAATAACTGTGGACTATAGACAAGCCAATTTCACTTATAAAACTGACCATTGTATTAATAAACTGTTAAAATATGTTACAACTACCTACCTTGACAAATATACCATCATGACAATATCAAAAGGTATGTGTTAAGCAGTGGTTAACTAAATGACTTATAAATTGGCAAAATATCAAAGATGGCTTACAGTGATTATTAATTGACCATTTCTGCTTGTTCTCTTAATGAACCAGGGAAGTTTGGATGATTAGTAAACTGAAGACAGACATAATTTATAAACTATACATTCATTTGTAAAATTTATTTTTCTTGCTTGAATTTTAACAAAATTACTAATAATGCTATTATAATCAAGATCTTGTTCTGTTGATAGAATGCCAATTTAAAAAGCCTTTCTTGTGTCATTACAGAATTATAATTATAATTATAGAATTATAATGACACAAGAAATTGTAACAATTATAGAATCGTCAGTAAATGCTCTAAAACAGTAAACTCAGAAATAGCCATAAATGTTACATATCTTGTGTACATATTATAATAGAATCACTTGTGATAAATTAGCATTATCATGAAAAATACCGTGATTTACAATATAATTGTTATCACATATCGTGATTTTAACTATCTCTTAAAGCAAAGTTTAGATGCATGGTAATATTTTTAAAATGTCTTTCAAGTTTTTTGAAGCTGGAATAGTATAAAGAAAACTGAAAATAGCACTATATTGCAGCATTTGTTCAAATTTCTCTTCAATAGACAGCATACGTTGATCTACAATGACCAGAAAACAATCCTTACCAAAATTTCTTTCAGGATTATTTGTGTGTGGATCTCCTTTTTATCCATGTACATATTTTTTTTTCTTGTTCTAATTAACTTATATTTTATTGGAATGTTATTTCATTGCACATATCACATGCACTTTCTTTTGATTTAGAAAAATGTTTTAAAAATTAAAAACATTTGTAACCTTTTTATAAGTAAAATGGCACAACTCAGATTTTTATTTTTGTAAGATTTTGTCAAAAAAAAATGCATTCCAAATAACAAAAAAACATGAGCCACTCATGTTCAAAATTAATTTGATTTTCTGTTGAAGATCATAATTTCCTGTTTATTTGAAGCTCCTCTATTGTTTTACTTAACTCTTCAATATATCTGATATCTTGCCTGAATTAAATCTAATTGCCTTAACAGCATTCAGTCAGCATTGCCATGATGTGTCAAAGGATGATTGGGTGGCCAAAATTGATATTAGTTTCTTTAGTTTTTCATCTTTAGGCAGATAAAGACAATATCATACATAAGGCTTGGAAGTGTTCCACAGAATACCGTAGTTATAAAGAAGTTAAGCATTTGTCTCCTGGTAACAAATTCAAACTATTTTGAGTCATCTGGCTTGTTGGTTTTTTCTTCAACAACCACCTGAGCACAATTGTTAACAAACTTTCAAATCAATGCCTAAAATTGAAAGTTGTTTCTTCATCTTTTCATAAAAGTGAAAATTCTTACTTTTTACAACAGATGTAAAAACTAATGAAACATTTGGAATTTTTAACTTCCTTGTTTCTTCATCTTGTAGTTTTGAATACTTTGCATGATAAAAGTTGGTGTATAATGTGTCTTTTATCACTGGTAGAATCTAGTTGACCTTTACAATTTTTATGTATTAAATATTCTTATTTTATTACTCATTATTAACAATTTCTTTTAAAATTCTTCATTCTAGATAGTGATCATTTATTTCACTTTCTTTTGATCTCTCTTATGTGTTTGGCCATTTTAACATCAAATTTCAAAAGCATTTCTACTTAACCTAGAAATTTTCCATTGTTTTCTGTAAATATCGTTCTGCTATTGCCACAGAAAACATCATTATGCTTAGGTACATACTACACACAATAATATTCTTTTGAAAAAAATCTCACCTAATGCCCAATGTTCTATTTCAGTGTTTAAATACTATTGACTGTTTTTCATTTATTCAGCTTTTTTTCAGTTCTAATAAAAATCACTATTTGCTTTTTTTTTTTTTTAATGCATCTTGTATGCTCTTCTTATTGACAGTCTAAGAGTTTCCATTCACAGGTATCTTCATTGGCCAACACTGATCCTGAAAATAGATTTTAAAATATATACCAGTAGTAACAAAACATCTTGTCTTTCATTTAAAATATAAAAACCAATTTATTAGTTGAAGTTTTATTTGCTTTGTTAAAACATCCAGACTGGGCATGATGGCTCACACCTATAATCCCAGCATTTTGGGGGACTGAGGTGGGAGGATCACTTTAGGTCAGGAGTTCAAGACCAGCCTGGCCAACATTGTGAAACCTCGTCTCTACTAAAAATACAAAAATTAGCCAGGTGTGGTGGCGAGCACCTGTAATCCCAGCTACTTGGGAGAATGAGGCAGGAGAGTCCCTTGAATGCAAGAGGCAAGAGGTTACAGTGAGCCAAGATAGTGCCACTGCACTCCAGCTTGGGTGACAGAGCAAGACTCAATCTCCAAGGGGAAAAAAAAAAAAAACCAGAAAACTTCCGTGCAGAGATCCTGCAAATTAAAATTTTTTAATGGGCATCTTTAATTTGATGTCTTGAGATCGAGTCTGATATTTATATTTGTAAATAAATGTATTCAGAAGACAAAAGCAATTTTATCATATTATTCGAATTATCAAGAAGGACTAAGGCAAAATTTATGAGGCAAAAGTTATAAGCCTTTGCAGTGGTGGATCTATTTATTTACAAAAAACAAAAGTTCTATTTCTAAAATATATTGCCCAAGGTGCTGGAATTTTAGCCTATTCCAAACGTGTTAATGAAGCCACCTTCTTTGTTCAACCCCTCCACTAATAGCATAGCCATTCCCCTAGTCTCTTGGGCGAGAGATGCAGTGCAGTCTTTGACTCATTCCTCTCTTTTTCCTCGTGATGGGGTGCCAGTTATCACGTCCTGACAATCTGACCTCAGCAATGCCTCTCCTAATCTGATCTCCAATTTTCAGTTTCTAACATGTCTCTAGTTTGGGCCATCAATACTTCACAGCTATACTTTTAAATGGGCTTCTAAATTAAATGGACTTCTCTCTTCTTTCAAGTCAAAACACTCACTAGTACCACATTTATTCTCCAAAATCTCAGCTTGATTTTCATTCCTGCATACCCTATTCACCCTCCAAAGTCAAGCTCAGTCGTTTCCTTTTCTGTGAAGCTTTACCTGATCCTCCCAACCAATTAATATCTCCCTGTTTGAGTCTCCTACTCTTCTCTGGAAAAATGTTCTTGTTTTGTTGTTGTCTCATTATTTCTTTTATTTCCTTTACTAGACTGTGAGCCTCTTGAAGTTAAAGTCTTGGTCTCTCTATTCTTTGTCTTTCCTGTATCCTTAATATGACACTATGTTCAGAGACAGTAACACTACACATTTGCTTAATTTAAGTAAAGAGCGATTTATGGAAGCCTCCTCTTCTAAATAAATCAATTTTAATGTTTATTCAGACTGAATTTTTCACTAAAATTTGTATTTCATCTCGAATATCACAAAATTTATGACTGATAGAACTTGCCCTGAGGAATTAAAGGCATTCTCTTAAGAGTTCCCCATTGTATGAGTAACAATTCAAATTCCAGGTCAGTGGGCACACTCTTTCTCGTCTAATGCATTAGGGCGGCTCTACAGGTTACGAAGCATCGGAAAACAAAAAAATGACTTTAAGTTGTCTTTCCTTCAGCATTACAAAAAAGAAAAGAAGCTGAAATAAAATATTACTAATTCACCCTGAAAGGCTCCTCAGTTCTCCAAATTTAGGGGCATTTGCAATATAACAGTAATATTTTTTAATTCAATCTAATTTAAGAGCTCCCAAAGAATTTTCATATGCATATGTTGCTCAGAGCATCCATGAGTTAATTGAGTCAGATATTAAGCTAATTTTCAGGGGGCAAAATAGATTAATAAATAGAAAAATGATAATTCTATTCATCTACCCATTGAGCCAGCATGTTTTGATTGCCTGCACTCTGGGTACTATTCCTTGAATTAACCCATAGAACACACTCAAAATTTTCCAAAGATTTCCTCTGTTATCACAAAAGATAGGATTCCAGACTAGAAAGACCCCTTAGATACTATCTAGCCTTGGAGTAATAAATCGTTACGTCTTAAGCACACCAAGTCTACTCAATTGGTAGCAGCTGCCTATAGCATTTAATTATGGCTTGTAATTCCAAGTCAAGCCTAAATGGGAAAGAAATCAGTGGTGGTGGATTAGCTATGTCTGCCACGGATGTGGGATTGGAAGAGACAGCATGTGTGCAGTATAGGCTTTATCTAGTTCAACTCTCTTGTTTTATAAGTGAGGAAACTGGATACCAGAAAATGGAGATAACTAATTTTAACAGACATCACTCACTAAGGACAGAAACTGGACTAGAATCCAAAATTTTGGATGTATAGAGAACTTCTATTTCTACTTCCTGATGCTCATATTCATATACACAGTTATGCCTGATGACATTGACAATTAGAATCTCCAGTTTGGGGAGAAAATGACTTCTAAAGAACACAGACTGGGGTCACAATTTAAATGCTGATTCAGACCTGTCAATTTTCATGAGAGTGAAAACATCTGTAGGAAGAGGAATGACTACTGCTTTGCAGGGGTGGGAGGTTGTGAAATACATTTGTTTTCAAAACTTCTGTTTGAAAACTCTCAACTGGCACCACCATCAAATAGGAGAACTCTCTTTAAGCACGTTTGTTCCTGTTTGTTTAAAAGAGAATATTCTAAAATATTTGGCTATGCAGCCTGCTTGCTTCTATGCTGAGGGAAATTCTGTGCTCTAGAAGAAGAAAGAAAATCACAAAGCTTGAGCCTGGGAAAAGTGGAAGTAATCTTTCTCCCTATAGCTAATCTCCTTGTAGAGCTGTAAATATGACATGTTGTTAATGGAGGAAAATTAATTCACTCTTCAGAAATATCACTTGTATTTTAACATGGTCGATTTTTTCTACAATGTTTTTATTGGCCCCCCAAAGTACAGATATCTCCAGATAAGTTGTGGATCAAATAAGGAAACTGAGAAGTCCCTACCTCAAGAAAGCAAACATTTTGAAATTTACCAGGCCAATTAATACCGAAGGCAAATGATACATGTATTTCAACACTTTGTTCCTATTCCTCTGAAACAGTAAGGCAAATATTTACCCAGCTCATCAGGAAATATAACTGTGACCAACACAAAATTGATTTTTTGCCTACATATTAGTCTCAGAAAGGTAAGTTATAAAAGAGTAGATTAATAGGTACATTGAGAACTTGGTAAACATTTGGAATAGAAAGCTATTTTCTTATATGAAGCTATTTTCCCTTAGTTTGAGGGAAGGGAGCTTTCAAAGAGTATGGTATATAATTTTAAATATTAAGTAAAAAGATTAAATGTCTACAGTCAGTTATTATCTTGTGTGATTTATGCCCGACTCCACCACATAAAGTTCTGACATAATACAAAATATTTGCAGAAACAACAGTATAACACACCTGTAAAGGGCAATAGAACAAAGGAGGAGTGTTATAACCTTGAACTGTTCTTTAGTCCTTGACCACCTTGGGAACTTCCAGTCATCACCTTGCTTTGAGAGCCTTTGGCTTAAACTATACTGGACTTCCTACTTTCATCTCCAAGGTCCTTCTCTGAACTGGTGGTTGAAGTGAGAATAAACAGGAGGGGGCCCATGTGAGAAATATTTAGGAGGTAAAAGGAATGTGTTAGGAGACGGTCAGGAGACAGTGTGGTGAGAGGAAGTGATTGAAGATGATGCCCAAGATGGTGGACGGACTGAGGACATCAATGATGGAGACATCTCCTGAGACAAGGAAAATAAGAGGAAGATCCTGCTTGTTGTTTAACACCAGGAAAGAATCACAGATGCCTGCACTCACTAACCAAGGCATCCTCCAGAGGTGTGAATGGAAGACATTAGCACAGAACCTGGAGGTAAGCAGAGATCCTCAGCTGTCCCCATCAGACTTTGGAAGGCTCCCTGCACCTCACACTTCATGCACACACACTTGTTGTGCCCTCAGCTTGCCAGATGGGTAACCACAACACATTTAACTATTAAAGGTAAACTGATTCAGTTATACACCATCAGCACAGGAATAAAGAGAACAAAAATATTTTCAAAAGCTCAGGGGATTCTGCTGCCACCCAATATAATCAACATAGGCTTCCCAGTAAGTCAGAGATGGGCAAGACCATCTCTAGATCTGAGCAGGGCAGCCTGCCCACTCCTGGCCCCTTCCTGCACCATAAGAGGCCTCATGCATAGGGGTATGGACACCTAGGTCAGCATGTCTAAAATCTACCCAAACACCTGGAAACAACCACACCATGGTCATCCCTTAGGGTTAAGGGTACACACAACAACGGTACAGTCCATTCCAGAATAAAAAGCCTACACAGGCCCAAAAAACTAGATTGGGATCTTTGCCAGGGAGTTTCAGGGTCCTGGATTGCTGGGGTAAGTTATACAGAGTGTGAGAAATTGGCCCTAGGAGGAGGGGTGTGGCTGGAAGGTGACTTCTCTGCACTGCTTCATTCTGACACAGAACTCCAAGGAATCTGAAAATTTCCCATTTAAATATGGCCATTCAGGCCAATATAAAAGTCTATTAGGCAAAAAAGAACTCTTAAATATCTTTTAACAGTTTGTTCACTTGATTTATAGCTTCAGAGTTTATAGATGTGTTATGTGGCCCTTATTTGTATTCTTGTCCCAATTTCCACAAATATTAGGAGTAAGGTCTGGAGAAGAGAGACTTGACTCAGCTATTTCATCTGATGGGTTCAGTTCCCATGTTCCTCTTGCACTAAGGGTGACTTGACACACCGAGTGTGTTTCTAGGATTAAAAGATAAACATCACTCATGTCACATAGGCCTTAAATGCAAGTCATCTACCTCATCTGATACCAACTAGGACAGCCATCATTTCCAACCTTGAGAAAACACTGGCCCTCACAGGCTTATTGAGTGACAGTGTGTCATGTCAGTCTCCAATCTGACCTGTAAATATGGGCATTTACACAGCTATCTATGTATTATTATGGGATTAGTCAAGGGTAATCTTGACTGTATTTTATTTTTTGCTCTATTTACACGTACATGCAGATCCAAATGATTATCAGGCATTATGGCAAAGATGTGCATCATTAAAGTGGAAAGGGAAAAAACATAAGTGGGATAATTTGGGCATGATTTCAAATAGGAGAAAAATAAAAGATGCGGAATAATTTAGACATTTTACTCATCATTTGAACTTTGGACATAAGTTCAAAGACAATGGGATGGCAACAGACTCTTGAGAATGAGGAAGACATCCAATATCAACCCTCTCATTTATCTAATTCTAAATAGATTGATTAGAGCAGAGAGGGGAATACTTCAAGGATAGGGTGAATAATTCTATTTATTAAAAAAGGAGAAAAACAATAAACGGTTGACTTCTAAATCCCATTATAAGGATTGGATCTTCTGCTGTTTGATAAAAAGTCCAAGTAAACCTTGACACCCACCTTAAGCCCAGCAATACAGCTCGATGCCTTGAATTGAAGACATCAACTGAAGGCCAGGCCACTTTTTGCTAAAACTGGTTTATTTTGATGCCTCGAAGCAAGTGTCCTGGAAACAAACTGTTGGCGAGAAAGACAGTGATTACTGAATCGGCAAGGGCTAATTTTCAAGGCCTGGGAAAAGCAAAATTGCTTTAAGAAAGATAACACTGCCGATAATTGAGTTCATCCAAGGGAGGTTTGAAAAGATAGGGCAGTACACACTCGAAGAGAACTAAGTCTTCACTTTAGAGCTGGCTGCCTGCTGTTGAAAACATAAGGATTGTCCAGGGCAGTCCTAACTTGACTATTGTTGATATTATATTTATTATTTACTTTTTTAGTAGATTGAGAGACATATTTAGCTTTTGTGGAACATATTAGGTTTCCTGCAGCCTAGAATAGTGTAATTTTGGACATAAGTGAAAAAATCATGCTCCATGTGTACTTTTAACAATAATTATTACAGTTATGATGGTTATAATATATTGTGTACCAGACACTGTGATACACATTTCATGTAGACTGCCTTATTTTATTTAATGCTCATAAATACTTTTCAATATGGGTGTGAATATGTACATTTTAACTGAGGCTTGGAGAAGTTAAATACTTGCCCAAAGCCACACAGTTAGTAAGTGATGAAGCTGGTATTTGAATGGTACTGTCATACTCATGCAGACTCAGAAACACAGGTTAGGCTGCTTTCTTGTACAATGCAGTTTTATTCTGCATCCAGCTCTCATATACCTATCATTTCTTAATCCTTTGAATTATAATCAAAAGCAACAATCAGTATATCAAAGCGTTACCTGCACCCCCATGTTAATTGCAGCAGTATTCACAATGGCCAAGATATGGAACCAAAGTAAGTGCCCATCAATTGATGAATGGAAAAAGAAAATGTGGTATATATATATATAGAAAGGAATGCTATTTGTATTTGACCATTAAAAAAAAAGAATGAAATCCTATCATTTGCAGCAGCACGTATGGCACTGGAGGACATTATGTTCAGTGAAATCCTATCATTTGCAGTGTGGCACTGGAGGACTAAAAGTCCCCAAACAAGGCTGGGTGTGGTGGCTCACACCTGTAATCCCAGTACTTTGGGAGGCTGAGGCAGATGGTTCTCTTGAGTCCAGGAATTTAAGACCAGCCTGAGCAACATGGCGAAACCCCATCTCTACAAAAAATATATGAAAATTAGCCGAGTGTGGTAACATGCACTTGTGGTCCCAGCTACTTGAGGGGCTGAGGTAGGCCCAGGGAGATCAAGGTTGCAGTGAGCCAAGACCACACCACTGAACTCCAGCCTGGGCAACAGAGAGGAACCCTATCTCAGGAAAAAAAAAAAAGAACGGGAAGAGAAGGCAGACCTAGATAACCACAGAATGAAAATTACTCAGATATTAAGAGACAGTACAGAGAAGAGGCTAAAAAAAAAGTCCTTAGTAGATTTTGAAGTAAGCGTTAATGGACATAAAGAAAACTGTTTTGGTAAGATGCTACGTATTTCCATTTATTATATTCTTCAGAGTTACATAAACTTTGAAACGCTTATCATCAGTTTAGCCAATGTTGACAGCTTCTCAGTTGCTCTTGTCAGTTGCTCTTCCAGGAGCCTCTGGAGGATCCATCACTCAGTAGGAGGCAGCACCTGATGCATAATTTATAGGACACAATGCAAAATGAAAATGTGGGCCCTTTGTTAAAAATTATTCAGAATTTCAAGACAGTGACAGTAGAGCATTAAGCTTGGCCATTCTGAATGTGAGAGCCTCTGTGACTCACAGGTCACACATCCGTGAAGCTGTCCTTGATAGGGGCACTCAGAAAGAAGTGTGTCCTGGGCTGCAATGGCAGTGACCAACGTCCTATTGGAAAGCCACACATCTGTTTCTCATCTCTTTCTAGGCCCACTGAGCACCTTCTCTCAAAACACAATAATTTCCATCAATCTTTCCAAAAATTATTTAGAAAAGAACCCTTGGAAAGCTCACAATATTTGAACACTTCACACTTTCAGACAGTATATAGTTCCTCTAATCCTAGGCCTAGAATTTGGGTAATTGCTTCCACCTATGCATTCATCCATTTATTCTTTGGCATAACAGCTAGCTGGAGCTAGCTGGAAGTCTCCACTAAAAGTGTTAAGATACTTTCATGACAAGGTTTTAGAACCATTTTCTTACCATTATTTTTCAGAAGAAAAAATTTGGCATAAGAACTTTAAAATGTTTGAGGCCGTAGTAAGTATTCTTATATTAAGAAGCCTCTGAGGCCAGGCACAGTGGCTCACGCTTGTAATCCCAGCACTTTGGGAGGCTGAGGAGGGCGGATCACGAGGTCAGGAGATCGAGACCATCCTGCCTAACAGGGTGAAACCCCGTCTCTACTAAAAAAAAAAATACAAAAAATTTAGCCAGACATGGTGGCAGGTGCCTGTAGTCCCAGCTATTCGGGATGCTGAGGCAGGAGAATGGCATGAACCTGGGAGGCAGAGCTTGCGGTGAACCAAGATCGTGCCACTGCACACCAACCTGGGCGACAGAGTAAGACTCCGTCTCAAAAAAAAAAAAAAAAGCTTCTGAGTCTAGACTCGGCCCATATGACACATCATCTGTTTGCTACCTATTTCCTCTAGAAGCTCTGGCATTATTAACTTTTAAACACAGCCTTTTATAGGAGATCTAGCTCCCTCAGATCCTTTGTGGAATGGGGATCAGTGACAACTAGCCTCTTAGAAGGCCTGAGAGCCTCAATATCTCCTGTCTTGCAGACTGCTAAGCATCCTGGATGATTTAACTGTCAAATGGGATTACTTTCTTAGTCCTCTTGAGTACTTGATTGCCCAAACTTTTATTTTGTTCAGCCCAGAAATCGTATGCTTTCCCACCTCTGTGCATTTGCCTGTTCTTGTCAGCCCACCTGGAAGGCTATTTCCTCACTCCCCCTAAGGCTACACATCTGAATTCTTCACATCCTTCAAGCTTGATGACCAGGACTTTTAACCCATTAATCCCACTTTTACGAATCTAATGAAAGAAAATGATCAAGAAAATACATACACACACACACACACACACACACACACACACACACACAGAGACACACACACATTATATTACTCTATGATTTACATTACAAAATCAAAGCAATTTATCTTGATCTCTTAATCTTAAGAGTCACACTTTAACTCACTTAATTTTTCTAATGCATATTACAAGTCATGTATACTTAATGTAATCTTTTTCTTCATTCTAAATTTTTAAACCCGTTTCACTTAAAAGTCAATGATGACTTAGAATAAAGGAAATATCACTAATGCCCCTACAAAGTGAGGAAGTTTGGTCCACAAAACCACCCCCATTTTTGATGACAATTACAGAGTGGCAGGATTCTCAAGACCACTCTCAGTTTCAATAAATCACATAACTCACTGAAAGCTGTTATACTAATGGAAAGAATAGAGGATAAAATCATCTAAGATAAGATGCACACAGGGCAGAATACAAGAACAGTCCCAGCATAGAACTTCCATTGGTGCTCACCCAGTAGAATGAGGAATGTGACTCCTCTGGCAATGATGCATGACAATACGCACAGATTATTGTCAACCAGAGAAGGCTACTTGATTCTTGGGAATCTGGGTTTTTTATTGGGTTTTGATCATGTAGACACAATTGATTGTCTATGAGGCTGACCTTTAGTCTTCAGCCCCTCCAGAGACTGAACTGATAACTTTTGTCTCCAGCCCCTCCGGGGGTAGAAAGGATACCACGTGGTCCACAGCCCCTCCATAAATCACACTGTTGGACTGTTCATCGTGGCTCAAAACCCCAGGAAAACAAAGATAATTTTGTCAGGGAGGACATTCCAAGGGCCTAGAAATCATCTCTCAGTAGCCAAGGGCAATGACCAGATCTCTCTTTGGGTAAGATTAATTATTTACTGTTTAGCCTCCAAATGAGGGATTGGTTAAATTAAATATAGTACCATAATATTATGGGATAACACGCTGCTCATTAAAATTATGTTTTGAAATGTACTTATGACATGGGGAAATTTGTAGAGCATAGTCTTGTGTATATTTAATTTGAATTGTTTGTGTATGTGTATGTGTGTTGTCTTTAAGCTAACCAATAATATATTTACATTCTTCTGCTTCAGTGATTTTTTTCAATTGCCCACATTTAGTTTCCACGTAATATGTGTGTGTGTGTTTTTTTCTTTTCCCCATTCAGGTTCTGTATCTTTTTTTTTTACAGAATAACAGAGACTTTTCCTTTCTTCCTATTACCTTTAGTCCCACTAAATATTGCCAGGCTTTGGCAACATGTAAAGTCAAAGAACAGGGAAGTCTTCTTTAGAAAGTCCTCCTTGGAAAGTCGGTTGTAGAGACAAGACAGTTTCTCAGCAACAATTCTCTCTGTTTCTCTGCCTATTAAATTTATTCATTCATTCCTTCATTTATTGAACAAATCTTACAGTATTTATGCTAAGACTGGGGCTGGCTATACAGATGAGTAGAGCCATAGGGTCTTCCACTTAATGGGCTTGGAACCTGGTAACAGAAAGAAACATGTAAAGGATAAGCTACTATATATGACAAAAGTGTCCTTTTCCTCCATAGAAACCCAAAGTGGTCCAGCATATTCCAATCTGGAAACTGAGAAATTCAATAAGGCCACTCTAGCTGAAGCCATAGAGGGTGGAGGCATTTGTAGTACATCTTCCTTCCTCTGTAGGTTCTGTACCATCCATCCTACAGACAGATCTTAGAATGTGGTGTTAGGATGGAGGCTTAGACATCTGCTACCTTATGGATCCAGAATTCTGATCATTTTTCTTTTCTTCTCTTTATTTTGGAATTTGACTCTTTGCTTTCCTCTTAATCCTCAAACTCAAAAGACACACCACATTGCTATTCAAGACATTAAAATGGCAGACCAGGTGTCAAAATGAATTGACCTAAATGATTCCAAGTTTTCGACACTTTAATGATTTCACAGTAATTTACCTGGCACCATTTCTGATTTTACCAATTGTTGTAGAGCAAAACAAACAAAGAAAACAATAACAAAATATGAATCATCAGTTTATTTTTCATAAAAATGATTAATTTGAATAAAGGTATGTTATTCATATTGTTTAATAACAAGTACACACACATGCATACAAAGTGAAAAGTACCGTGATAACTCAGAACAATGACTGTAGAAGTGTAGAAACAAAACACCATATTCTACGTAGAGAAATAAGATGTCACTCCCGCCTCTTCTCATGCACAGAATCTGTCTCAACCCCCAATGTTAGTTGATCCTAGGACCCCTAAGATTGTCTTTGGCTCCATTTCTAATGATAGCCTCATGCCATGTATCTAAATCAGCTGTTTCTGACTCAATGTTAGATATCTTCTTAAGTCAGTATTGTTATTACCAACTTAAAAAATAAGCTCCACCTTTTCTGCTCTATTCAAAGCCCAGGGGTGTGGGAGAAATCTCCCTGACTACAAGCCAGACAGGGAACACACAAGAACACACACACATGCACATGTTCACAAACCAAACAACCACCAGAAAGAAAATGCATCTCATTTGGGCCTGTCCAGAGGGCTTGGTAAACAATGGAGAGGATTGAGTGGAAAAAATACCAAAAAACCTACTTGAAAGCCCTCATTTATATGTTTAAAAAATAACAGGGAGATGTGAGTGGCTCTCAATTATGGTGTGTTGAGGTGGATATACAGTCATGTTAAATGAATGAGCCTTACTTTCCTCTTTTCCTCTGGCTATATTTTCCCTATTACATCCAGAGCTACTTTTTTCTTAAACCAGATTTATAAATGAATAATATTGAAGGCAAATTTGTTTTGACCAAGGTGATGCCTGTGTTTCAGGTTGCATGAAGAGGGAAAATCTGTGAACAACTTATTCATTGGGTCTAGTTCATGGGTTAGTTGGTTAGTGCTGAGAAAAACACAGGTCCACCTTCCAGTGGGTTCTTCTTTGCATTTTGAACATCTGGATGACTTAACTGAATCTTAGCTTTTATCCAATCACCTAGCTTTCCTGTAGACAATTTTAGCATAATATAAAAGTTCTCTAAAATAGGTTAAGGTTGACCTTTTCTCTTATAAACAAATATAATACACATCATACACACAGTTGTAAATGCAAACACACACATACACACACACACACACACAGAAGCAATTTCTGGTAACGGAAATCAAGAATTACAACATGGAGTTATTTTTTATTTCAAATTTCTTGAATTGTTTCTTGGCCTCTCTCTGCTCATTCAGGAAAACATGAGTCCCTCAGGAGCATATATTGTGTTTCCAACTTCCTTTCTATCCTCCATGGCACCACACCATTTTGAGCATAATAGGAGCTCAGAATATGTTAAATGACTATGTATATGAATGACTCAAAACACAACTCAATGACTGAAAGCTTTTTAATTAGAAAATTTCAGAAAAGATAACTATTGGTTGCTGGGCTTCATTCCTGGGTGATGAAATAATCTTTACAACAGACCCTCGTGACATGAGTTTACCTGTGTAACAAACCTTCCCATGTAACCCTGAACCTAAAATAAAAGATTAACTTAAAAAAAATTCAGATGCAGGCAATTCATATTAGAGTCTTGTGTCAATGAGTTAACTGCCATCAAGAATAAAGTAGTCTTCTATTGCAAGGAGTGCGTAATCTAGCTAGTGAAACAAGATTAATAGAGGTGAAAAACAGCAGAAGATACAAAAATGATGCAGTAAGCACCCCACTGTAACATCTTGATGACTATCTGAGTACTACAAAATTCAGAGGAGAGGGATGTTGATGGAAGCAGGAGCAGACAGGGCTGTCTTCATGCAGGATACAGGGTGCCGCTGGAACCTGGAAGGGCAGTGAGGTTTGCAAAGGTGAAAGAGAGACTGGGTAGTTTTGCTAGTTGAGTGAAATAACATGGTGAGGGATAACTTTTCCTTTTGGGACTAGAGCATAAAAAGCAGATGAGTATCAACTTATTTGTTCTTGGAGCCTGTGTACCCCAAGTCAATAAAAAATAACACCTTGCAAGATAGCTGAGATTAGAAGAAAGCAAGGAGACTGGCCAGACAAGCTTAAGGCCTGTGATGGGTTTGCGACCACATGGGAATAATATATAGTGGGTGATAGACACCCAGGTCCCCTAAAGCAGGAACCTGGTCGGCCTTGTTCATTTTGTTCACCACTGTATCTCCAATGCCTAGAACAGTGCCTGGCCCTTGGTAGGCACCTAAATGATTTTTGTGAAATATAAGAATGAATCTTGAAATATTGTTTTTAAGACTGAGTTTGAGGCCCAGCTTATACACACTGAAGCAGAACCATTTCAGAGACCAACAGAGTGAGTGCTGTGTTTGTTTTCCTGGATGGGCTGGCCTCCAGTGGTGTTTGCTGAAAATACAAGCCCATTTCCCCATTAGAGTAAAGGTGAAAAAACTCAAGGAATGCTCTCTTCCCTTCAGAAGTGTGTGAAGGTAAATGTCTTTTTGTAAGCTAGTCTGCTCCCTGCCCAAGCCTAGAAGCATGAAATTTGATTGCTCATTCCAAAGTATGCATGACTACCAATGTTAATAAGGCTCATAAAAGTGCTTAGCCCTTTATAAACAAACCCATTATTTATTCTGCCTGTCTCATCTGTGCACTCTGATAATTGAGTATGTGTGGTAGAGCTTGTTGTGAAAAATGGCTTCAAATCTAGTCAAATCCCCTGATTTAGTTTCAACTAAATGCAGAGAATGGATCTGTCCCAAGATTAATAGATTATATTTGAAAGGAGGAGATACCCAACTAAGAGAATAAGGACTTGAGATGTAATTTCACAGGATAAAAATAAAAAGATCATGTTTTGTTTCTTATCCTAGAACTAAGGGATGCTTTGTGGTATTGATCACATTCTACCTTGGTTAATGTTTTCTATCAAGCTGTTAGTTTCATGCTACCAAGAAATGTCAGTGCTCAGCCACTAAAACACTGGACATGAAATTCATGGTTATATGTAAACTGTGATATTTCCATTTTTTTCTGAAAATGGCACTTTTCTCTCATGCTTTTCACCTCTTCCACCTTGAGGCTTTACTTTTGACAAACAGAAGAAATTAAAGAGATTCTTCCCAATACGCACATCTATTTCCTGTGTGATCTCATAAGCCTTCAGGGGAAGATGGATGCCAGTGTCTTACAGACGGCAATCCTTAGTGTCTGCACTTTGTTTCCCTTCTAGGGATATAAAACCTTTGTAACCTCCCCACAGTGTACTCACAGTGGCAGCAGGAATAGAAATGAAATCTGTTCCTCTTTATGTTGTTTCTCCTCCAGTTGCCCTCAGGCTTTCCAACATTCAACAAAGGGTTTTTGTTGTTGTTTTTGTTGTTGCTGTTTTTGCTGTTGTTACGGAGTCTTGCTCTGTCGCCCAGGCTGGAGTGCAGTGGCATGATCTCGGCTCACTGCAAACTCCGCCTCCCAGGTTCAAGTGATTCTCCTGTTTCATTCTCTCAAGGAGCTGAGATTACAGGTGAGCGCCACCATGTCCGGCTAATTTTTGTATTTTTAGTAGAGACGGGGTTTCGCCATTTTGGCCAGGCTGGTCTCGAACTCCCGACCTCAGGTGATCCGCCTGCCTTGGCCTCCCAAAGTGCTGGCGTGAGCCACCACGCCCCACCCAACAAAGGGTTTTTTGTTTCTTTTTGTCTGTTGGAAAGGTCTCCCTGACCCCATCTCTCCCAGAGATGAGCTTAGAGTGAAAGTGAAGAATTTCCTGGGGGCTTCTCAAGTGACCCACCCTTTGTATATTTCCACTGCAGAGAGAAGGAACACATTTCTGCAGCCAGGTGCGGTGGCTCACGCCTGTAATCCCAGCACTTTGGGAGGCCGAGGCGGGCGGATCACGAGGTCAAGAGATCGAGACCATCCTGGCTAACGCGGTGAAACCCCGTCTCTACTAAAAATACAAAAAAAATTAGCGGCGCGTAGTGGCAGGAGCCTGTAGTCCCAGCTACTCGGGAGGCTGAGGCAGGAGAATGGCTTGAACCAGGGAGGCGGAGCTTGCAGTGAGCCGAGATTGCGCAGCTGCACTCCAGCCTGGGCGACAGAGCGAAACTCCGTCTCAAAAAATAAAATAAAATAAAATAAAATAATAAAAATAAATGCAACCTGGAAGCCTGGCTTCCTGAGGGTGTGACCTTTGGCTCTGGGGAAGTTATTCATCCATCTTGGCAGGCTTGCCTGTGGCAGGCTTATGGGAGTTAAGTTTGGAGCTTCTGACCCCTCGAAAGGCTGCACAGCCTGTGAAGAATGTAGGAGGCCCAGCTATTGAACCCTCAGCCATGAACTCCATGGCCAATATTTTCGCAGGCTGTGCATTCTTTTGAGGGATCAGAAGCTCCAGTCCTTGCTTCCCCAGCCTCATTTCCACAATCTCTGGATGGACGAGCATGCCAAGGATGAATAACTTCCTGAGAGACCAAGGACCCATCCTTAGGAAGCGAGGATTCCAGGCTATTCCTTCTCCCACCTGTGGAGAAGTACAAAGGACAAGTCCCTGCACCAGTGGTGGCACGGGAAAAGTGTAGCTGTACCCAGGCAAATATTCAACCAGGAGCCAGAGTTGTGTCTAAAAATGACACACATGGACCCCGACTCCTGGACTCCTCCTCCTGGGAATGTTGTAAGGTTATGGAGCATATGTAGGACCCACATGCTGTAATGTACTTTTATGTAACGAGAAGAAGCATTCAGAAGGGAAAAGCTAGAATTTGGTCACAAAGTCTCAACTCTTGGTCGTGGAAGTTGCTGGCCATGTCTAATCTTGAACAAAGTTACTCCTTGCCCATATCTGTGCCTACTGTACATTGTTGCACGTGAAGTTGGGGTTTATTGGCTGCCCTGGAGGGAGAGGCCCAGAGTTACACTTTGATCTGGGGCTTGACAGTGCACTCCTGGGCTGGCAGGGAGCGTGGAGGTGGATGGAGTGGCCGGGACTGGGAGGGTATAGTGGGGGCATAGTTGATACTCCTCTTGGAGGTACCCTCAGGATTTGCCTCACAATCTTCTAAATATCTATTATGATAACAACATCTGCATCTTTGAGAGAAGTGTAAATTTTTTGAGAAAATGAAATTGATCCAGACCCATGGGTATAATTAACCATGTACATCAAGGTAGTTTTTGTTTTGAAAAATTGGGTGTAACTTGAAAGCTCTGAATACAGAGCTCTAGAGATAGACCTAAAGTCATGAGGTCAGCCGAGTGTGGTGGCTCACGCCTGTAATCCCAACACTTTAGGGGGCCAATGCAGGAGGATCACTTGAGCCCAGGAGTTTGAGACCAGCCTAGGAAATACAGTGAGACCTGTCTCTACAAAAAAAAAAAAAAAAAAAAAAAAATTTAAATTTAGCCAGGCAGAGTGATTCATGCTTGTAATCCCAGCTACTCAGGAAGCTGAGGAGGGAGGATCGCTTGAGCCTGGGAGGCAGAGGCTTCAGTGAACCATGATTGTGTCAATGCACTCCAGCCTGGGTGACAGAGGGAGACCCTGTCTCCAAACAAAAACAAAATGACATTTTGGACTGGATAATTATAAAAAATAAAAAATAAAGTTATGAGATCTATTTTCTTCTGCATTTTAAACCTGGCTCAGTTCTCACAGGAAATTGCCAAATTTCTTTTGTGAGCTTTTGAAATAAGCATTAAATATGTCTAGAAGGCAAAATACATACATGTGGAAAGTGGAATCCTACTTATGTGGAAGGATGAAGTCTTGAACAACATATTCCAAACTTTTAGCAGTGATTATGTTTTGGTGGGGGACAAGTGGGTGCACAGGGAACTGGAAAGTCAAGTATAATGAGGAAAGAAATGCATACTTTCTGTCTTATAAAAATTTTTACATTTCCAGTAAAATAAAAGCTAATAATATGAGCTAACATATAGTAGGCACGTACTATGTTCCAGGAATTTTGCTAAATATACTATTTCATTTGATTCTGATAACAACCCTGTAGGCAGTTACCATTACTGTTTTAATTTTACAGTTTGGTAACTGATGTTTTGGAGAGACTAAATTACTTACCAGAGGATGCACGGCTAAGTGTGAGAGCTATAATGTAAACGTGGCATCCCGATTCTGTAATTCTGGCCACTCCACTGAACCTCCTCAAGTAAGTAAGTAAATAAATAAATAAATAAACAAACAAATAGAAGTAAAAATTCCTCTTTGGAAAGCAAGGAGTCAACCTCATTACCTCATAGTCACACCTCCTATACATCTTATGCTTACACTCAAATGTAAACTTTGGTTCATTTAAGCAATCAAATGTACATTTTTGTAATACACAACCCCTCTCAGCACCTGCAACACCAGGATAAGGAAAGTGCATATACATTTGGGGGAGGCAGAGTGGAGAACAGAAGAGAGGCCACAAAAAGATACCTGAGGCTGGTGATTGGTCTTCCCTAAAGTGAAAAATAAAAGGCGGAAGGACAGATGGGCTAGTATGAGATTGCAATTTAGGACACTGAAAGTGCTGTAGACTTGGGAATGTCCTAAGTAAAAGTAATACTGATGGTTTTTTGATATATTTTAAAAGCCTATTTTATATTAACAAGGTAAAAATAATTACAAGCATATTTGGGTTTACAGTTCTTCAGTATCATTCTGTTAAAAAGCCTTATTTTCCCTGAGCTATTTTTCTTTCTACTTGTCAAGGGTCACTTTCTTCTTCATAGGCCCCTGTAGTCCTTCCCCTTACCTTTAAAAGACATTTTCTTTTTTTATTGATACACAATAGTTATACATATTTATGGTGTGCATCTGATATTTTGATACATTCATATAATGTGTAATGATTCCATCAGGGTAATTGGGATATTCATCACCTCCGGCATTTATAATTTCTATTTTTTGGGAACATTTCAAATCTTCTTGTCTAGCTGTTTTGAAATATACAATAAATTACTGTTAACAATCACCTTGTTGTGCTATCAAACACTAGAACTTTCATTTTTTGTATCTAACTATATTTTTGTGCACATTAACTAACCTTTCTTCATCTGTCTTCCCCCTTCCCAATCTCTGGTAGCCATCATTCCTCTCCACCTCCATGAGATTAACTTTTTTATATATGAGTGAGAACATGCAATCTTTTTCTTTCTGTGCCTGGCATGTTTTGCTTGATATAATGTTCTATAGTTCCATCCATATCCCTGCAAATGGCAGAATTTCATTCTTCTGGATCATATAGTAGATTTATTTGAAATTTTTTGAGGAACTTCCATACTGTTTTCCAGAGTGGCTCTACTAATTTGTCTTCCTACCAACAGTGCACTGACATTCCCTTTTTTCAGCATCCTCACCAGTATTTGTTACTTGCTGTCTTTTTAATAATAGCCATTTTAACTAGGGTCCAATGATATCTCATTGTGGTATTGATTGCCATTTTCCTAATGATTGCTGATAATGAACAGTTTTTCATATGCCTGTTGGCCTTTTGTATGCTTCTTCTGTAAAATTGAGCAGGCATTGCCTAAGCCATCTGGATAAAATACCCTTAAAGGAATGTTTTGCCTGAAACATTCATGGCCCACTGACCATACTTTTACAAATTTGGGCTTATTTTTTCTTCTGAAAAAGAGGAAGTAAAAAGAAAATTACTGATTGCCTATCATATTACAGGCACCAAACAAGCTGCTTTAACTTTACCTCCATTTAGGTTTCCAAAGAACCCTGCAAGGTAAATGTCATCTTTCTCATTTTACAAATAAAAAGGAATAAGATGGCCTGTCCAAGGTGGTCAGTAACAGAATTGAGGTTTGAACTCTGTCTATTGTCCCCAAAGACTGTGTTTTCCTCTATGCACATTGCTTTTCAGTAGTAATGATGTTCTATAGAATTCATGTTTTATTATTAACATTAGTGTCATTAATGTAAATAACAGCCACCATTTGTTGAATGCTTACTAAATACCGGAATCCTAAGAACTTTCAGGCTTCTCTCATGTACTCTCAACAATAACTTTACAGATGAAGTAACCAAACTTTGGTAATGTAACCAAGTTAATATGGTTAGTAAGTGTTGGAAGCAGGCCTCAAACCCATTTCTTTCTTTTTAACAGTTCTATTACATTTTCCAGAATACTACCACCCAGCATTAATCACTTCTCTGCTCACATCATTACCAAGACTTTCTTGCTTACTGATGCTCACAGAAGTGTTGCTAATAGAAAATAAAATGGAAACAAGTTCTCACCCCCATCCCCTACTCTCCAGCTTCACAATTCTGCTGATCCTAACCTCCAGCCCTTGGTCTCTAACATTCCCTATCTCAGTGGTTCCCAAATTTGAGTGTGCACCAGAGTCACCAAAGAGCTTGCTAAAATAACAGGTCCCTGGGGCTCTGCTCTGGAGTTTCTAATTCAGAAGGTCTGGGGAGAAGTCCAAGAATTGGCATTTCCAATAAGTTCTAGGTGACACTGATGCTGCCCGCTGGGGATACTCCTGAGAACCATTCTCTGGTCTAAGAGAAAGCAGGCTATGAGAAATTCATATTGTTGCAGACTTTCATATGTAAACAATTATCAGCATAGATGATAGAAGTGATTCCACGAATGTGACTTTTTTATTTCACCCTTTTTAAATTAGTTGTTGGGGAAGGGGTGGCTGCATAACATTTCCCACAATGTGGTGAAGTAGAAGACAGATAGGGCTGGCTCTCCTGCCCAGACTACCTCAGGAAGAGAGAGTCACATTATCACCAGTGCCAGGCAAAGCTTTCATGCTGTGAAGAATTATCCTTGGCAGTGCCCAGCAGCATGTTGTCATGGAATTCAAAGCTGCCTTGCCCATCCGTGTTCAGGGATATGGCTGAGATCTAAGAACTAGGAAACCTTATCCACAAATCCAATGTGTCCCTTGGCAGCACATCACACTGAGGAACTCCTTTGCTCTGGTTTCGAACATCAGGTCAGAATTCCAAAGGGGCGTTGCCTCCCATTTGGTTGGCATAATGTAGCTGTTGGCAATGTTTTATCTACAATTTCTACCCAGCAAGATAAAGTCTTGCCAAACCCATTTGGGCTGCTATTCTTCAGTGATAAATTTCTCTTCTCCCAGCGTGATACTCATGAAGAGACCCAGAATTATAGAAAGTCAGAGATAGAAGAGACCTTTAAGCTTATCAGATGAATGTGGATCTGTGGTTTTACAGATGGGAAACTGAAATACAAGGAGACAACAGGAAGAAGCTAGACCCCAAGTCTCCCAAAGACTCCCTGTCCCACAGAAAAATCTCCCCATTCCCCCACAGGAGCCAATCAAGGAAATACAACTGGGCACATTTGGTTAAGATCAAGCCAGGTGAAATGTGGACCCCCTATGGGAGAATTCATGGTAATCAGTGAACTAGGGGGACTCTTCCCCATCACCTCTTTTAGTTCTTTTCTCCAGTCTCACCCCTCCTCCACTTTGCCCAGGTTAGCAGGAGACTCTCAGATAAAGGATATGGAAAAATTACCTCATGGCGTGGTGTTAAGAATGTTATTCTGTTAAAAGACAGCCCCAGTGTACAATTTCTCTCCAAAAGGGATACACATCTATGGATAAAATATAATCTGTTGCTGCTTCCTGAGGTGAGGTCAGTGGGGAGGCTTTCCGAACAAGGGAGGGGAGCTTGCTAAGGTGAGCCCACGCCACAGTGGTGAAGGCTGAGGAGTTAACTGCAAAGCAGCCCTGAGCGTTCCAGGCCAATCCCTGGGGACCTCGCAAATCTCTGTACTGCATTCAAGTCACTGTTTTATGTTTGTTTGTTTTATTTTGTTCCCTCCACCCTAAGACCTTGGGTACAAAGTGGAATCTGTAAACAGTTTTATGTAATTCATCCACGGAAGTGGGGCTCTAGGCTGACAAACCTATATAAAATTTTCCAGACTATTCCTTCCCAAAGTAAGAAATGAATCCAAAAAGCACAGAATATTTCTAATCTATTTTTCAAACCACATATTTGAATTAACTCTGTTTTGCCCAAGGTATCCAAGGTATAACCCATTGATACGACTCAAATAATAATAATAATAAACAAAAACACTGTTTTTCTAGCAGATAAAAATTCCGTGACACCCATGGCTACTTCCCGCTTTGCTTAAAGCAGTCTTCAGTGTTTACCAGCACACTTGGGCATAAATCCAGGAAACAGAGGCATTGTTTGCCATCAGGAAACAGAGCTATTACAGTTACAGATCCCTAATCTCCTTTATTATACAAACCAAAGCAGCAACAATGCAGATTGCCCTTAATTAGAGTGGTGAGATTAAAACGCCTTTTGCACCCTCAAATTCAAGAGTGAATTTCAGGTGTATTTAAGGTTTAAGGAAGTTGTCCAGGATTTATTTCTTGGTCTGGACTGCCCCCTGAAGTTTGATAAGGGTAAGTACAGTATAGGCCTACTGCCTTCTTATAAAATGCAGATTGTCTTTCCACAGAAGAACCACTTGAGGTTGTCGCAAGATGGCTAGGTATTGACAGAATGTATCTCAAAATAATAAGAGCTATTTATGACAAACCCACAGCCAATATCATACTGAATGGGCAAAAACTGGAAGCATTCCCTTTGAAAACCGGCACAAGACAAGGATGCCCTCTCTCACCCCTCCTATTCAACGTAGTATTGGAAATTCTGGCCAGGGCAATCAGGCAAGAGAAAAAAGTAAAATGTATTCAATTAGGAAAAGAGGAAGTCAAATTGTCCCTGTTTGCAGATGACATGATTGTATATTTAGAAAACCCCATCGTCTCAGCCAAAAATCTCCTTAAGCTGATAAGCAACTTCAGCAAAATCTCAGGATACAAAATCAATGTGCAAAAATCACAAGCATTCCTATACACCATTAACAGAAAACAGAGAGCCAAATCACGAGTGAACTCCCATTCACAATTGCTGCAAAGAGAATAAAATACCTAGGAATCCAACTTACAAGGGACGTGAAGGACCTCTTCAAGGAGAACTACAAACCACTGCTCAATGAAATAAAAGAGGACACAAACAACTGGAAGAGCATTCCATGCTAATGGATAGGAAGAATGAATATCGTGAAAATGGCCATACTGCCCAAGGTAATTTATAGATTCAATGCCATCCCCATCAAGCTACCAATGACTTTCTTCACAGAATTGGAAAAAACTTCTTTAAAGTTCATGTGGAACCAAAATGAGCCCACATTGCCGAGACAATCCTAAACAAAAAGAACAAAGCTGGAGGAATCATGCTACCTGACTTCAAACTGTACTACAAGGCTACAGTAACCAAAACAGCATGGTACTGGTACCAAAACAGATATATAGACCAATGGAACAGAACAGAGCCCTCAGAAATAACACCACACATCTACAACCATCTGATCTTTGACAAACCTGACAAAAACAAGCAATGGAGAAAGGATTCCCTATTTAATAAATGGTGCTGGGAAAACTGGCTAGCCATATGTGGAAAGTTGAAACTGGATCCCTTCCTTACACCTTATACAAAAATTAATTCAAGATGGATTAAAGACTTAAATGTTAGACCTAAAACCATAAAAACCCTAGAAGAAAACCTAGGCAATACCACTCAGGACATAGACATGGGCAAGGACTTCATGACTAAAACACCAAAAGCAATGGCAACAAAAGCCAAAATACACAAATGGGATCTAATTAAACTAAAGAGCTTCTGCACAGCAAAAGAAACTACCATCAGAGTGAACAGGCAGAATGGGAGAAAATTTTTGCAATCTACCCATCAGACAAAGGGCTAATATCCAGAATCTACAAATAACTCAAACAAATTTACAAGAAAAAACCAAACAACCTCATCCGTAAGTGGGCAAAGGATATGAACAGACACTTCTCAAAGGAAGACATTTATGCAGCCAACAGACACATGAAATCATCATCATTGGTCATCAGAGAAATGCAAATCAAAACCACAATGAGATACCATCTCACGCCAGTTAGAATGGCAATTATTAAAAAGTCAGGAAACAACAGATGCTGGAGAGGATGTGGAGAAATAGGAATGCTTTTATACTGTTGGTGGGAGTGTAAATTAGTTCAACCATTATGGAAGAGAGTGTGGCGATTCCTCAAGGATCTAGAACTAGAAATACCATTTGACCCAGCGATCCCATTACTGAGTATATACCCAAAGGTTTATAAATCATGCTACTATAAAGACACAAGCACGCTTATGTTTATTGCGGCACTATTCGCAATAGCAAAGACTTGGAATGAACCCAAATGTCTATCAATGATAGACTGGATTAAGACAATGTGGCACATATACACCATGGAATACTATGCAGCCACAAAAAAGGATGAATTCATGTCCTTTGCAGGGACGTGGATGAAGCTGGAAACCATCATTCTCAGCAAACTATCACAAGGACAGAAAACCAAACACTGCATGTTCTCACTCGTAGGTGGGAATTGAACAATGAGAACTGGGACATAGGGCGGGAACATCACACACTGGGGCCTGTCGGGGGGTGGGGGGTTGTGGGAGGGATAGCATTAGGAGAAATACCTAATGTGGATGAAGGGTTGATGGGTGAAGCAAACCAACATGGCACATGTATACATATGTAACAAACCTGCACGTCGTGCACATGTACCCTAGAACTTAAAGTATAATTTAAAAAAAAAGAACCACTTGGAAAGAAACAGAATGGGACTTTTACCAACATTTGCATTAGTCTGATAAACACTGAACTACAGAGTGACCCTCTGTCAGCCCCTTCATTTGTTCTGGAAGCGTAAGAGAAATGGAGAAAATTAATCTTTCTAAAATAATTCTTTACAGATCTGGAAGAGCTTATTCAATAGAGGGCTATGCAAAGTCTAAACATGAGTTCTAGGTGAAACTTCCTGACACTGGAATTTCTTACTCTGAGGTCCTATTATATCAGTACATCAATGATCTTCATGTTTCAAACTCAAATAGTCAAGTCAGGGGCCTCATCTTCCCTGACTCTCAGCCGTATTTAACCCAGTTGCTGTCTTTGAAAACCTTCTTGAAATGTTTCTCTGAGCTTCTAGGACATAACATTCTCCTGGTTTTCCTTCTACCTCACAAGGGTGTTCATTCTCACACCTCTTTACCGGATCCTCCTCCGCTCCTCTCCCTTTCTGTAAATGGTGGGGTACACCAAGGATCTCCTCACTTTTCCACCAGTCCCTGCTAGGTTATCTCCTCTGGTCCTATGGCTTTAAGCACCATCCCTATGCTGGTGACCCCAGGAATGTATCTCCAGCCCAGAAGTTCCCTTGAACAATGGGTTGGTATACCCAGTGACTCACTTAACATCCCAAATTGATGTCTCATAGGCATCTCAAAGACCTGAAGCAGCTGACTAATACCACATAAGAGTGGAGAGCACTGAGCCTCCAAGTTCAAGCAAATAAATCAAAGCGACTTCTAATTTTAGGATATCCTGAATGTTTCCTTCAATTTACACAACACACACAGGTGCGTGCACCATTTATTTATGTTTAATGAAAGTCATGTGAATATGATTTTAAGAGTCAAATAACTCTGTGATTCCCTGATTCTCAGAGACAAGTATTTTGAACTGATTTAGCTGGTTCTTTTGGTATTTTTCACTTATTTCTAAATAACATGATTATAATACTACTTCTTGGTTTCTCACTTTTATTGATTTACAAAAGCAAAGAATGAAGATTTATCAGGGGTGTCCAATCTTTTGGCTTCCCTGGGCCACACTGGAATAAGAAGAATTGTCTTGGGCCATACATAAGATACACTAACACTAACGATAGCTGATGAGCTAAAAAAAAAAAAATCACAAAATAAACTCACAATATTTTAAGAAAGTTTATGAATTTACGTTGGGCTACATTCAAAGCCGTCCTTGGCAGCATGCAACCTGTGGGCAGAGGGTTGAACAAGTTTGATTTAGATCTCTTTTGCCATCCACTCCCCCCACCAAAACACTCTCTAGTCTCCACCTTCTCAATATAGTTACATTGTTATTAGTTTGGTTATATCAAAATCATTTCACATTATTGAGATTGTTTATATTCTATTAATAGCTGAGCTAGGTTGTATGCTCTGTTTTTTTCTTTTCTGTACAGCTTTTTGTTTCTGTTAGATGTTGTATTTTCTTTTTACTTGCTTGAATATATGTGTTCTAATCAAAATTCATCCCCAAACTCTCCTTCTCCAGTAAGTAAACCTCTTCTAAATAACACTCAGATGCATTGTTTTTCTTTTTCTGAGCAATCTCTTCTGAAGATCCAGCCTGGATCTGCCCTGTAACTGCTGTCTGGGAAATTCCCTTTATCCCCATCAGAAAGGTTCTATTCCCTCTGCTTCCTTTTCTATTGCATCCTTTGTTTTGCTGGGGTCATGTCTTCATCCTTCTAGGTTTACTCCCATATATGGCATGGCATGGCATATTCCTCAACAATTTTGAGGAAAGGGAGCATTGGAGGGAAATTTATTGAAAACTTCCGTGCATAAAAATATCTTTATTCTTCTTCACATTTAGTTGCTTCTAGGTTGCAGTCATTTCTCCTCAACATTTTGACTGTATTCTTCATTGTTTTCTAGCCTATAATATTACTGTGGAAAGTTCTGATAATATTCTGATTTTTGACCCTTTGTATAAAATCTGTTTTTTTTTCCTCTCTGAAAGTGTTTAGATCTTCTTTTTGTCTCCTGTGATCTGAAATTTTGCAATGATGTGTCTAACTATGGTTTTACTTTCATCCATCCTACTGAGAATTTGATGGGAAATTTCAATAGAGAATCTCATGTTTCTTAGTGATAACATTTTTTTCTCCATTTATTTCTTTAATGCCCTTCCTTCTGCTTCTTTCCTCTTTTTTCTGCAAACTGTACTCAAGTTTTGAAACTCTTGGTTTTGTCCTCTAATCCTCTCTTTTCTATTTTACATCTATTTTTCTTTAATTCTACTTTCTAGATCATTTCCTAAACTTTATCTTCCAATCCTTCTATTGAAGCATTTTATTAACGATGTTTTAGATTTCAGAGATATCTTTTTGTTGTCTGTGTATTCCTTGTTATAGCACTCACTTTATAGAGGCAATATCCTACTTGAGGATAAAACTGATTGTCTTTTAGGTCTCCTGCCTTCTAGTATGATTTTCTCTCCTAATGTGTATTTCTATGTTTGTTTCTTCATTGCTCTAGGTGAGCTTATATCACAGGACTAAAGGTGAGACTGCATTGCCTCTCCCTGCCTTTTATTTTTTCTTTTTGGCCTCTGCATTTGATACTGGAAGCTTTTGTAAAGTACTTAATGATCCTAGGCTGTTTGCTTATATTTCAGACTGAGACACTATAAAGCTGATTTGATGGTTGGATTGTCTGTGTATGAGGACTCTTGGCCTTCCTGTAGGGTGATTATCTGGAAAAATAATTCCTTAGTAAATATTCAAAGTCAGTATCTTCAATGTTTCCTCCTGTTATAATCAGATTCTCCAGAGATGCCTGTTCAGACTTGACTTGGGTCGGCTGTGTCCCCACCCAAATCTCATCTTAAATTGTAGCTCCCATAATTCCCACGTGTTGTGGGAGGGACCCAGTGGGAGATAATTGAATGATGGAGCCAGTTTTACCCATTCTGTTCTCATGGTAGTAAATAAGTCTCAAAAGATTTGGTGGTTTTACAAGGGGAAACCCCTTTCATATCGTTTTCACTCCCTTTCTTGCCCGCTGCCATGTAAGAAGTCCCTTTACTCCTCCTTTGTCTTCCACCATGATTGTGAGGCTTCCCCAGCCATGTGGAACTGTGGGCCCATTAAACCTTTTTTTAAAATAAATTACCCAGTCTTAGGTATGTGTTTATCAGCAGCATGAGAATGGACTCATACAAGACTCTTGCCTTAAAAATGTAAGACTTGCTGCCATTGTTATATGTCAACTTTCACTAAACCTTTTGTTTTCAGGATGGGAAAACCTCTCCCAACTGATTCTGCTGTCTCTCAGTCCCAATATCCCATCTTTTTCCACATCTCCATATAATCTATTAGTAGGATGAAGGAAAGGACATTTGCTTGGCTACTTGGGATTAGAGAGGTACCTGGGGGACCAGATGCTTCCTAAATTGAACTTGAACCAACCAAATCTACTATTCAGTCCCATATTCATCCAAATTCTTAAGGTACCTGGTGCTGCAAAGTCTTAAGTCTCTTGGGGGATTCTGCAGTGTAAAGTAGGTTGCTTCTTGTTTTTCCCCACCACTGGCTTAATATTTAACTTTCTCAGGTCTTCTAAGTCAGTTCACACCACCCCACCTGCTTTCCAAAGGTGTGTTGCTGTTATCTCCTCTCTTGTTCCCAATCTTTGGAATTTCATGTCTGTGACCTCCAGTGATCCCTCCCTCCTGGCATTCACACCTTTTGAAATGCCCTCCTCTCGATTGTGGCCAGGGCCTGTGACTTGGTTCTAACCTGTGAAATATGGCAAAAGTTATGGGTTGTCACTCTCCTAATTATCTTACATTAAACAAGACTCTCTCTTAAAAGCAGACTGGAGTTAGAGACTGTCCTTGCAGGCTTAATGTTGTAAGTGGCCAAGTTGGAAAAGCCCATGTGGTGAAAAAAATAGGGGTGGCCTCTAGGGTCTGAGGATGAACTCTAGCCAATAGTCAGCAAAAAGCCACCATTCTCATTCCCACAACCACAAGGGGACAAATTCTGCCAACAACCTGAATGAGTCAGAAGTGAATTCTTCCCCACCTGCACCTCCAGATGACATGACAGTCCATCCAGTACCTTGATGACAGCCTTGTGTAACCCTGAGCAAAGTACAAGCTTAGCTGTGCATGGAATCCACCCATGACCACTTTGAGATAATAAATGTGTGTTGCTTTAAGCTGCTGAGTTTGCAGCAATTTTATATGCAGCAATAAAAAACTATCATAACAGAAATGGAATAAACTATTATAATAGAAAACACAGCAATAGAAAATTATTACAATGCTATTCACTTTTTCATTATTTTATTGTTGTTTTAGTAGCATTTTGAGGTGAATGTATGCATAATCAGTGAATTAGACAAGCATGCACATACATGATATCTGATCAAACATTTTTTTGTCTCTCATCATCCTCATAAAATTTATTCAGTGGGAGAAGCTTTTTCTTCCATCAGATACATTCCAGTTGTATGCCAACATACTCAGGTAAGAGCAACATTTTGGTCATTTTAAATAGTTTGGTAATTATGACTCCCAGTCGCCTACAATAAGAAGAAACTACAATAATTTAGTACTAAATTTTTCTTCCCTCTCCAACTGAGTCTTGTGTTGAGTTGCCTACTTGCGCTAGCACATCTTCCCTTGCTGGTTGACATTTTTGCTAAGATTTCTCCCTCTCCTTCCACCCCACCTTGGACACGGAGGTTTCTGGCCTCCCTTTCCCCAAGGTCCCCAAAAAAAGAAATCTGTCTTATGAGATAGGGCTGCCTTCACATGGTGTCAGGGTTCTCTGGATAGTAATTGTGTGTAATAAGAGAGGGAGCATTCAAGAACTCCCATAGAAATTCTCATAGCCCTGACTTCTCATCTTTAGCTTGTGTAGATTTTTTTGTATTCCAGGTGGTCATTTGTGACTCCTTCCTCATCCCACAATCTGGCTTCACCTCCCACTTCTTGATGCTGGGTTCCCTCCACCTCTTTGGACAACCCTATCAGAGAGGACCTAAAAGAGCCCCATGCTGACCTTCACTCTTGCATGTCTCACTATGGTTCATGGGAAACACACACATCCATTGCCCTGACAAACACTAGACATACAGGCTATTCTCAACACAGAACTCATTCAGGGCTCTACTACCGGAGCTGTGGCCACAATTCTAGGCAAGAATCAGACTTCCATCAGCCATGCATCCTAATTGTTGTGGTTCTGAGAAATCTGAGCTATCTGAGCTATCTGAGAAATCTTCTCTCACTAAATTTGAGGTCAAGGAGCAGACATTCCTCCTTCTCTCACTTTTGTGGGTAGGTAGAGTGAGAAGGCTCATAGAGCAGTTTTCTGCAAAGAAGTCTTTCTCATAAAATTCTGTTGACTCTCATACATATTTGTGGGGTATAGAACCATCTAACTGATCCTCAGTCATTTCCTTTGAACCTCTCACTTTCATATTTCATGTGTGCTGCACCTTGGTGCCTTGTGGAAGTCTAACTTTGAATTTCTCTCAGGTATGCTTATTTAATCTACCACCACTAACTAGAAGTTCCCCCAGCTGTCTTTATTTGCATAGCATGAAGGCTTTCCATGTCAGGAGGCTAAGAGACACTCCCTAGGCCTCTCAAAACAGCAAGGATGAATCAAAGGCTCGGGTTCCTCTGGGCACTATGGTCACGGCTGAAACTCAGGTAGGTGAGCCAAATGTGATGGAAGTATGGAAGAGAAGTGTTGCTTCACATAGCGTCAACTCCTGCTGCTTTGTATGTCATCCAAAAGTGGCACTGGCTGTACAAGAAAATAACTTCCACAAAGTGCCTATGGTGTATTATGAAAGAAAATAAGGATGTTTTAAGGTACCTCCCTGGAAGCTGACAACCAAATTCTCCCTTAATTTCTCTCTTACATAGAATTCTGGGAATGGTGAACTGTGTAACTGACCTCAGAAAGATTTACTAGAGATGTAGGTAATTTTCAAGGCTTTTATTGGCTGTAGAAATGGTCTGGGAGACAAATGTCCTAAAAATCCCCAATTTCCCTTAACTGGCTTCACAATCTTTGGCAAGTCACTTTACCTCTCTGAGCCCCCATGCCCTCATCTCTGCACTAGGTCTGCCTTGACACTTTTGTTTGCAGGGTTTAGGACCAGATGGAAGTGCCTTGTAAACTGAAAAATACCACATTATATATCATATCACATTATTATACTTTCTGATAAATGGTTACAAAGCTATCTGAAATAGAAGTTTACATTTTATTTCTGATTAACTTTCAATATTAAGTGATAGAACCTAAGAAGCAAAAGCGAACATAAAATTCAACTGGAAAATTTGAAAGAGAAATGGTTTTTTCTCTAGGAAATTTGCACTAATAACTTTTTCCCACCATCCCCCCACCAGTAACTTTTTGACAAGAAAATGAACGTGGCCTATTAATTTATCTAAAGCTATTTCATAAAATTTTCTTCCTTCAATCCAGATTATTGGAAATGCCATGTGAATAATGCTGTTTTATGAAAATAGAAACCATATTTTATGGTCAGGGTACAACTGACACGATTTCCAACAAAACCTACTCTTCTGCATTTATGGAGCACTTTCTTTGAATCAAATCACATGGAAATAAATCTTCTTTTCATTTAATTGAAGACAAAAGGGAGCAGTAATGAAGCCACTGAGACATTCTTGTTTTATTCCCAGACCCCTAAATCAGAAAACCCGATCGAATACTGAGCATAATTTCTTCATTGACATTTGTCTCTAAATGTCAAGTTGTTCTGGAAATTTTTTCTTGATTTTATGATTCCTTGCCTTATTCATTTGAGACAAACTGAGTTAGCATGATGTTGTCGGAGGAATCTCCAGTATGAGAAAATGCATAATGGCCTGAAGGGGAAAAAAAAAGGAAATAATTATTGTTACTCTGTTGAAATCAAGCATGAGACCAAAATGAAAATTAGCCTGTAGATTATTTCACAACTAGGAACAGTTTTTAAAAGATTCTAGGTAAAGACAAAAAGACTGTGGTTGGTGGAGAGAAATAGCATTTCACCAACACCCCAGAGGCTTGCATTTGTCAAGTATCACTTATTTGAGAAATATCATGTTTTTCAAATATTGCTGGGAAATGACATAAAGTAGATTGAGATCACAATATGTTATTGCTGGAAGAATCTTAGTAATCTCTTAGCTTTTTATTTTATAGATGAGGAACAAATGTCCCCAAAAGGTAGAGACTTGTAAAAAAGCGCTCAAGCTGACTGGTGGCAATAACAACAGAACCCAAGGGTCCGGGACAAGCACATTCTCCAGACACTTGAACTTTATCTGGAATTTGAATAATTTCAATGGGAATATAAAATGAGTTTCCTACATTAATGATGACATTAACATAACTGAATGTGAAATGGGACTTTAACTCTTAAGCATGGTTTCAACTTAGCTTGTAAGGCAATGTCTCCTCCTCCACTTCCATGTTCCAACCTTCTCTCTCCTCCAAGAATGCTGTGGCTACTTGCAATGTTTAAACACTGGTCTTGCAGTTGCTCAATAGCACAGACTTTAGTAACCGCCAATCAATGAACATAGGGCCAGTGCATGTCACAGGTGGAGGAGACAGTGCTCTTTCACTCTTAGCAGGTGTGGCCCCTTCCTGCCCAGGGGCATTTTAGGGAGGAGGACATGTGCAACATCAGGGCACAAGCACCTGGCCGCGTGCCCACTGCTTGGCAGCTGGCACAAAGGGGTGATTCTCCAATAAGGACATAAATCGTGTTAGTCTAACCACACTCCTTCCCTTCAAGGCCTCAATGATCAATGCCACAGATTTATCTAATGTCAAACTTGGGAAATAGAGATAATTTGTGATGACATTACATAAAGACACTCTCTGGTTCTCCATGAGCATCAAGTCACCTACATTGTTCTGTCAGCCCTGAGCACGGTCTGGATGAACTCTGAAAACATGGCTGGCTGATAATCCCACACTTCTCACATGAGTTTCTTACATGTTGCCATTGAATTTTATTCATATGATATACTCATATACTCTTTTCACACCTTTTATAACCTTTGGTTTTATTGTAACTCACCTTTGTTTTGCAGTGGGTTGAAAGGCTTTGAGAATTTGGGTTTGGCAGATAAATCTGATGAGTTTTGCTGCACAAAATAAAAATAAGTCATTTGGACATTAATAGCATTCTTTTACTGTTGGTCTGCATTTCCTGACTTCCTGATGTTATTCATGATTCTTTATTTCATTTTCATAGGTGCTATTCTCTTTTTAAGAATTTAGAATGGTTACTTTCTCACTCTTTCTTCTGCTTTAATCTATTTAAAATGCCTAAAAATTTATTTTCAAGTGAATGCTGTGTTCCTGTGTATTTTTATAACTTCTAACAACAAACTAGAAAACAGTTTTAAAGGCGGCATTATCCCTTTTCATGTCTATGCTTACATTTCTTTGGATCACATTTGTTACTGGAAGAGAAACCCATGGAGGAAAATGGAGGAAAAACAGTGCTCTGACTAAAAATGATTCTCAACAAAGCTTTGCTTTACTCTTGCTCATCTTAGCTCTCAAACCTACTTTTGAATGACGCTTTGGTCATTGCTACAGAGGCTATATAGAGTTCAATAATTTAACAGCTGAATTATAAAATTAAATAAAATATTTGAAACAAAGAGCATGTACTTATCAGGAAAGATAAATGTGTTTACATACATTATATATTTTTCTACTCATTAGTTCATCATTCATTTGTCCATTAATTTACCATCTCATATTGAATGCCTTTGTGTGCCAGATGCTGTTCTGGCACTGGGAATATTGGAAGGAAAACTTCCATTCCTTGCTACAGTCTATGCCACAAGGAAACCAAACCAAGGTGGGAAAAACATGTTCTTATTATATTCAGTAGATAGACCAGTGATAGTTTTTCAATTTTCACTGGTATTAAGGCACACTGAGTTCTGAAAAAAAAAAGCTACAAAAATAAGAATTAAAAATATTTGAAACTTTCAAAGCAAAATAATTAATTTTCTAGAATTCAGGGCTCAGCAAACATTTAATGCTATAAACCTTTAAAAAAATCATAAGGTCAGGGATCATGGCACTTAAAATTGCATCCTGTACCATTTGGAGATAGGAATTTTAGGTTGTAACATACTCAATATACTTCCTTGTGGTCTGGGAAGAAGTAGCCTCTTCAGGTGTGTGAAGTTATATGGGTCGAAACACTTAGCCAAATAACAGGCCGTGAGTTACTGGAACTCAGATGTAGGTCTGTAAATCTATTCTTTGTGGAGGGGGGTCCATTGAGGCCACCAGAGTCTGTGACTTGGAGAAGAGTTACAGAGAACATGCCTAGGGACAATGGAGGGTCAAGACAGGGGCCTGAGCATGGAGAAGATTTGGGGTCCATACAGTGTGCTGTGGCTTGAAGGATGGTCCTTGCTGAGACTATTGCTGGCTCTTCTTTCATTCCCTTCAGTCAACTATCATAGTCTCACTGCTCTGTTCAGGATCCCTACTTTACTCCTCCTTTAGCTATCTCTCAGAGGATAGCCTTGTCCATTACTTAAGAAAAACAAACAAAAAAAGTATCAAGGTTCGAACTCTCTATATCATGACACTGTAAACAAAAATAAAATTCTAAGCCCCCCAACCAACTGAATGGATCCCCCCTCTCAGCCAAGGAGATTTCAAAGAAACCTGAAAAACTAGTTGAGGTTATGATGGGAAGTGGGGGTCAGACATGCTTCATTGTAGTCTTCTCCCTTTGGAGCTCAGACACAAAACTGAGATCTTAAGACTGATAGAACAAATCTTTTGTAGCAATAAGATACCAAATTCCAACCAAACTCTAGCATAGCATCATGCAACAGATAGGTCCTGAAAGAAATCAAAGTATTTTACCACAAAATATATTTCTTTGACATATTTTGAAATGGCCCTGCAAAGCTGTCTCTTGTGGAAGAAATTTATATTCTGTAGAAAATTCCCTTCCCTTTCTAGATCTTTTTCTGATCCTGAAGAGATTAGCTGAGAGTCTATATCCTTTAAAAGGTCTGAATAGAAAACATTTGCATCTCTTGCATCAAAGGGCTTCAGGTACATAAAAAGAACCTTGGTCTACACAACCCCTTAGCTTAACCCAGAAACTCCTTTCTATTGATTCCAGGTCTTCAGATAATAACTTAACTCTTTCAACCAATTGCCAATGAGAAAATCTTTGAATCCATCTATGACGTGGAAGCCCTCCTGTCCCTACTTCGAGTTGTCCCATCTTTCCAGACTGAACCAAGATATACCTCGCATGTACTGACTGATGTTTATGTCTCCCTAAAATGTATAAAATCAAGCTGTAATTCAACCATCTTTGGCACACATTCTCAGAACCTCCTGGGGCTGTGTCATGGCTCATGATCCTTAACCCTGGCAAACAAACTTCTAAATTGATTGAGACCTGTCTCAGATACTTTTTCACCTAGAATCCCAATTTATACATGTTGCTCCTCCTGCATCAATGTGGTACTTCCTGTGTCAAGCTAAGGAGCAAATCCCTCCATCTTCAGTCCGACCAATCCCTCTGTCTTCCCAGGAGTCCTCTTCTGCCCATTATCCTCAGTCTCTCTCTTATTTGTTTTCAGAGTCTCTTCACTGGCTCACCCCTCCCAACATATGAACTTGTCACATCCTGGCAACTTCAACTCTAGCCTGTCACTGCTGTGCTGGGTCCACGTCTGGTTACCAATCTCGCTGATTTTGCTCACCAGCGAGTTTCTTGGCAGGAATATTCATCAAGTGTGATCTCTTTCTCACCTTCTCATCATCTGTCATTTGGGGTCCTTGGGGTCCTGCTTTTTCATTCAAACTCTCTAAGAAAATTATAAATGCACATATTTTCTTCTTGAAAATAATGTATATTTATTTTAAAACAAATGAGCCACCTAACCAGCAACAAAATCTCATTTTTGTCACCTAATTTGGAAATGAAATTGGGGAGAAGGTACAAATACAGACACTGCCTTCTCAGAAGTGTCAGTGCTTGATGTTAGAAACAGAGAGAAACTGTTAGGCATTCTTGCTTTTGCTTTTGTTTTATTTTACTTGGGAGTATTTTTCCTTCTTTGGTTTTCAAAGGAGAAAAATTTTGACTTTCTGCTTTGCAGGGTGGGGAGTGTCCCGTCTCATTATATTCACTAAAGGTTTTATCTTTTATGTAGTCACATGTGCTGTAATTTTCTCCTTTTCTTAAGTGTAGGTAATGACTCATTAGTTTCACAACTTCTGGTTCGAGTGATTTTTAGTTCTTCCAGACATAAAATCTAAATCCCAGAATGTGAGAACTTCTGCTTTGAATAACTAGTCCAACATTTATTTTCTACAGTTGAGAAAATTAAAACTTAGAGACGAAGTGACTTTCCTAAGATCACACAGTCAATTGGTTACGGAGTCAGAAATACAAGGGCAGGACTGGTCCACCTGCTCATGGGCCAGTGCTCCGTAATTCACAGCAGTGCTGTCTACTGAAAAATGCAGACCAAGGAAGACTTTTTAATGCCAGAGGAAAATTTCCTTATTGATTTTTATTTCAAAAAGTTATATTGTCACTTGTAAAAATCTCTCAATACCCATATAGGTTTGGATGCAGTTAAGTCAGTTGACTTTTATAAAATAAAGAAATTCTCTGCTTTAGAACTCCTTCTGAAAGGCCCTCAGTGCCTCGCTGAAAAACAAAAGTCTAAATAATATTGAAAACACAAAATATGTGTTCAAGCACTTTTGTTTCTAAATATACTATCCCCATATGGATTATACTTTTATGGCAAAGAATGATACAGAAATCCTCCATTTCCTTAAAAACTTGTGGGTTTGTAGACTTAAGAGCTAAGATTGCAAGTAACAGAATCAGTGATAGCAGCCTAAAAAAAGAAAATTATTAATACATAATACTTTTATGTATTAGAAGTTAACCAAATTTAAAGACAAGAATTTAACCAAGATCTCTCATTTTATCTGTCTAGAGAAGGAAAAATGGTTTACAGAAGGTTCAGAAAGTCAGATGAAGAAAAGGGCCTTGCTAGTTCTAAATATTGATAAGCTAGTCAGACTAAAGTAAATGCCATTGTTCAAAAGTATTCACTCACAAGCACCCACAGACTTCCATACTTGAGCATCCTTGTAAGTTTCCATGACTTCACAGTCACTCATTTAATCACTCATTCACTCAACAACTCTTTACTACCACTCATGTGCCAGGCTCCATGTCAGATACCAGGAATATAATGGTGAAAGAAATTCAAGGGGTTTACACAGAAGTTGGCTTGCAGCAAGACTGTATAAAGAGAAGAATGCAAAACTGGAACTTCATGTATTGGATTCATGGCAGTAGGAGATAATTACCTTTTCTGTTTGCTTCCAAGAACTTAAGGCAGACAACTTGTTGAACAGAAGTTGTCGCAGCTATAAGGGCAACAAAGAAATATTGAGGAGATACACATACAATCATACACAGACAAATCAAGAACAACTGCAGGTTGAAATGGTTATTTAATAGTATTATTTCCTAGAAGCAGTTAGTAGACCATGAATGGATATCTGGTAGAAAGATTATTTTCTTCATCTCTTTACCTATAAACAAAACTAGAGTTCAACAAAGAACAACAGTACCAAATGCCATACTCATTCCAATTTTAGACATTAGTAGTTGGCAATAATTGCTAAACTGAAGTGTATCTTTGAAGTGAAGAGTTTCCTAACCACATGAATGGTAAGACAAGGCAATTACTTTTAGTACAATTAAGAACAGCAAATTGCTTCTTTGTAGATAGCAGTTTGTTCATGTGCAAAATTGTTCCTATAATTAGCAACAATTTTGCTAATTATAAAAATTTTTTATTTTCTTATTAAAACAAAGACTATACATCTATTAGCTTATGGCCTTCACCTCTCCCAACAGAATTGTTTAATGCTTGGGTTTATGAAACAAGTATATTTAAAAATTTTTTTCTATTATCTTTCATTTAAACTTACTGTTCTTCACTGGGAATTTTATTTAATGTGAGAGGCTATTTATTTATTTATTTTTCTTCAACAGTATACTTTACTTTTTAAAATATTTTTATTTCCATAGGTTATTGGGGAACAAGTGGTGTTTGGTTACATGAGTAAGTTCTTTAGTGGTGATTTGTGAGATTCTGATGCACCCATCACCTGAGCAGTATATACTGCACCCAATTTGTAGTCTTTTATCCCTCACCCCCTTCCCACCCTTTTCCCCTGAGTCCCCAAAGTCCATTGTGTCATTTTTATGTCTTTGCATCCTCAAAGCTTATCACCCACTTATGAGTGAAAATATACAATGCTTGGTTTTCCATTCCTGAATTACTTCACTTAGAATAATAGTCTGTGAGAGGCTATTAACACTTACTGTTTAAAACTCTACAAGTATAGAAGTAGATATATATTTCAGCATATTCTAAATAAATGGGTAGAATAATTGAAAGAACAAAAGAGAATTCACCTGTTAGCAAAGCAATTTTGCTATGGAATTACTGCCATACCATAATTTAAATTAGAAAAGTTAAAGGTAAAAAGAATTCCCCTTTTTTCCGACAACGTTTACATTACATGTTTGATTAGTTCTGCAAGCTTTATCAGCAGTGACTGTTTAGTTCCTTTGTTTTCTGACTGAGCCTGACTTCTCTAAAAGCACAGAATTTTATTACAAAAGTACCAATAGTCCCACCTCTTATTATATGAATAAAGGCCTCAGAACAAAGGGGAGGGGGCCTAAGATGTCTAGGCTAGGGGTTAATGAGAGAAATAAATACACATACCTTACTGTCCAAGAGTATTCCAAAGCATAAGATAAAAAATCCCTTTAAAAAGAAAGGAATAAATCACATGTATTGTATTTTTCTTTTCCAAAAAAGAAAGCATTTATATGTAACACTATTCAATCACCCCACATTGAAACTGTTTTCTTGTCTGTCTCCTTAAGAGACTGTAGTCTCCTTGAAAGCAAGAACACCATGTGGCCTCCACAAGTGCATGGCACTATGCAAAGCACTCAAAAAAATGTTTTGTTGATGTCTAAATAAGCAAATGACCAAGCGAATGAAGTTTTGCATGTGGAGCTTCATTCTCCCCATCGTACCATCCCAACCCAAACAAATAGCATCCTTTTTTGTCTGTATCTTAGTCTTTCTTTAGACCAGGCATTTGATGTCTAAGCATCTATGACGGCAGCAGGCACAGAGATCCAATCCTATGGCCAAGTGGAGGGATTTGACCTATATCAGCACCCTTTCCTTCCAGTGCAGGTCTTGGGGAACCCTTGGTAAATGTTTTGGTGGATCTTGAATTCCTTCTCTCAGGCATAGCTCCTTCAGTTGGTGCTTGTTCAGACAGTGTATCACTATGAGACTGTACTCCTGCTCCCCAACAGGGGTGCCCTAAGCTTGTCACTGCTAGGGGCATGCTCTATGATTGCCATCCATACTAGCACCTGACTGTTCACTGGTTGCTGAATAGATGGAGAACCAACTTTTAGGAAACATCTATTGAGCATTTGTTATGTGCCAGACAATGCGATAAGTGCTAAATTATCTCATTTAACCCTCACATTTATTTGATGATGTAAGTATTATTATCTCTATTTAAAAGATGAGAGAATTGAGAGACAGAGAGATTAAGCAATGTGCTAGAGGTCACACAGTTTGTAAAGTGATGTATTTGAGCCCAGACCTATTTAAGTCTAGAGTTCAAATGTTTAACCACCACTTCCCTGAGTCATTGTCTGAGGTGGTCCAGCAAAACCTTCACTGAACTGGGACTGAAGGCTCTCGTCCAGATTCATCAAAACCTAATGATTGCTTTGTCCACCTCCTCTCTGAACACTTTCTGACTGTGCCAAGTAAAAACCCATTCTTTGTAGCAGAGATTAGCAAACTTTTTCTGTGATGAGCCAGGTGGTAAGCACTTTAGGCTTTGCGGGCTATACGGTTTCTTTTGCAACTACTCAACTCTGCCATTGCAGTGAAAGCAGCCATAGACCATATGTACATAAATAAGCATGGCTGTATTCCAATAAAACTTTATTTACAAAAACAGGCTACTGGTTGCATTTTGCTAGCCCCTTCTCTATTGCACCCTAGGAAATTCCTTTGCACCATTCAGAGTCAACAAGTACTTATGATGTATTTCCCTTTCTCTGTTTAATTTTTTCCCAGAGTTCTGCCTAAGAGAAAGAGAACTGAGTCAGCAGCAAGCGAGATTATTTGCCAGAAGAACTCTAATAGATTTAAAGCCCTGTAGTGGGTTACTGAAGAAATCCAATATTCTGCTTCAGTATGATAGTAACTAAGTAAGAAAAATATTTTTTTCTATTTATTGTTTCCATGCAGTTTTTCTGATGGTCTTGCTGGAGGCAGGGAGATGAGATAATCTCCAGAGTGGTTTTACCTGCCTGAGTTCTCTACTTATTCCAATCACTTGACAATACAATAGGTTATTGTTACTGTTCTCACCTGGAATGCATTGAGTAAAGCAAAAATAACATGCCAAGCCAGATTCTGGCTGTCCACTATTGTTCCTATTCCAAAGCCCCAGGTGAGCCCTAGCAGAGGGGTCAGAATGAGGAGGCTCTTCCCCACGCGGATGATGGTGGCCTTGTCATCCCGACTCAGTCTTTCCCCAACAGTCGGCCTCCAGAGCTTTGTGAGAACTAGCAGCACCACAACGAAGTTCACAGCCACAATAGCCAGTGCAGGGACAACAAAAGCCAGGAGTGGTTTGCTTCCATTGGACCAGTTAAGCCAACACACATCTTTCCTTTTGTAGGTATTGCTAGGTTGCGTGACAGCAATGGTAATGACAGATATAATGAGAGGGCACCCATAACCCAGGCAAAATCCAACAGCCATCATCAAATGCTGGGCCATGTGATGGAACACGAGGATGATCCGGTAAGCCAGCAGGATGCCAAGCATGAGCATCCAGAAGAACAAAGAGAGGTAGAAGAAGTGTGTAAAGAACACAGCAGCTGTGCAGACTCCAGAAGGGTTCACCGTGGTGTCCACTGTGGCACCAACAATAAACCAGACATCAGCAATCAAGAGGGACAGGGCTATGTTCACCATGCAAATACGACGTGTGTGAGAGGTTTGGCTTTTTTTAATCTGCTTCCAAAACAAAGCCTCGATGATCAGGCATAAAATGAGACTTCCAATGGAGATACCCAGTCCCACATAGGTGATCCATTTTACAACGGGGAAGATTGTAGAGGGGACAAAAGGTGACATCAATATGGAGAAGGAGGTCAAGTGAGTACATTGGCACGTCACGATGTCTTGAGTTTCATTCACTAGGTGGCAGCCTGCATCGTTCCACTGCAAATGACTGAAATCCCAAAACACACAATGAGGCTGGCTCAGGTTTGACTCTATCTTGGAAAAAAATAGGAAAACTTCATTTATGGAATAGTTTTGAATAACCGTGGATATCACAGGTCCATTGACCTGAGCATTTCCATTTTTGGAAACGGGTAGAATGTTCCCCAGAGTCAACGAGGCCATGCTGATAATAGTTTCTGGAAGGGATCTCTGGAATTGGTCTGACCCAATTAACACACGGCCTCTGATGGGAATAGATGTATTTTGGGGACACATTTTAATCTGATAGCTGTAACCCCTTTTGAGTTGGCTTTTGTTCACTGGAATCCCTTTCCAGTCAATGAATTTCCGAGAAAAATTCAGAGGAAGAGCTGTCGGAGGCACCAGAGTGCTGATGTTTTCTAATGTCTCTAGTAACCGTGAGCTGGCATACTTTTCTTCCCGCAGTAAGACTGTCCAGTTGGTTACTGAGGCTGAATTAAGGATATTGTCAGCTATACTGATGACATCCTGAAACACAAGGATGAGAGTCAGTTTGTGTTTTTGAGTAAACAGATAAGAGGACCAGCAGTGGATAGTCATTAGCATTAAGAATAGGAAAAATGCCCAGAGAATTGGCTCAGTCACGAACCACATTAAAACTCATCAATCAAATTTAGCTCAGTTCATCTGTACAGTAGAAGCTTTGGGCAAAATCTTGGGTCAGCAGAATCATGTAAGTCCCAGGGTGATCACCCCAGAGCATCTGTAAATGCACTGAGGCTTCAGGATGAATGAGAAAGAATCCTGCAATTTCAGCTGCACACATGTGATGTGCATTTCCTCCTCTCCGAGATGTTAAAAATGACTACACTGCTATTCAGGCTGAGGCTCAAAGATGCAGACACTACTTTGTACTGCTTTCCCACATTATGTTTGTTTTGCTAACACCAGAAGTTCAAAACTCACATAAGAGATGCTCAAATTTTTAGGTTTCTTGTTTACTATAGTTTTTATGTTTCTTGTTTCCTACTACATAAAGCAAAACAATTTTAAAGCCTGAACCCAAGCATTGAATTGTCATGGGTTTTAAGGGTCAGTCTTAGTTTGAGATTCATTTTCCAAGCAACTCCTTGGAAGTTGTTACTTCTTCCCACAGAACCCCTTCTCTTGCTTATGGGTCTGGCTCCCAGACACTCTGGCTGCAAGCATCTGTCACTCCACCTGAGTCTTACTCTGACCCAGCCCTCTTTGCCTTCTAGTCCAGAATCCCATGATGTTCTACTTCTACTGCCCCTAGAAACCTCTGTTTTCTTTTGCTTTGTGTTTGCCTGCTTTGTTTTCACTCTTCATTTTATTTTTAGCATTTTTGTGTCATTTTGTTTCAGTTGGTCTCTTGTAAACAACATGTGGTCAGGTTTTTAAAAAAACAAATTGGAGTATCTTTTCTTTAACTCAGGGAGTTTAACTTACTGATATTTAGTGTCACTTCTGAAACAATTTTAATCATATATAGTTAAGTATTATTGTGTGATTATTTAATGTACATTATATAATCCAGTTTTGTAAAACATTATATCCTTTAACATATAAAATGTATACACCCAAAATGTTTGGAAGGATATTTATTGAACAAATATTTATTGAGCACACGCTATATATCACTTGTCATTCTTCTAGGTACTGAGGTGATACCTAAAATGTAAGCAGTGTTTATTTTAAAGTGACCAGGCTACAGATAATTTATTTTTCTTTTTGCTTATTTGCACTTCCTATAGTGACCAAGTATCATTTATGTAATTTGTAAGTTAATCTTTAAATATCCAAACTAAACCATATTCAGTTGAGAGAAGGTGTTATGAAGGGAGTTCTTAAAATATACACTGTTCAAGTCTGAGCTTGCGGCCACAGGAAAGAAAAATTATAGATTGCAAACATGTTGAAAAGGCAGTGCCTATGTCACATAGTGCAAAAGCTTACCCCCTCCTCTAAGCTGGGTGCTGCCCAGGTAACCTGCATAAGAGCAGCTCTGTCTTCCTTTGAACACACACTATTGATCCCGAGTTCCTTGTATACCTCAGAGGAAGCAGTAAAGTTCACATAAAGACGCATACATGGCTTTCTGTCTTTTCCAATAGTTCCCCATATTTAAGGCTTTGTCATTCCTCCTACAGGATCAAGCATTTAAAGTGAGCCCTTCAAGCACAGGCAGACCATACCTCCATTGTTGAATTGGACACCCTGAAATGGCTGGCCAGTGACAGAGATGAAATATTGCTCAGAATCGACACCACCGAAGCCAGATTCCCCACTGTGGTTGATGGGTTTTGCCGAATGATGACAGAAAGATTTTGCACGAAGGATGACACAGCTGCCTCAGTGGCATTGCCTACAATCATACTGAAATTCTAGAAGCGAAAATGGTTAAGTTCTAGAAAACAATGACATGCTGTGTTTCATCAAATTTAAATCAGATGTCTTGGCCATATAGAACTAACATTTGTATGGTGTGTTCTAATGTAGGATAATTACATAACAATAGTAACAAAGGCTGTTATTCAGTGATTTCTATATTTTAGACATTGCACTAGGTGCTTTACCAGGGATTCATTGAATTCTTTCAACATCCTTTGAGGGAGGTACCATTATTATTTTCATTCATTGAATTCTTTCAATATCCTTTGAGGGAGGTGCCATTATTATTTTCATTTTATAGCTAAGGAAACTGAAACTTGCAAAGATTTACTAAAAATCATTTTCATATAAATTATTATCTTAATTATACAGAAACTCATGTTCAATGAGATTTAATGACCTTCCAAAGAGCACTCAGCGGAAAATGTTAGGGTAGGTCTACTGGTAGTAATCCTGTTATGTTCACCACGCTACACTGAGAATGCGTTGTAAGATGGGAAGAGAGAGAAACATACATGGAGATTTGACTACTGGGCTTGTGCCAGCCCCCGTTTTGTCACAAGATTTGTTTTTTTTATTTTTTTCGAGATGGAGTCTTGCTCTGTCAGCCAGGCTGGAGTGCGGTGGCATGATCTCAGCTCACTGCAACCTCTGCCTCCCAGGTTCAAGGGATTCTCCTGCCTCAGCCTCCCAAGTAGCTGGGATTACCGGCATGCACCACCACGCCCAGCTAATTGTTTTTGTATCCTTAGTAGAAACAGGGGTTTCACCATGTTGGCCAGGCTGGTCTTGAACTCTTGACCTCATGATCTGCCCGGCTTGGCCTCCCAAAGTGCTAGGATTACAGGCATGAGCCACTGCACCCGGCCCTAGATTTGGAATTTTACTTCTTTCTTGAGGCTCCCATCTACTTTTACTACACCAGGCTAACTTGGAAAGCAGCAAAGGAAGGCAGTCCCCTTCCACTCAACATTAAGTCCACTCAGGCGCCCAAGTGCCCGCCATTTTCCTTCTTGTTCTTCTCAACTGACAATGCTGTTTTCTGTTCAAGCCACCTGGGATCTGCCTGGAGCGAACTAGTCTCAACTATTGCTCATGTCCAGAATTGAGGCAACGAAGGCAAGAGCAAGAAGAAACCCCAGAATCTAATCCCCTTCCCCAGTTTACAGATGAGGAAACTGAGATCCACAAAGGGAGAAGTAAACATTCCACAGTCCTCTGATGAATACTATTCTGGGGTTTTCTACTGCAGCAGCAGAAGCAAGGTCTCTGGCTGGAATAGAAGTTCTGCTCAATATGGAAATCTACTTGCTGAACAGTATCTGTGAACTGGTCTTGGGGTCCTTCTTTTCTGTGACTTGAGTTCTTCTGATTCCTAGATATTTATTTCCTTCTTTCTGTCTTACTTGTCTTAATACTTGAACCTTCCTAAGAGAGCATCATGTGGAGGGCATAGCACCTGATGTGGTTTGGCTCTGTGTCCCCACCCAAATCTTATGTCGAGTTATAATTCCCAATGTTGGAGGTGGGGCTTGGTGGGAGATGATTGGATCATGGAGGTGGTTTCTAATGGTTTAGCACCATCCCCCAAGTGCTGTCTCATGATACAGTTCTCACAAGATCTGGTTGTTTAAAAGTGTGTAGCATCTCCCCCATTCTCTCTCCATCTCTCTCTTTCTCTCTCTCTCTCTCTCTCTCTCTCCTGTCACCATATAAGGATGTGCTTACTTCCCTTTCGCCTCCCACCATGATTGTAAGTTTCCTGAGGCCTCCCCAGATATGCCTTTTGTACATCCTGCATAACTGTGAGTCAAACCTCTTTTCTTTATAAACTACCCAGTCTCAAATAGTTCTTTATAACAATGTGAGAACAGACTAATACAGCACTGGACTAGGAATCAAGTGACCATGCTTCTAATTCAAAACTATTGCTACCAGAGGAACTATTGGCCCCTTGGTCTTTTGTTTTCTGATCTGCAAAATGAGGTTGGTAAACCAGATGCCCCTTAAGGTCCATTGCAGTTCAGTCATTTTATATGGTTCACCTTTGTCTGACCCACTCCTTGCCCTAATTTCTGGTATAGATATATCCTTACTTGTACTAAGCCTGCTGGCTTATGACTCACACCTTCACTCTTCTCTTTAATTCCCAGGTCTTCTGGACTTCTGAGGCCAGCTTAGTTGCTGCTCTACCATCCATCATAGACCTCCTCAGCAATGATACACTCCTCCACAACACCTCTGCCTGACAAAACTATCAACTCTGTCTTTTGAGCTGCAACCTAGACTCTGCTGCCCAGACGCTACCACTCATGCACGACTCCACGGGTTCACCAGGGTCTGATGTCATCCTTGCTCTTTGCATACTGGCCAATGATGCACGTAGGTATACTTACCCTCCACCTAGCCATGCTCACTGGGATATTGCCACTCTGAAACTCAAGACCAGGGCAAGTCTACACAGTGAAAATGCCTCACCTTGTTCAGTTCTTCAAGCAGAGAGAGCACACAAGTCTCCCTGATGACCTGCCACCCAGAGGACTCACACTTGGCTGTGATGTTTCCCCTGTAGCCACTGCTGCAGGGCAGGGTATATTCATCATCCTTGGACCCAAATCCAAAGACAATGTCATTACACTGGGCTGGAAACAAAAGAAAACAACAAAGAAAAATGATCCTAGAATATCCTGGCACTCTATATAAACCATGTAGTCATGTTCAAATGTTTTAGAACTCATTTTTGGAGATGAAATCCAGGCAAAATTCAGAAGTAAGAGAAGTTTGTCTTTGATGTCCTGCTTCATCCCTCTCAACATTCCTTACTCATTCCTGATGCCTTACCCTCCCTGAGGCTGACTCCTCCTTCCAGGTGTCCGATCTGTGCCAACAATATCACTTTTAATGGGCTATCAACTAGTAAGTATTAGGTGATAATAAGGAAAGATGTGATTACTCTCAGGAAATATTTTTACTCTTTAAAGGAACATTAGAAAGCCAGACAATTTTCCAGACACTATAGAATAAAGCAGTAATGTTATGGTTAAAAGATGGGCAGTTGCTATTTGTGGGTAGCACTTCCTACCTGTACCTCTTTAAGCATAGCTCACATTGCAACCAGTTGCTACTTTTGCTGCTAGCCTTTAATAATGCATTCTTATCATGATTGGAACTAGGAGATGGAAACATTAACTGGAAGATCCACAAGGGCTATGATTTTTTTTTTTTCAGATGGGGTTGCACTCTTGTTGCCCAGGCTGGAGTGCAGTGGTGCAATCTTTGCTCACTGCAACCTCTACCTCCCAGGCTCAAGTGATTCACCTGCCTCAGCCTCCCTAGTACCTGGGAGTACAGGTGCACACCACGATGCCTGGCTATTTATTTATTTATTTATTTATTTATTTTTGTAACAGAGTCTCGCTCTGTCACCCAGGCTGGAGTTAAGTGGAGTGATCTCGGCTCACTGCAACCTCCACCTCCTGGGTTCAAGTGATTCCCCTGCCTTGGCCTCTCGAGTAGCTGGGATTACAGGTGTGTGCCACCACGCCTGGCTAATTTTTTTTTTTTTTTGTATTTTTAGTAGAGGCGGGATTTCACCATGTTGGCCAGGCTGGTCTCAAACTTCTGATCTCAGGCAATCTGCCCTCTTTGGCCTCCCAAAGTTTTGGGATTACAGGCTTTAGCCACTGCACTGGGCCTGGCTAATTTTTGTATTTTTAGTAGAGTCGGGGTTTCACCACGTTGGCCAAGCTGATCTTGAACTCTTGACCTAAAGTCATCTGCCCACTCTGGCCTCCCAAAGTGCTAGGATTATAGACGTGAGCCACTGCACCCAGCCAGAGCTAAGATTTTTGTTTGTTTTCACCATTGCTGCATTTTAAGTGTCTAGACACTTTGGATTCTCAGTAAATATTTATAGAATAAATGTTGTTGAAAGAGAGTGGTACAAATTTTGGTAGGAAAGGCGTAAGATTGAATGTAAAAGAAAAAGATAAATATCTGAAGAAAAACAGTTTGTGTGTGTGTGTGCGTGTCTGTCTGTCTGTCTTTATATGTGTTAAAGACATAATTTCTTGGATTGTGACTTAGGAATATTGTCAGCCTCAGGGCTCTTTCAACATGTGTGCCAGTCAACTATTGCTGAGCCCTTTCCATCACAGCCTGCAGTGAAGTCAGTTCTCCACACTGTTTACACTAAGAGGTACAGATCAGATTTCCAATTAGCAAGAATTTGAAATAGTCAGTTGAAGCTAAGTTTCATCTTGGTGCTGGGGGAAACAGCTGCCTGTTTGTGCTGAAAGGCAGTTAGAGAACAATTCGTTATTCAAACGTCTCAAATCTACTTCCTGAGGACACAAATGAACTACTAATTAAAGGACTCTCTTAACCTAAGCAGAGGATGGGAATCCAGCATTACCTTTTCCGAACACTCTGAAAGAGCCGTCTTCTAATGGAAACAGCTTGTGAAGGGCTGTCTTAGCCTTCTCGGCAACATGTTCAATGGCTGACAGCAGTTCAGATGCACTGCTGGAGCCAACAACTTCATACCCAGCAACGATGCTTCCATTTCTGCAGTGATTATGGGGAAAGAGAAATGAGATTCACTACTTATTTATTCATTCACTCCCGGCCTATGCTGTGTGTACATGCCATGGGGTCCATAGGAATAAAGTAAACAGAGCTTACATTCTAGTGGATAAGGCAAGGCAAATAAAAAAACAAGTATCCACCAAAAATACATATATATATGATATATATATATGTATAAATACATCTGTATATATACAGATATAATTATGGGGCCCCACATTAAATAAAGCTGGTTATGGAAGGCTTTTTTGTGCTGTGGGTCTTTGAAGCTGAGGCCTGAGGCCAGCTATGCAAAGAAGAAAAGGCCAGCTATGCAAAGAACACTGGTGTGGAATGTCAGCACAAGTAAAGGTCCTAAGGCGGGAAAATGCCTGTGAGTTTGACAAGCTTAAATACTAGGATGATTGAAATTCAGCAGCAAGGGAGCAATAGCAGGAGATGATATTGGAGTGGTACCAGGAGTCAGATCTCATAGGACATTAGAGTTGCGATTTCATTCTTTATTAAAAAGTTTTCTTCTTTATTAAAAGGTAGTGGCATCATAAGATTTATCTTTTTAAGACCGTAAAGGCTGCTGTGTAGAAAACAGATGGAAGGGAAGCAAGCAAGGTACAGGGAACTCAGTTAGGAAAGAGCTGGTGGTGGCTTGAACTAGCTGGGTAGCTATGCATGTGGTCAAATTCAGGTTTTATTTGGAGCCAGAGCCATAGAACTTACTAATGGAGAAGATTTGGGATGTGAAAGAAAGAAATCAGTCAATAATAACTCCAAGGAATGGAAAAGCAAGTTTTTGTATATTCTTACCATGGAGTACTACTGGACTACAAAAAGGAAGGAACCACTGATAGAAAAATGAGGATGAATCTCAATGACATTATGCTGAGTGAAAGACGCCGAACATGCAAAAAAAAAAAAAAACTGGATTATTCTATTTATGTGAAGTTCTGGAATAGACTAAACTAACCTGTGATGATAAAAATCATACAAGTGGTTGCTTCTGGCGTGAGGGGATGGCATGGAAAGAGGCTGGAAAGCAACACAAGAGAACTTTTGGGGTTATGGGAATGTTCCATCTTGACAGGAAGGGACTTGCACAAGCGTTTTTCAAAGCTGATAGAGTCATACACAAAGTTTGAGCACATAACTGTGTGCAAGTTATACCTCAATAAAAGAAATTATAGCACAGGATGGCTCCAGGATTGGGTCTCTGCAAGTGGAAGGACAGCATTGCTGTAATGGAAATAGGGAAGACAGTGGGAAAAATAAGTTATAGGTTAGGAAGGGGAGAGTCAGAGGATTCCCAGTTTGGACACATGACATTTGACATCCCAGCTGGAAAACCAAGTGGAGACTGTCAAGTAGGCCGTTGGTTATTTGAGTCTGGAGTTCAGGGGAGTGCCCGAGCTCAAGTAATAAATTTAGAATCCATCAGCATACAGATGTGTTTGAAGACATGAAAGCACATGAGATCAATACATTAAGTCAATCCTGCAATAACTCATGAGATAAGCAGTGTATCATTCCCATTTTATAGATAAGAGAACTGAGGCCCAATGAGAAGTTGGGTGAAAAAATTATTAATTACTAATTGATCGGAAGTTCCGCAGCTCAAATTCTTACTACATTGAACTTCTGCTCACAATGTATAAATAAGTGCAGACACCCTTTTGCTTAATGATGGTCACAATACCTTTGTATTGATATGTCCATTCTATTGATTACAGAGTATTTTCCTGCTTGTTATAGGTTTGATTTAGTGAAGTTAAACCAGGTTCCACAGGTGTATAACTGTCCTGTTTGACAGATAAGTAAATAGAGTGAGAGATTAAGATTTATTTTAATCTGGGCATGGTGACTCATGCCTGTAATCCCAGCACTTTGGGAGGCCAAGGTGTGTGGGTCATTTGAGGCCAGGAGTTCAAGACCAGACTGGTCAACATGGTGAAACCCTTCTTTATTTTTTAAAATAATTTTTTTAAAAGAGATTTATTTTAAATCATATATGCAAAAAGTAAAACTTTAGGCTGGGCTTCGTGTCTCATGCCTGTAATGCCAGTATTATGGGAGGCCAAGGTAGGAAGATCACTAGAGCCCAGGAGTTTAAGACCAGCCTGAGCAACATAGCAAGACCTCAACTAATTAGCCAAGAATGATGGCAAGTGCCTGTGATCCTAGCTACCAGGGAGGCATAGGTGGGATTGCTTGAACCCAGGGGTCAAGGCTGCAGTGAACTGAGATCGCACCACTCCACTCCAGCATGGGCAACAGAGTGAGACCCCATATTGAAACAAAATGAAACAGAACAAAAGTAAAAAGTTGTAGTTTATAGACTTGTGCCTACTTTTACTGTGATTTGGTCTGCAGATTATTGGAGACAGCTTATAAGATATGCATGATAGAATATAAATTAGAAGTATAAATAGAAAACAAGGATCACAGAAAAGAAAAATATGAATATTGAAAGTATGATCAACTGTATAAACCTCAATATAAAAAAAAGCAGTGTTTTTGCTGGTATTGAATTTTAAAGAAAACTATTCATGTATGACTTAAAGGATAATGCCCAGAACAACATGTTTATAGCAAATGCTGTTGAAAATTTCCTATGGGTTGGCCAGATGCAGAGGCTCACACCTGTAATCCCAGCACTTTGGGAAGCCGAGGCAGGCGGATCACGAGGTCAGGAGATCGAGACCATCCTGGCTAACACGGTGAAACCCCATCTCTACGAAAAATACAAAAAAATTAGCCAGGCGTGGTGGCACATGCCTGTAGTCCCAGCTACTCGGGAGGCTGAGGAAGGAGGATAGCGTGAACCAAGGAGGTGGAGGTTGCAGTGAGCCGAGATCGTGCCACTGCACTCCAGCCTAGGCGACAGAGCGAGACTCCATCTCAAAAAAAAAAAAAAAAGAAAAGAAAAGAAAAGAGAAAATGTCCTATGGGTGTTTTTAAGTTAACTGTGAAAAAAAATCACAAGTCAATTTCTCTGACCTCTAAGCCACTTTCTCTAACAAGCAGACAGATTATTAATAGTTGGTAATTAATGTAAACATGGCTAACTAAACAACTTTTGGAATTAAGGCATAAACAAAAGGATAATTTACTAAATATTTCTTTATTTGCTGTAAACAATGACTACTGGGTTTTGAACTATGATGTATACATGTTATCTGTGCAAAGATATCTCACCCAAAGCCCCACTTCTGGCTCCGAATTATGAGGCATCATATCTCCTGTAGTTGCTGAAGGAGAAAATCCACCCTTCGACAACCCGCAACCCTTATCCCCAACCCTCACTTTTTCCCATCCACTGTCACCATGATCTCCTGCCTTCTTTCAAGTTTCTGCCCTACTGCTATTGTTTTGTAGTTCTACTCACTGACCCACAGTTTTGAGAATGCTTTCCAATATTTAAGGTCCTAGGCCAGATGTGGTGGCTCATGCCTGTAATCCCAGCACTTTGGGGGCCGAGGCAGGCGGATCACCTGAGGTCAGGAGTTTGAGACCAGTGTGGCCAACATGGTGAAACCCTGTCTCTACTAAAAATACAAAAAAAGTTAGCTGGATGTGGTGGCAGGTGTCTGTAATTCCAGCTACTTGGGAGGCTGAGGCAGGGGAATCTCTTGAACCCGGTAGGCAGAGGTTGCAGGGTTGCAGTGAGCCTAGATTGTGCCATTGCACTCCAACTTGGGCGACAAGAGTGACATTCTGTCAAAAAAAAAAAAAAATTTAAGGTCCTAAACTCATTTAAGTGAGAATCTAGGCTTTACTCTTCAGACTTTTTAAAGCATCACAGATCCTTGTTCACTTAGTAAAAATCCTACTATAAAGATGACTTCTGTCCTGTTTTCTGTCAGGGTCACCTAAAAACAGCACTCTGCCTTTTGCAGAACTGGTGCCCAATTCTGGGGATGCCCTTCTAAGACCATTGTGTTACTTACCGAAATTGGGTGACCTGAACCGACTCAAAACCTTGAATTCTTTCATATGCTTTTTTAAGCTTAGAAAGAGAACAAAGAACAATGTGTTAATTGTTCTTCCCGTACTTCAGAAAGACATTTGAGCAAAAATTGATACAGACAATAAATAAATCAACAGTAGCAAAGGAGCAAAGAAAAGAGACACAGTGGGAAGTAATTGCATGTCATACAAATACAGTTAAAATAACAGTTGTGAATGTATACATACACACACACATATCCATACATATACACGTATAAAATGTACCTTTGAGATTGCTAATAAATTGTGAATAACCAACTGCTTAGAATAGGAGATGAATTTGATGCCAGATCGTAGAATAAATTTACCCAAAATCCATTTTTTCCTTATGAAAAACAAGCCATTAATTTTTACAGGTACTTAGACCGAATCCATCTATTAAGTATTTGCTCGGGTCTTCAGTTAGAGCTACACCTGAGCCAGCATCCTAGGCAGAGGGACACTGATCTAGTTTTTATGTGACTTTATTATAAAGTTGAGAGTTTTGCTCAGTAACTCTCTTCAGCCTCTAACAACAGAGTTTTCTTTATAGAACAAATCCCAAATGCTGACAATTGAGCTTAGATCATGATTTTTTTTTGTTTTTTGATGTGGAGTCTCACTCTGTCACCCAGGCTGGAGTGCAGTGGCACAATCTCAGCTAACTACAAACTCCACCTCCCGGGTTCAAGCAATTCTCGTGCCTCATCACCTGAGTATCTGGGATTACAGGTGTATGTCACTATGCCCTGCTAATTTTTGTGTTTTTTAGTAGAGATTGGGTTTCACCATCCTGGCCAGGCTGGTCTCGAACTCCTGACCTCAAGTGATCTGCCTGCCTCAGCCTCCCAAAGTACTGGGATTACAGGCGTGAGCCACCATGCCCGGTCCATAAAAATTTTTTATAAAAAAATTAAAAGAGAAAATAATCAAGAAGCCTTAGTATATTGCTAAAATAAGTGAGCAAAACTGAACACAAGAGAAGTGCAAAGAAGTCAGCTGCTAAACTTTCCTAGAAAGAAGATACTCAGGGAATTTCAACTGTGGGCAGAGCAAATAACTGTTTTGTTATTTGCTCACTGAAAACGAATAATTAAGAATATGTATTAAATATACATGCTGAATTGAAAACATTTGAACTTGAGTGTAGCAAACGATTCCTTATATAATAAGTAGAAAGTGCTTACTTGAATTTCAATTCCATTTGCATATTTGGAGTATATAGCAGAAGATGAATTCAAAAGGTCATTTGTAAACCTTTCATTAATTTTGAAAGTGCCCCAAATCTCTGTAGGAAATAAAAATAAGTTTATAGACATAATAAATTTCTAACTTGATTTACTAGTAGCATACAATTATAGAAGTACAATTCAGAGTCATCTATTCAACAGTGATGTTTCAAATTTTTTTCATAAGAAATGTTCACCTAAAATAACACAGGATGCATACATAAAAGCAGAGTTTCTGACTGCAGATTTGGAGCAGTAATAGGGAAGTGCTGGTAATCAAGGCAACCTTAAAAGTAGGTAAATGCGTGGCCTCTCATGTGTCACTAAAGAAGGCATTCACTGAACTCTGAAATGTATCTTCATCTGGGCAATAAGCTTAAGCATTGTCCCTATTAAAAATTAAACGATGACCGTAACAGCAACACTACTTGCTAACTCCAACACATTCCTTACTTACCCATTGCCAGTACTTCTCTGCAATGGGACAATTCTCTGTGTGGACAAATTCTATTTATCCTTCATTCAGGACCTAGTCAAATATCATCTCTTCCACAAGGTCTTCTCTAATCCTCAGATGCAGAGTCTTTCTCTCCTCTAAATTCCTACAGTACTTTATCCCTATCTGCCTCCCATCCTCTTACATATTCCTAAACATTGATTTGTGTATGTCTCATCTATGCACATCTCCACGGTACTGTGGGAAGCTCCTCATAAGTGTCATCCCTGTCTGATCCAGTTTTGTATCTTTCAAAGATGGATTAGACATGGACCACCTTTTTCTTTCCTTTCTTTCTTTTCTTTTTTCTTTTTTTTTTTTTTTTTTTAGTCAGGGTCTCACTTTTGTCACCTAGGCTAGTGTGCAGTGGCACGATCTTGGCTCACTGCAGCCTCAGTCTTCTGGGTTCAAGCAATCCTCTTCCCTCAGCCCCCCAAGTAGCTGGTACTACAGGCACACACCACCACACCTGTAAATAGCTAATTTTTGTATTTTTTGTAGAGATGCATTTTTGCCATGTTGCCCAAGCTGGTCTCGAACTCCTCCTGAGCTCAAGCAATCAGCCCGCCTTAGGCTTCCAAATTGCTAGGATTACAAGTGTAAGCCACTGTGCCCATCTTTCAAAACATAGGCTTTCATCAACATTCATTGAAGAAATTACATTATTTTCTTTCTTGTATTACAGTCTGGCCTCTACAACTAGTCTCCTAATTCATAGACAGCAAGAGAAATTCTTCTGTGTGTCCTCCTAGAATTTGCCCCTGATCTGGGTGAAAAGATGGTGCTTAATAAGTAATGTGTTGCCATAACCTGAATTGCTGTAGTCCCAGGAAGGAGAGCCAGTATTCCCAATTAAGCTGGGCTATTTCAGGCTCACTCTTTGCTCAGTTCCACCAATATCTGGGGCTTCCAGTTAACTGGAGTAATCATTGCAGGAGCTTAGTAAAGTCCTTTATGTCCTGGAGTCCATGTCATTTGGCTCATCTCACCTTTCATTGAACATAAATCTAAGTTAACCATAGCTCCCTCAGCTTCCATTGGTTTCCTAAGCTAGACTTTTAGCTTTTGTTCTGTTTTAACAAGGCATTCAGTACACATATTTGTTGACAATTGAGAGATTTCTTTTAATGGAATCATTCACTATATATTCCTCCCTGCATTCATATCTCTAGACTCCCCTTTTCTTGAAATTGATGTTGGCAAAAGACGTGAAAAGAGAGTAGGAAGACAAATGTTGCTTACTCAAGCAGTTCCTCTTTTTGGAATTTTAGCAACTCTTCCTCAATCTCAATAAAATCATATGATTGCAGAGCTGAGCTGGATGGACCTAAAGGTTGAAGTGACCTTCACATGTCACCATGTGTTTCTGGATCTTCTGTACTATGAAAGTTCTCACTGGGTCCAGACAGGCCTAACATGATGTATCATCACTGTCCCTCAATCTCCCTGTAAACAAACATTGACTAGCTAGACAATGAGCAAGCGTCCCCTCTCTGTTGCATGTTGGGGTGGGAGAAGCCCCAGCCCAGAGCATTCTTAGTTGCTTACTTGTTCTCTCACAGAAATTGACACTCTGGCTGAGGTTGTTGAGATGACATTCACAGCTTGGGAGTGCTCCAGCCGTGTGAAGGTAGCAGTTCTGGGGATCAAGGCATGAGGGAGGAAACCAGGTGTAGCTGTCTTCACAGGTACACTGCAGGACTCCATTCAGGCTGTTGCAGTCTGCACAAGAAATAGAACTCAGTCTCATGGATTCTGGTTTATAAACTGACTACTGCTGAGCAGTGATTTTATTTTATATATGTTTATTTTTCAGATTAACTTCCTACATCTTCTATGAGTTTTGTTTTGTTTTGTTGCCTAGGCTAGAATACAGTGGCATGATCTCAGCTCACTGCAACCTCTGCCTCCTGGGTTCAGGTGAATCTTGTGCGTCAGCCACCTGAGTAGCTGGGATTACAGGCACGCACCATCACCCTGGCTAGTTTTTGTATTTTCAGTAGAGACAGTATTTTGCCATGTTGGCCAGGCTGGTCTTGAACTCCTGAGCTCAAGTGATCTGCCCGCCTTGGCCTCCCAAAGTGCTGGGATTACAGGCGTGAGCCACCGCGCCTGACCCTGAGTAGTGATTTGTGATCCTTAGCTCTCACATGGAATCTGGACCAAGGATTTGGTTGGTGCAAAAGTAATAGCAATTTTTGCCATTAAAAGTAAAATAATGGTTAATATTTCTCACCAAAAGCTAGAAGGATGAAACCAGGACAGCAATATAGTCAAGGTAAGAAAATGTCCAACTCAATAAATTCTGAGGTTGGTATCAGAAAGCTAACAAACATAAAGCTACAATGGCTGGGATTAGCATGCAAAAGAAGGATGTATACCCCATACATAGCCACTGCAATGGAAGAGAGAAGCAGAAGAGGACACTTGTAACAGGAGAGTTGTTTAAAGGATTCTAGAGCGTATTTGACCACCATCTCATTGGAGGCTCCTTTCTATCCACCTGCTACCACTCCCAAGTAGGCCTTATAAGCAAGATGACAAAGGCAGAGAAACATTTTTGGGGAAAGTCATGATGAAAAGTTTCTCTAGTAGCAATCCTATATGCCTGCCCCCTTCTATTACACCTGAAATTCCCACCGAAGTCGTCTTTTTTTTTCTTTCAGTAGATCAAGAACCAGGGCAAAGTCACCAGACACCTTTGTGAAAATACCCATGGTGTGCAGTGAATGGGTCTCAAGCTTTATTGCGACACAGAATCACCTGGAAGATCTCACCCTGGAGTTTCTGATCCTCTTAAGTCAAGACAAATGAAGAATTTGCATTTTTGCTAAGTTCCCTAATGCTGCTGCTGCTGGCCTGGGGACCATGCTTTAAGAATCACTGCTTTAGATCAATAATTTAACTTCTCTGAATCCCACCTTTGTGCTTATTAATGTTGTTTGCCAAATATTTCTTGCTGTCTTCCAGGTACACAGGATTGCATATCCTAGTCCCCTGAAGTTAAGTGGGGCCATGGAGCCAGTTCTAGCCAAAAAGTTGTTGGCAGAGTTACTGCGGTCACTTCTGAGTTAGAGAATTTAATTGCCCGTGGAAAACCCTCCAGTGTTTCATCTATTTTTTGCTCAGCATGGGTACATATGAGATAGGGTCTGATACATCACTGGGTACTGGTGGCAACAAATACAGCCCTCTGCCAATCTGCAATGGACATGTAGCATGAAGAAGATATAAAGCATTTATTCTTTTAAATCACAGAGATTGTAGGGATGATTGTTTCCACAGCATAACCCAACCTAGCCTGACTGATATACCCGCCTTCCCCATTTATACATCCAGTCACCGAGAGCCACCTTACCTGTGGTAGCCTTTGCTCTGATAATTCTAATTAGCCCATGTGACCATAATAATGGAGGCTTCAAGAGCTTCAGAAAATTTCTCAAATCTCTTTTCTCCTTGGAATCTCTATAGGTCACCTGAAGCAGCAGCTGATATTCTTCGACTGGGCCTAAAGAGAGAAAGAGAGTCAGAAACCTTTTTTTCTGTCCTTGGGGAAAATATTGCTGAGGAAGTGACTGAGAAACAATCATCAAATTTAGGTCAGGGACTCTACCATGCTGCTTGTTCCTGAGTTCCTCTCATCCAAACATGGACTAACAATGAACACTGAGGGTAAACACAAGCAAATGGTTCCCACACACGCCAAATATACGTCTGTCCTCTCACTTCTGCCAGGCCAGCTGCCCCAGTGCTGTCTGTCCCTCCCCAGAATCACTCTCCCAATGTTATACACTTCCTCAGGGCACACCCAGAGTCAAGCTTCAGGTGTCAAGACTGAAGGGGGAAGAGGTGAGGAAATCCAAGTCAACCTTCCCTCCCCCGCCCCCAGCTCTGATCTCCTTGAAGTATCTCCAGTATAAGACCCCTCAATCTCACACTTACAAAGAGCCCTTTCTTCTCCTGTGAAAATATTCCATTCGTTAGCTGCGTGTGGGTATTTATATGAAATCCAAAAGCAAAACAAACTAAATCTTCCCTTGAGGCTTGATGCACCCTCACCTCCAGCTCATCATTTCTGCACAGCACCTTTTCTTTCCCCACAGAGAAGCCATTAACTGATTTTGACAGGGAAAGGAGAGGAATCCTATGAGTCTTCTCCCATCCAAAATTCACTTAAGCCCATTCACATAAAACTTGACATGAAATTCCCAGGGGCTTCAAGGTCCCCCGAAGCTCACCTATGAAAGACCTGACATCTCACACCATTGCACCCCACTCCCATCTCTTAGTCTCCCCATCTCCTTACGGACTGGAGCCTCTTCCCCAGGCATTGGAAGTCCCCTCTGAGTGGTGGGACCTGAGACAAGACCCACTTCTCGTCCACGCAGGTGTGCAGTGGGGAACAGGGAAAAGGATGGCCCTGCTCACATCGTCAGGGGTTAATGGCACTGGTTCTGGAGCCAGATTGACTGGATTTGAATCCTGGTCCCTGCCCCTAGTTCTGTGCCTTAGTTTCACTATCTGTAAAATAAAGATGACCACTGTACCAGACTCAGAGGGTCAGTGTGAGGGTTTAATTCATCTAATGCACTTCAAATAGTCCTGCCACATAGTAACATCCCAACAATAGTTGCTATATTTTTATTGTTATTTTTACTGTCAGGGAAATTGTATTCATGTCATTCCAAGTTGAAATTTTGATTTCATTTTCCCAAAGAAGTATAGCCTTGCACAGTGATAGGTGCTATGGTACTATTAGCACATTGCTGTATGGCAGATTTATTGCATGGTATAAAAGCTATTGTAGACTGACCCGGGAACCTAACAACCACATGTGCATCACTGTTTCTGTGAGGAAATGTGTTCAGCACTAGAAACATCAGAACCACAAACTAAATTTCAGAACACAACTCATTTCTGGACTGGGGCTATGGCCATTAATTACATTGTTAGAATCAAGGCACAGAAGAAAAGGGCGTGTGTGAACAGCTACTTGCCAGGTCTGATGTAAGACACTGTGCTCTCATGATATTATTTAATCTTCACAAACGTCTTGCTCATAGGAATTACTGTCATTCTCCTTGTACATATTTGGATGTTTAATAATGTGCCTAGGATCATACAACCAGTCAGGGGCACCGCTGGGATTAGAAACCTGGTCCCTTGACACCAAAATCCACTGCACCATGCTGTCTAACAGAGCCTCACCTAGATGTTTTTTCTTATTCACAATGAGTTCTTTTTTTGTTTTGATGCCATCATTTTTCTGTTAAAAAGAAAAAAAATAGTTACGGTGAGACTTTGAAGAGTTGTGCTTCATAAGGCCTTGCTGAGTTTCCCAGATGAATTAAAATCATGAATCTAAAATCCAAGCCAGGGATGGTGGAGAGGCGGCCAGGGAAGGCCTCACTGGAGCAACTTTTAAGCAAACACCTGAAGAGTAAGAATATGCCTGGCAGGTAAAGGCAGAATGAGGACACCAGAGCCGCTGAGAGAGGAGAGTGAGAGGAGAGGCACAGGAGGTGGGGTCAGAGGGTCTCTGGGGAGGCAGGTTGTGCAGACCTTTATAGGCCATGGAAAGGGTTTTACCTTTTCCTTGAGCGAGATGAGAAACTGCTGGGTAGCTTTGAACAGGGGAAAAACATGCTGTAACTTACTTTGTAGCAGGCTCAATCCTGAAGCCCCATTGAGAACAGAGAAGCACAGAAGCAATGCGTGCATTTCTGGGGTTGTTGAAATCATGCAGGCAAGAGACAATGAAGGTGTGGATCAAGGTAGCAGCCACGGAAGTAGTGAGAAATTTTTGAATTCTGGATATATTTTAAAGGTAAAGCTTTAAAAGTAATGCCAGTGGTTTAGATATGGAATGTGAGAAGAGTCAAGCATGATTCTTAAGGTTTTTTTGCCTAAGTAGCTGGAAAGATAGTGATACCACTTGCTGAGATAGGCAAGAAGGATTGGGTTCGATTTTGAACAAATGAAGTTCCGAGGTCCGCTGGATTCCCAGCTGGAAATAACACGTAGGTAATGGATATGTGAGTGTGGACAGGGGAGAGGTCTGAGATGGAGCTATACAGCTGGGAGTCATCAGCATGTAGAGAATATTAAAACCATGATCCTAGATGAAAGCATCACTCAAGCGAGTGTAGACAGGAAAGACAGTGTCTAAGGATTGCTAATGTCCATCCATGTGATTTTTCTGCATCCGAGAAGCCATAGTACAGCATGTGTTGAACTGGAAAAGATCTCTAAGATAGTTTAATCAAAGATCCTCCTTTTGCAGTTTGATCATCTAAGCTCCGAAGAGATGAAATGACTTACTTATCCAAGGCCACACAGTGAATGTTGGTAATGTTGAAACGAGAACTCAGGACTTCTGATCTCAAGTACATTAAATTATGCAGTTGCAGTCCCCTAGAGAGTGAGGGGTTCTAAAAGTGCCGGAACGAGAGAGGAGAGTTAGTTGAGAAGAGATATGAGACATAGCACCAACTCACCCCCAGGAAGCCACCGTGGCCGTCAGTGAAGGTGAAGAAAGAAATGAGCCACAGCACTCCAACTTTCATTTTCCCTGGACTGAACAGCAGCAGTCGGGTGCATAGTCTGTGACTAAACAAGCAGGGTACCAGGTAAGGTAGAGGCACAAAAACAAGAAATTCAAGCCAAAATGTAAAAATGCACAAAGTGGTAAGGCCTCACTGAGCTGATCCGAACCCCTGGGTGTTTATGTTTCCACTCCACGGAACCTGTGACATCATGACTTCTGCTCCCATTGCAGATGTAGTAAATTTCCATCATTACAAACTTACTAGAAAACTGCTCTAGAGCTCTCTTCCAAGTGATGGTATCTGACTAAACACAGGTTTTTTTTTTTTAATCGTGACTTGCTTAACATTGCAATTAGGTGCATTTAACATCAGTCTTTTATATTTCACTGAGGTTTCCTTTTCATTTCAGGAAAGAAAAACATTAAAATAACCAAAGACTCTGTAAACCATTAATACCAGGATATAATTTGAGTGTTTAAGCATATAAATAATAATGAATCAATCCAGAAAATTTCCTTTTTCATAGTAGATATAATTAGCAAAAAGATGTCCTCGAGTTTATGGTTATCTCAAATAATTTAGATAAAACTCAGTACATAGACCTGGTCACAAGATTAATCACTTATACCCAGGTTATTTTGCATCAAAAAAAT